>NC_000004.12:49712061-50012061 GCF_000001405.40 Homo sapiens
AGCATTCTCAGAAACTTCTTTGTGCTGTATGTCCTCAATTAACAGAGTTGAACCATTGCTTGGATACAGCATTTTGGAAACATTCCTTTAGTAGAATCTGCAAGTTGATATTTAGATAGATTTGAAGATTTCGTTGGAAACGGGAATATCTTCATATAAAATCTAGACGGAAGCATTCTCAGAAAGTGCTTTGTGATGTTTCCATTCAAGTCACAGAGTTGAATATTCTCTTTTCTAGAGCACGTTTGAAACACTCTTTCTGCACTATCTGGAAGTGGACATTTCGAGCGCTTTGAGGCCTATGGTGAAAAAGGAAATATCTTCCCATAAAAACTAGACAGAAGCATTCTCAGAAACTTGTTTGTGATGTGTGTATTCAACTGAGTTGAACTTTTGTTTCTACAGAGCAGTTTTAAAACACTCTTTTTGTGGAATCAGAAAGTGGATATTCGGATGGCTCTGAGGATTTCGTTGGAAGCGGGATTACATATAAAATCTAGAGAGAAGCATTCTCAGGAACTTCTTTGTGATGTTTGCATTGAAGTCACAGAATTGAGCATTCACTTTTATAGAGCAGGTTTGAAACACTCATTCTGTAGTATCTGGAAGTGGACATTTCAAGCGCTTTCAGGCCTATGGTGAGAAAGGAAATATCTTCAAATAAAAACTAGACAGAAACATCGTCAGAAACTTATTTGTGATGTGTGTCCTCAACTAACAGAGTTGAAATTTTGTTTTGATACAGCCTTTTGGAAACACTCTTTTTGTAGAATCTGCAGGTGGATATTTGGATAGCTTAGAGGGATTCGTTGGAAAGGGGATATCTTCATATAAAATCTAGACAGAAGCATTCTCAGAAACTTATTTGTGATGTGTGTCCTCAACTAACAGAGTTGAACCTTGGTTTTGATACAGCATTTTGGAAACCCTCCTTTTGTAGAATCTGCAGGTGGATATGTGGATAGCTTTGAAGATTTCGTTGGAAACGGGAATTTCTTCATGTAAAATCAAACAGAAGCATTCTCAGAAACTTCTCTGTGATGTTTGCATTCAGCTCATGGAGTTGAACACTTCCTTTCATAGAGCAGGTTTGAAACACTCTTTCTGCACTACCTGGAAGCGGACATTTCGAGCGCTTTGAGGCCTATGGTGAAAAAGGAAATATCTTCTCATAAAAACCAGAAGGAAGCATTCTCAGAAACTTCTTTGTGTTGTGTGTACTCAAGTAACAGTGTTGAACCTTCCTTTTGACAGAGCAGGTTTGAAACACTCTTTTGGTAGAATCTGCAAGTGGATATTTGGATAGCTTTGAGGATTTCGTTGGAAACGGGTTATCTTCATATAAAATCCAGACAGGAGCATTCACAGAAACTTCTTTGTGCTGTATGTCCTCAATTCACAGAGCTGAACCTTTGTTTGGATACAGCATTGTGGAAACATTCCTTTAGTAGAATCTGCAAGTTGATATTTAGATAGCTTTGAAGATTTCATTGGAAACGGGAATATCTTCATAGAAAATCTAGACGGAAGCATTCTCATAAACTGCTTTGTGATGTTTGCATTCAAGTCACAGAGTTGAATATTCCCTTTTATAGAGTAGGTTTGAAACACTCTTTCGGCACTACCTGGAAGTGGATATTTCGAGCTCTTTGAGGCCTATGCTTAAAAGGAAATATCTTCCCATAAAAACTAGACAGAAGCCGTCTCAGAAACTTGTTTGTGATGTGTGTATTCAACTAACAGAGTTGAACATTTCTGTTACAGAGCAATTTTAAAACACTCTTTCTGTGAAATCTGAAAGTGGATAATTGGATAGCTTTGTGGATTTCGTTGGAAACGGGATGACGTATAAAATCTAGAGAGAAGCATTCTCAGGAACTTCTTTCTGATGTTTGCATTCAAGTCACAGAATTGAACATTCCTTTTCATAGTGCAGGTTTGAAACGCTCTTTCTGTAGTATCTGGAAGTGGACATTTCATGCGCTTTCAGGCCTATGGGGAGAAAGGAAATATCTTCAAATAAAAACTAGACAGAAGGATTCTCAGAAACTTATTGGTGATGTGTGTCCTAAACGAACACAGTTGAACCTTTGTTTTGATACAGCCTTTTGGAAACACTCCTTTTGTAGAATCTGCAGGTGGATATTTGGATAGATTTTAAGATTTCGTTGGAAACGGGAATGTCTTCATAGAAACTCAAGACAGATGCATTCTCAGAAACTTCTCTGTGATGTTTGCATTCCACTCACAGAGTTGAAAACTTCCTTTCATAGAGCAGGTTTGAAACACTCTTTTTGTAATATTTGGAAGTGGACATTTGCAGCGCTATGAGGCCTATGGTGAAAAAGGAAATATCTTCTCATAAAAACCAGAAACAAGCATTCTCAGAAACTGCTTTTTGATGTGTGTACTCATGTAACAGAGTTGAACCTTCCTTTTGACACAGCAGTTTTGAAACAATCTTTTTGTAGAATCTGCAAGTGGATATTTGGATAGCTTTGAGGATTTCGTTGGAAACGTGATATCTTCATATAAAATCTAGACAGAAGCATTCTCAGAAACTTCTTTGTGCTGTATGTCCTCAATTAACAGAGTTGAACCATTGCTTGGATACAGCATTTTGGAAACATTCCTTTAGTAGAATCTGCAAGTTGATATTTAGATAGATTTGAAGATTTCGTTGGAAACGGGAATATCTTCATATAAAATCTAGACGGAGGCATTCTCAGAAACTGCTTTGTGATGTTTCCATTCAAGTCACAGAGTTGAATATTCTCTTTTGTAGAGCACGTTTGAAACACTCTTTCTGCACTATATGTTAGTGGACATTTCGAGCGCTGTGAGGCCTATGGTGAAAAAAGAAATATCTTCCCATAAAAACTAGACAGAAGCATTCTCAGAAACTTGTTTATGATGTGTGTATTCAACTAACAGACTTGAACTTTTGTTTTTACAGAGCAGTTTTAAGACAATCTTTTTGTGGAATCAGAAAGTGGATATTCGGATGGCTTTGAGGACTTCGTTGGAAGCGGGATTACATATAAAATCTAGAGAGAAGCATTCTCAGGAACTACTTTGTGATGTTTGCATTGAAGTCACAGAATTGAACATTCACTTTGATAGAGCAGGTTTGAAACACTCATTCTGTAGTATCTGGAAGCGGACAATTCAAGCGCTTTCAGGCCTATGGGGAGAAAGGAAATATCTTCAAATAAAAACTAGAGAGAAGCATCCTCAGAAACTTATTTGTGATGTGTGTCCTCAACTAACAGAGTTGAAACTTTGTTTTGATACAGCATTTTGGAAACACTCTTTTTGTAGAATCTGCAGGTGGATATTTGGATAGCTTAGTGGGATTCGTTGGAAAGGGGATATCTTCATATAAAATCTAGACAGAAGCATTCTCAGAAACTTATTTGTGATGTGTGTCCTCAACTAACAGAGTGGAACCTTGGTTTTGATACAGCATTTTGGAAACACTCCTTTTGTAGAATCTGCAGGTGGATATGTGGATAGCTTTGAAGATTTCGTTGGAAACGGGAATTTCTTCATATAAAATCAAACAGAAGCATTCTCAGAAACTTCTCTGTGATGTTTGCATTCAGCTCATGGAGTTGAACACTTCCTTTCATAGAGCAGGTTTGAAAAACTCTTTCTGCACTACCAGGAAGTGGACATTTCGAGCGCTTTGAGGCTTATGGTGAAAAAGGAAATATCTTCTCATAAAAACCAGAAAGAAGCGTTCTCAGAAACTTCTTTGTGTTGTGTGTACTCATGTAACAGTGTTGAACCATCCTTTTGACAGAGCAGTTTTGAAACAATCTTTTTGTAGAATCTGCAAGTGGATATTTGGATAGCTTTGAGGATTTCGTTGGAAACGGGATATCTTCATATAAAATCTAGACAGAAGCATTCTCAGAAACTTCTTTGTGCTGTATGTCCTCAATTCACAGAGTTGAACCATTGCTTGGATACAGCATTTTGGAAACATTCCTTTAGTAGAATCTGCAAGTTGATATTTAGATAGCTTTGAAGATTTCGTTGGAAACGGGAATATCTTCATAAAAAATCTAGACGGAAGCATTGTCAGAAACTGCTTTGTGATGTTTGCATTCAAGTCACAGAGTTAAATATTCTTTTACAGAGCAGGTTTGAAACACTCTTTCTGCACTCCCTGGAAGTGGAGATTTCGAGTGCTTTGAGGCCTATGGTGAAAAAGGAAATATCTTCCCATAAAAACTAGACGGAAGCCTTCTCAGAAACTTGTTTGAGATGTGTGTATTCAACTAAGAGCGTTGAACATTTCTTTCTACAGAGCAGTTTTAAAACACTCTTTTTGTGGAATCTGAAAGTGGATAATTGGATAGCTTTGTGGATTTCGTTGGAAACGGGATTACGTATAAAATCTAGAGAGAAGCATTCTCAGGAACTTCTTTCTGATGTTTCCATTCAAGTCACAGAATTGAACATTCCTTTTCATAGTGCAGGTTTGAAACACTCTTTCTGTAGTATTTGGAAGTGGACATTTCAAGCACTTTCAGGCCTATGGGGAGAAAGGAAATATCTTCAAATAAAAACTAGACAGAAGGATTCTCAGAAACTTATTTGTGATGTGTTTCCTAAACGAACGCAGTTGAACCTTTGTTTTGATACAGCATTTTGGAAACACTCCTTTTGTAGAATCTGCAGGTGGATATTTGGATAGATTTTAAGATTTCGTTGGAAACAGGAATTTCTGCATATAAACTCAAGACAGATGCATTCTCAGAAACTTCTCTGTGATGTTTGCATTCCACTCAGAGAGTTGAAAATTTCCTTTCATAGAGCAGGTTTGAAACACTCTTTTTGTAATATTTGGAAGTGGACCTTTGCAGCGCTTTGAGGCCTATGGTGAAAAAGGAAATATCTTCTCATAAAAACCAGAAACAAGCATTCTCAGAAACTTCTTTTTGATGTGTGTACTCAAGTAACAGAGTTGAACCTTCCTTTTGACACAGCAGTTTTGAAACAATCTTTTTGTAGAATCTGCAAGTGGATATTTGGATAGATTTGAGGATTTCGTTGGAAACGGGATATCTTCATATAAAATCTAGACAGAAGCATTCTCAGAAACTTCTTTGTGCTGTATGTCCTCAATTAACAGAGTTGAACCATTGCTTGGATACACCATTTTGGAAACATTCCTTTAGTAGAATCTGCAAGTTGATATTTAGATAGATTTGAAGATTTCGTTGGAAACGGGAATAACTTCATATAAAATCTAGACGCAGGCATTCTCAGAAACGGCTTTGTGATGTTTCCATTCAAGTCACAGAGTTGAATATTCTCTTTTATAGAGCACGTTTGAAACACTCTTTCTGCACTATCTGGAAGTGGACATTTCGAGCGCTGTGAGGCCTATGGTGAAAAAGGAAATATCTTCCCATAAAAACTAGACAGAAGCATTCTCAGAAACTTGTTTGTGATGTGTGTATTCAACTAACAGACTTGAACTTTTGTTTTTACAGAGCAGTTTTAAAACAATCTTTTTGTGGAATCAGAAAGTGGATATTCGGATGGCTTTGAGGATTTCGTTGGAAGCGGGATTACATTTAAAATCTAGAGAGAAGCATTCTCAGGAACTACTTTGTGATGTTTGCATTGAAGTCACAGAATTGAACATTCACTTTGATAGAGCAGGTTTGAAACACTCATTCTGTATTATCTGGAAGTGGACATTTTAAGCGCTTTCAGGCCTATGGTGAGAAAGGAAATATCTTCAAATTAAAACTAGACAGAAGCATCCTCAGAAACCTTATTTGTGATGTGTGTCCTCAACTAACAGAGTTGAAACTTTGTTTTGCTACCACATTTTGGAAACACTCTTTTTGTAGAATCTGCAGGTGGATATTTGGATAGCTTAGAGGGATTCGTTGGAAAGGGGATATCTTCATATAAAATCTAGACAGAAGCATTCTCAGAAACTTATTTGTGATGTGTGTCCTCAACTAACAGAGTTGAACCTTGGTTTTGATACAGCATTTTGGAAACACTCCTTTTGAAGAATCTGCAGGTGGATATGTGGATAGCTTTGAAGATTTCGTTGGAAACGGGAATTTCTTCATATAAAATCAAACAGAAGCATTCTCAGGAACTTCTCTGTGATGTTTGCATTCAGCTCATGGAGTTGAACACTTCCTTTCATAGAGCAGGTTTGAAACACTCTTTCTGCACTACCTGGAAGTGGACATTTCGAGCGCTTTGAGGCCTAGGGTGAAAAAGGAAATATCTTCTCATAAAAACCAGAAAGAAGAGTTCTCAGAAACTTCTTTGTGTTGTGTGTACTCATGTAACAGTGTTGAACCATCCTTTTGACAGAGCAGTTTTGAAACACACTTTTTGTAGAATCTGCCAGTGGATATTTGGATAGCTTTGAGGATGTCGTTGCAAACGGGTTATCTTCATATTAAATCTAGACAGAAGCATCCTCAGAAACTTATTTGTGATGTGTGTCCTCAACTAACAGAGTTGAAACTTTGTTTTGATACAGCATTTTGGAAACACTCCTTTTGTAGAATCTGCAGGTGGATATTTGGATAGCTTAGAGGGATTCGTTGGAAAGGGGATATCTTCATATAAAATCTAGACAGAAGCATTCTCAGAAACTTATTTGTGATGTGTGTCCTCAACTAACAGAGTTGAACCTTGGTTTTGATACAGCATTTTGGAAACACTCCGTTTGAAGAATCTGCAGGTGGATATGTGGATAGCTTTGAAGATTTCGTTGGAAACGGGAATTTCTTCATATAAAATCAAACAGAAGCATTCTCAGGAACTTCTCTGTGATGTTTGCATTCACCTCATGGAGTTGAACACTTCCTTTGATAGAGCAGGTTTGAAACACTCTTTCTGCACTACCTGGAAGTGGACATTTCGAGCGCTTTGAGGCCTATGGTGAAAAAGGAAATATCCTCTCATAAAAACCAGAAAGAAGCATTCTCAGAAACTTCTTTGTGTTGTGTGTACTCAAGTAACAGTGTTGAACCTTCCTTTTGACAGAGTAGTTTTGAAACACTCTTTTGGTAGAATCTGCAAGTGGATATTTGGATAGCTTTGAGGATTTCGTTGGAAACGGGTTATCTTCCTATAAAATCCAGACAGGAGCATTCTCAGAAACTTCTTTGTGTTGTATGTCCTCAATTCACAGAGCTGAACCTTTGTTTGGATACAGCATTTTGGAGACATTCCTTTAGTAGAATCTGCAAGTTGATATTTAGATAGCTTTGAAGATTTCGTTGGAAACGGGAATATCTTCATAGAAAATCTAGACGGAAGCATTCTCATAAACTGCTTTGTGATGTTTGCATTCAAGTCACAGAGTTGAATATTCCCTTTTATAGAGTAGGTTGGAAACATTCTTTCGGCACTACCTGGAAGTGGATATTTCGAGCTCTTTGAGGCCTATGTTTAAAAGGAAATATCTTCCCATAAAAACTAGACAGAAGCCGTCTCAGAAACTTGTTTGTGATGTGTGTATTCAACTACCAGAGTGGAACATTTGTGTTACAGAGCAATTTTAAAACACTCTTTTTGTGGAATCTGAAAGTGGATAATTGGATAGCTTTGTGGATTTCGTTGGAAACGGGATGACGTATAAAATCTAGAGAGAAGCATTCTCAGGAACTTCTTTCTGATGTTTGCATTCAAGTCACAGAATTGAACATTCTTTTTCATAGTGCAGGTTTGAAACACTCTTTCTGTAGTATCTGGAAGTTTACTTTTCAAGGGCTTTCAGGCCTATGGGGAGAAAGGAAATATCTTCAAATAAAAACTAGACAGAAGGATTCTCAGAAACTTATTTGTGATGTGTGTCCTAAACGAACACAGTTGAACCTTTGTTTTGATACAGCATTTTGGAAACACTCCTTTTGTAGGATCTGCAGGTGGATATTTGGATAGATTTTAAGATTTCTTTGGAAACGGGAATTTCTGCATAGAAGCTGAAGACAGATGCATTCTCAGAAACTTCTCTGTGATGTTTGCATTCCACTCATAGAGTTGAAAACTTCCTTTCATAGAGCAGGTTTGAAACACTCTTTTTGTAATATTTGGAAGTGGACATTTGCAGCGCTTTGAGGCCTATGGTGAAAAAGGAAATATCTTGTGATAAAAACCAGAAACAAGCATTCTCAGAAACTTCTTTTTGATGTGTGTACTCAAGTAACAGAGTTGAAACTTCCTATTGACCCAGCAGTTTTGAAACAATCTTTTTGTAGAATCTGCAAGTGGATATTTGGATAGATTTGAGGAGTTCGTTGGAAACGGGATATCTTCATATAAAATCCAGACAGGAGCATTCTCAGAAACTTCTTTGTGCTGTATGACCTCAATTAACAGAGTTGAACCATTGCTTGCATACAGCATTTTGGAAACATTCCTTGAGTAGAATCTGCAAGTTGATATTTAGATAGATTTGAAGATTTCGTTCGAAAACGGAATATCTCCATATAAAATCTAGAGGGAAGCATTCTCAGAAACTGCTTTGTGATGTTTCCATTCAAGTCACAGAGTTGAATATTCCCTTTTATAGAGCACGTTTGAAACACTCTTTCTGCACTATCTGGAAGTGGACATTTCGAGCGCTTTGAGGCCTATGGTGAAAAAGGAAATATCTTCCCATAAAAACTAGACAGAAGCATTCTCAGAAACTTGTTTGTGATGTGTGTATTCAACTAACAGAGTTGAACTTTTGTTTTTACAGAGCCGTTTTAAAACACTCTTTTTGTGGAATCAGAAAGTGGATATTCGGATGGCTCTGAGGATTTCGTTGGAAGCGGGATTACATATAAAATCTAGAGAGAAGCATTCTCAGGAACTACTTTGTGATGTTTGCATTGAAGTCATAGAATTGAACATTCACTTTGATAGAGCAGGTTTGAAACACTCATTCTGTAGTATCTGGAAGCGGATAATTCAAGCGCTTTCAGGCCTATGGGGAGAAAGGAAATATCTTCAAATAAAAACTAGACAGAAGCATCCTCAGAAACTTATTTGTGATGTGTGTCCTCAATTAACAGAGTTGAAACTTTGTTTTGATACAGCATTTTGGAAACACTCTTTTTGTAGAATCTGCAGGTGGATATTTGGATAGCTTAGAGGGATTCGTTGGAAAGGGAATATCTTCATATAAAATCTAGACAGAAGCATTCTCAGAAACTTATTTGTGATGTGTGCCCTCAACTAACAGAGTTGAACCTTGGTTTTGATACAGCATTTTGGAAACACTCCTTTTGTAGAATCTGCAGGTGGATATGTGGATAGCTTTGAAGATTTCGTTGGAATCCGGAATTTCTTCATATAAAATCAAACAGAAGCATTCTCAGAAACTTCTCTGTGATGTTTGCATTCAGCTCATGGAGTTGAACACTTCCTTTCATAGAGCAGGTTTGAAACACTCTTTCTGCACTACCTGGAAGTGGACATTTCGAGCGCTTTGAGGCCTATGGTGAAAAAGGAAATATCTTCCCATAAAAACCAGAAGGAGCATTCTCAGAAACTTCTTTGTGTTGTGTGTACTCATGTAACAGTGTTGAACCATCCTTTTGACAGAGCAGTTTTGAAACACTCTTTTTGTAGAATCTGCAAGTGGATATTTGGATAGCTTTGAGGATTTCGTTGGAAACGGGATGACATATAATATCTAGAGAGAAGCATTCTCAGGAACTTCTTTGTGATGTTTGCATTCAAGTCACAGAATTGAACATTCCCTTTCATAGAGCAGGTTTGAAACACTCTTTCTCTAGTATCTGGAAGTGGGCATTTCAAGCGCTTTCAGGCCTATGGAGAGAAAGGAAATACCTTCAAATAAAAACTAGACAGAAGCATCCTCAGAAACTTATTTGTGATGTGTGTCCTCAACTAACAGAGTTGAACCTTTGTTTTGATACAGCATTTTGGAAACACTCTTTTGTAGAATCTGCAGGTGGATATTTGGATAGCTTTGAAGATTTCTTTGGAAACCGGAATATTTTCATATAAAACCAAGACAGAAGCATTCTCGGAAACATCTCTGTGATGTTTGCATTCAACTCAGTAGAGTTGAACACTTCCTTTCATAGAGCAGGTTTGAAACACTCTTTCTGCACTACCTGGAAGCGGACATTTCGAGCGCTTTGAGGCCTATGGTGAAAAAGGAAATATCTTCTCATAAAAACCAGAAAGAAGCATTCTCAGAAACTTCTTTGTGTTGTGTGTACTCAAGTAACAGTGTTGAACCTTCCTTTTGACAGAGCAGTTTTGAAACACTCTTTTGGTAGAATCTGCAAGTGGATATTTGGATAGCTTTGAGGATTTCGTTGGAAACGGGTTATCTTCTTATAAAATCCAGACAGGAGCATTCTCAGAAACTTCTTTGTGCTGTATATCCTCAATTCACAGAGCTGAACCTTTGTTTGGATACAGCATTTTGGAGGCATTCCTTTAGTAGAATCTGCAAGTTGATATTTAGATAGCTTTGAAGATTTCGTTGGAAACGGGAATATCTTCATAGAAAATCTAGACGGAAGCATTCTCAGAAACTGCTTTGTGATGTTTGCATTCAAGTCACAGAGTTGAATATTCCCTTTTATAGAGTAGGTTTGAAACACTCTTTCGGCACTACCTGGAAGTGGATATTTCGAGCTCTTTGAGGCCTATGGTTAAAAGGAAATATCTTCCCATAAAAACTAGACAGAAGCCTTCTCCGAAACTTGTTTGAGATGTGTGTATTCAACTAGGAGAGTTGAACATTTCTTTTAACAGAGCAGTTTTAAAACACTCTTTTTGTGGAATCTGAAAGTGGAAGTTTGGATAGCTTTGAGGATTTCGTTGGAAGCGGGATGACATATAAAATCTAGAGAGAAGCATTCTCAGGAACTTCTTTCTGATGTTTGCATTCAAGTCACAGAATTGAACATTCCTTTTCAGAGTGCAGGTTTGAAACA
Organism: Homo sapiens; assembly: GCF_000001405.40. Classification (NCBI taxonomy): domain Eukaryota; kingdom Metazoa; phylum Chordata; class Mammalia; order Primates; family Hominidae; genus Homo; species Homo sapiens. The sequence goes on from NC_000004.12 coordinate 49,723,023, forward strand.
CTCTTTCTGTAGTATCTGGAAGTGGACATTTCAAGCGCTTTCAGGCCTACGGGGAGAAAGGAAATCTCTTCAAATAAAAACCAGACAGAAGGATTCTCAGAAACTTATTTGTGATGTGTGTCCTAAACGAACACATTTGAACCTTTGTTTTGATACAGCATTTTGGTAACACTCCTTTTGTAGAATCTGCAGGGGGATATTTGGATAGATTTTAAGATTTCATTGGAAACGGGAAGTTCTTCATATAAACTCAAGACAGATGCGTTCTCAGAAACTTCTCTGTGATGTTTGCATTCCACTCATAGAGTTGAAAACTTCCTTTCATAGAGCAGGTTTGAAACACTCTTTTTGTAATATTTGGAAGTGGACATTTGCAGCGCTTTGAGGCCTATGGTGAAAAAGGAAATATCTTCTCATAAAAACCAGAAACAAGCATTCTCAGAAACTTCTTTTTGATGTGTGTACTCAAGTAACAGAGTTGAACCTTCCTCTTGACACAGCAGTTTTGAAACAATCTTTTTGTAGAATCTGCAAGTGGATATTTGGATAGCTTTGAGGATTTCGTTGGAAACGGGATATCTTCATATAAAATCTAGACAGAAGCATTCTCAGAAACTTCTTTGTGCTGTATGTCCTCAATTAACAGAGTTGAACCATTGCTTGGATACAGCATTTTGGAAACATTCCTTTAGTAGAATCTGCAAGTTGATATTTAGATAGATTTGAAGATTTCGTTGGAAACAGGAATATCTTCCTATAAAATCTAGACGGAGGCATTCTCAGAAACTGCTTTGTGATGTTTCCATTCAAGTCACAGAGTTGAATATTCTCTTTTATAGAGCACGTTTGAAACACTCTTTCTGCACTATCTGGAAGTGGACATTTCAAGCGCTTTCAGGCCTATGGGGAGAAAGGAAATATCTTCACATAAAAACTAGACAGAAGCATTCTCAGAAACTTGTTTGTGATGTGTGTATTCAACTAACAGACTTGAACTTTTGTTTTTACAGAGCAGTTTTAAAACAATCTTTTTGTGGTATCAGAAAGTGGATTTTCGGATGGCTTTGAGGATTTCGTTGGAAGCGGGATTACATATAAAATCTAGAGAGAAGCATTCTCAGGAACTACTTTGTGATGTTTGCATTGAAGTCACAGAATTGAACATTCACTTTGATAGAGCAGGTTTGAAACACTCATGCTCTAGTATCTGGAAGTGGACATTTCAAGCGCTTTCAGGCCTATGGTGAGAAAGGAAATATCTTCAAATAAAAACTAGACAGAAGCATCCTCAGAAACTTATTTGTGATGTGTGTCCTCAACTAACAGAGTTGAAACTTTGTTTGGATACAACATTTTGGAAACACTCCTTTCGTAGAATCTGCAGGTGGCTATTTGGATATCTTAGAGGGATTCGTTGGAAAGGGGATACCTTCATATAAAATCTTGACAGAAGCATTCTCAGAAACTTATTTGTGATGTGTGTCCTCAACTAACAGAGTTGAACCTTGGTTTTGATACAGCATATCGGAAACACTCCTTTTGTAGAATCTGCAGGTGGATATGTGGATAGCTTTGAAGATTTCGTTGGAATCGGGAATTTCTTCATATAAAATCAAACAGAAGCATTCTCAGAAACTTCTCTGTGATGTTTGCATTCAGCTCATGGATTTGAACACTTCCTTTCATAGAGCAGGTTTGAAACACTCTTTCTGCACTACATGGAAGTGGACATTTCGAGCGCTTTGAGGCCTATGGTGAAAAAGGAAATATCTTCTCATAAAATCCAGAAGGAAGCATTCTCAGAAACTTCTTTGTGTTGTGTGTACTCATGTAACAGTGTTGAACCATCTTTTTGAGAGAGCAGTTTTGAAACACTCTTTTTGTAGAATCTGCAAGTGGATATTTGGATAGCTTTGAGGATTTCGTTGGAAACGGGATGACATATAATATCTAGAGAGAAGCATTCTCAGGAACTTCTTTGTGATGTTTGCATTCAAGTCACAGAATTGAACATTCCCTTTCATAGAGCAGGTTTGAAACACTCTTTCTCTAGTATCTGGAAGTGGGCATTTCAAGCGCTTTCAGGCCTATGGAGAGAAAGGAAATACCTTCAAATAAAAACTAGACAGAAGCATTCTCAGAAACTTATTTGTGATGTGTGTCCTCAACTAACAGAGTTGAACCTTTGTTTTGATACAGCATTTTGGAAACACTCCTTTTGTAGAATCTGCAGGTTGATATTTGGATAGCTTTGAAGATTTCGTTGGAAACCGGAATATCTTCATATAAAATCAAGACAGAAGCATTCTCGGAAACATCTCTGTGATGTTTGCATTCAACTCAGTAGAGTTGAACACTTCCTTTCATAGAGCAGGTTTGAAACACTCTTTCTGCACTACCTGGAAGCGGACATTTCGAGCGCTTTGAGGCCTATGGTGAAAAAGGAAATATCTTCTCATAAAAACCAGAAAGAAGCATTCTCAGAAACTTCTTTGTGTTGTGTGTACTCATGTAACAGTGTTGAACCATCCTTTTGACACAGCAGTTTTGAAACAGTCTTTTTGTAGAATCTGCAAGTGGATATTTGGATAGCTTTGAGGATTTCGTTGGAAACGGGTTATCTTCATATTAAATCTAGACAGAAGCATTCTGAGAAACTTCTTTGTGCTGTATGTCCTCAATTCACAGAGTTGAACCTTTGTTTCGATACAGCATCTTGGAAACATTCCTTTAGTAGAATCTGCAAATGGATATTTAGATAGCTTTGAAGATTTCGTTGGAAACGGGAATATCTTCATAAAAAATCTAGACGGAAGCATTCTCAGAAACTGCTTTGTGATGTTTGCATTCAAGTCACAGAGTTGAATATTCCCTTTTATAGAGTAGGTTTGAAACACTCTTTCGGCACTACCTGGAAGTGGATATTTCGAGCTCTTTGAGGCCTATGGTTAAAAGGAAATATCTTCCCATAAAAACTAGACAGAAGCCGTCTCAGAAACTTGTTTGTGATGTGTGTATTCAACTACCAGAGTTGAACATTTCTGTTACAGAGCAATTTTAAAACACTCTTTCTGTGGAATCTGAAAGTGGATAATTGGATAGCTTTGTGGATTTCGTTGGAAACGGGATGACGTATAAAATCTAGAGAGAAGCATTCTCAGGAACTTCTTTCTGATGTTTGCATTCAAGTCACAGAATTGAACATTCCTTTTCATAGTGCAGGTTTGAAACACTCTTTCTGTAGTATCTGGAAGTGGACATTTCAAGCGCTTTCAGGCCTTATGGGGAGAAAGGAAATATCTTCAAATAAAAACTAGACAGAAGGATTCTCAGAAACTTATTGGTGATGTGTGTCCTAAACGAACACAGTTGAACCTTTGTTTTGATACAGCATTTTGGAAACACTCCCTTTGTAGAATCTGCAGGTGGATATTTGGATAGATTTTAAGATTTCGTTGGAAACGGGAATTTCTTCATATAAACTCAAGACAGATGCATTCTCAGAAACTTCTCTGTAATGTTTACATTCCACTCATAGAGTTGAAAACTTCCTTTCATAGAGCAGGTTTGAAACACTCTTTTTGTAATATTTGGAAGTGGAGATTTGCAGTGCTTTGAGGCCTATGGTGAAAAAGGAAATATCTTCTCATAAAAACCAGAAACAAGCATTCTCAGAAACTTCTTTTTGATGTGTGTACTCGAGTAACAGAGTTGAACCTTCCTTTTGACACAGCAGTTTTGAAACTATCTTTTTGTAGAATCTGCAAGTGGATATTTGGATAGCTTTGAGGATTTCGTTGGAAACGGGATGTCTTCATATAAAATCTAGACAGAAGCATTCTCAGAAACTTCTTTGTGCTGTATGACCTCAATTAACAGAGTTGAACCATTGCTTGCATACAGCATTTTGGAAACATTCCTTGAGTAGAATCTGCAAGTTGATATTTAGATAGATTTGAAGATTTCGTTCGAAAACGGAATATCTCCATATAAAATCTAGAGGGAAGCATTCTCAGAAACTGCTTTGTGATGTTTCCATTCAAGTCACAGAGTTGAATATTCTCTTTTATAGAGCACGTTTGAAACACTCTTTCTGCACTATCTGGAAGTGGACATTTCGAGCACTTTGAGGCCTATGGTGAAAAAGGAAATATCTTCCCATAAAAACTAGACAGAAGCATTCTCAGAAACTTGTTTGTGATGTGTGTATTCAACTAACAGAGTTGAACTTTTGTTTCTACAGAGCAGTTTTAAAACACTCTTTTTGTGGAATCAGAAAGTGGATATTCTGATGGCTCTGAGGATTTCGTTGGAAGCGGGATTACATATAAAATCTAGAGAAAAGCATTCTCAAGAACTACTTTGTGATGTTTGCATTGAAGTCACAGAATTGAACATTCACTTCGATAGAGCAGGTTTGAAACACTCATTCTGTAGTATCTGGAAGTGGACATTTCAAGCGCTTTCAGGCCTATGGTGAGAAAGGAAATATCTTCAAATAAAAACTAGACAGAAGCATCCTCAAACTTATTTGTGATGTGTGTCCTCAACTAACAGAGTTGAAACTTTGTTTTGATACAGCATTTTGGAAACACTCTTTTTGTAGAATCTGCAGGTGGATATTTGGATAGCTTAGAGGGATTCGTTGGAAAGGGGATATCTTCATATAGAATCTAGACAGAAGCATTCTCAGAAACTTATTTGTGATGTGTGTCCTCAACTAACAGAGTTGAACTTTGGTTTTGATACAGCATTTTGGAAACACTCCTTTTGTAGAATCTGCAGGTGGATATGTGGATAGCTCTGAAGATTTCGTTGGAAACGGGAATTTCTTCATATAAAATCAAACAGAAGCATTCTCAGAAACTTCTCTGTGATGTTTGCATTCAGCTCATGGAGTTGAACACTTCCTTTCATAGAGCAGGTTTGAAACACTCTTTCTGCACTACCTGGAAGTGGACATTTCGAGGGCTTTGAGGCCTATGGTGAAAAAGGAAATATCTTGTCATAAAAACCAGAAAGAAGCGTTCTCAGAAACTTCTTTGTGTTGTGTGTACTCATGTAACAGTGTTGAACCATCCTTTTGACAGAGCAGTTTTGAAACAGACTTTTTGTAGAATCTGCAAGTGGATATTTGGATAGCTTTGAGGATTTCGTTGGAAACGGGTTATCTTCATATTAAATCTAGACAGAAGCATTCTCAGGAACTTCTTTGTGATGTTTGCATTCAAGTCACAGAATTGAACATTCCCTTTCATAGAGCAGGTTTGAAACACTCTTTCTCTAGTATCTGGAAGTGGGCATTTCAAGCGCTTTCAGGCCTATGGAGAGAAAGGAAATACCTTCAAATAAAAACTAGACAGAAAGCATTCTCAGTAAACTTATTTGTGATGTGTGTCCTCAACTAACAGAGTTGAACCTTTGTTTTGATACAGCATTTTGGAAACACTCCTTTTGTAGAATCTGCAGGTGGATATTTGGATAGCTTTGAAGATTTCGTTGGAAACCGGAATATCTTCATATAAAATCAAGACAGAAGCATTCTCGGAAACATCTCTGTGATGTTTGCATTCAACTCAGTAGAGTTGAACACTTCCTTTCATAGAGCAGGTTTGAAACACTCTTTCTGCACTACCTGGAAGCGGACATTTCGAGCGCTTTGAGGCCTATGGTGAAAAAGGAAATATCTTCTCATAAAAACCAGAAAGAAGCATTCTCAGAAACTTCTTTGTGTTGTGTGTACTCAAGTAACAGTGTTGAACCTTCCTTTTGACAGAGCAGTTTTGAAACACTCTTTTGGTAGAATCTGCAAGTGGATATTTGGATAGCTTTGAGGATTTCGTTGGAAACGGGTTATCTTCCTATAAAATCCAGACAGGAGCATTCTCAGAAACTTCTTTGTGCTGTATGTCCTCAATTCACAGAGCTGAACCTTTGTTTGGATACAGCATTTTGGAGACATTCCTTTAGTACAATCTGCAAGTTGATATTTAGATAGCTTTGAAGATTTCGTTGGAAACGGGAATATCTTCATAGAAAATCTAGACGGAAGCATTCTCAGAAACTGCTTTGTGATGTTTGCATTCAAGTCACAGAGTTGAATATTCCCTTTTATAGAGTAGGTTTGAAACACTCTTTCGGCACTACCTGGAAGTGGATATTTCGAGCTCTTTGAGGCCTATGGTTAAAAGGAAATATCTTCCCATAAAAACTAGACAGAAGCCGTCTCAGAAACTTGTTTGTGATGTGTGTATTCAACTACCAGAGTTGAACATTTCTGTTACAGAGCAATTTTAAAACACTCTTTTTGTGGAATCTGAAAGTGGATAATTGGATAGCTTTGTGGATTTCGTTGGAAACGGGATGACGTATAAATACTAGAGAGAAAGCATTCTCAGGAACTTCTTTCTGATGTTTGCATTCAAGTCACAGAATTGAACATTCCTTTTCATAGTGCAGGCTTGAAACACTCTTTCTGTAGTATCTGGAAGGGGACATTTCAAGCGCTTTCAGGCCTCTGGGGAGGAAGGAAATATCTTCAAATAAAAACTAGACAGAAGGCTTCTCAGAAACTTATTTGTGATGTGTGTCCTAAACGAACACAGTTGAACCTTTGTTTTGATACAGCATTTTGGAAACACTCCTTTTGTAGGATCTGCAGGTGGATATTTGGATAGATTTTAAGATTTCGTTGGAAACGGGAATTTCTTCATAGAAACTCAAGACAGATGCATTCTCAGAAACTTCTCTGTGATGTTTGCATTCCACTCATAGAGTTGAAAACTTCCTTTCATAGAGCAGGTTTGAAACACTCTTTCTGTAATATTTGGAAGTGGACATTTGCAGCGCTTTGAGGCCTATGGTGAAAAAGGAAATATCTTCTCATAAAAACCAGAAACAAGCATTCTCAGAAACTTCTTTTTGATGTGTGTACTCAAGTAACAGAGTTGAACCTTCCTTTTGACACAGCAGTTTTGAAACAATCTTTTTGTAGAATCTGCAAGTGGATATTTGGATAGTTTTGAGGATTTCATTGGAAACGGGATATCTTCATATAAAATCTAGACAGAAGCATTCTCAGAAACTTCTTTGTGCTGTATGTCCTCAATTAACAGAGTTGAACCATGGCTTGGATACAGCATTTTGGAAACATTCCTTGAGTAGAATCTGCAAGTTGATATGTAGATAGCTTTGAAGATTTCGTTGGAAACGGGAATATCTTCATATAAAATCTAGACGGAAGCATTCTCAGAAACTGCTTTGTGACGTTCCCATTCAAGTCACGGAGTTGAATATTCTCTTTTATAGAGCACGTTTGAAACACTCTTTCTGCACTATCTGGAAGTGGACATTTCGAGCGCTTTGAGGCCTATGGTGAAAAAGGAAATATCTTCCCATAAAAACTAGACAGAAGCATTCTCAGAAACTTGTTTGTGATGTGTGTATTCAACTAACAGAGTTGAACTTTTGTTTTTACAGAGCCGTTTTAAAACACTCTTTTTGTGGAATCAGAAAGTGGATATTCGGATGGCATTGAGGATTTCGTTGGAAGCGGGATTACATATAAAATCTAGAGAGAAGCATTCTCAGGAACTTCTTTGTGATGTTTGCATTGAAGTCACAGAATTGAACATTCACTTTGATAGAGCAGGTTTGAAACACTCATTCTGTAGTATCTGGAAGTGGACATTTCAAGCGCTTTCAGGCCTATGGTGAGAAAGGAGATATCTTCAAATAAAAACTAGACAGAAGCATCCTCAGAAAGTTATTTGTGATGTGTGTCCCCAACTAACAGAGTTGAAACTTTGTTTTGATACAGCCTTTTGGAAACACTCCTTTTGTAGAATCTGCAGGTGGCTATTTGGATAGCTTAGAGGGATTCGTTGGAAAGGGGATATCTTCATATAAAATCTAGACAGAAGCATTCTCAGAAACTTATTTGTGATGTGTGTCCTCAACTAACAGAGTTGAACCTTGGTTTTGATACAGCATTTTGGAAACACTCCTTTTGTAGAATCTGCAGGTGGATATGTGGATAGCTTTGAAGATTTCGTTGGAATCGGGAATTTCTTCATATAAAATCAAACAGAAGCATTCTCAGAAACTTCTCTGTGATGTTTGCCTTCAGCTCATGGAGTTGAACACTTCCTTTCATAGAGCAGGTTTGAAACACTCTTTCTGCACTACCTGGAAGTGGACATTTCGAGCGCTTTGAGGCCTATGGTGAAAAAGGAAATATCTTCTCATAAAAACCAGAAGGAAGCATTCTCAGAAACTTCTTTGAGTTGTGTGTACTCATGTAACAGTGTTGAACCATCCTTTTGACAGAGCAGTTTTGAAACACTCTTTTTGTAGAATCTGCAAGTGGATATTTGGATAGCTTTGAGGATTTCGTTGGAAACGGGTTATCTTCATATTAAATCTAGACAGAAGCATTCTGAGAAACTTCTTTGTGCTGTATGTCCTCAATTCACAGAGTTGAACCTTTGTTTGGATACAGCATCTTGGAAACATTCCTTTAGTAGAATCTGCAAGTGGATATTTAGATAGCTTTGAAGATTTCATTGGAAACGGGAATATCTTCATAAAAAATCTAGACGGAAGCATTGTCAGAAACTGCTTTGTGATGTTTGCATTCAAGTCACAGAGTTAAATAGTCTTTTACAGAGCAGGTTTGAAACACTCTTTCTGCACTACCTGGAAGTGGAGATTTCGAGCGCTTTGAGGCCTATGGTGAAAAAGGAAATATCTTCCCAGAAAAACTAGTCGGAAGCCTTCTCAGAAACTTGTTTGAGATGTGTGTATTCAACTAAGAGCGTTGAACATTTCTTTTTACAGAGCAGTTTTAAAACACTCTTTTTGTGGAATCTGAAAGTGGATAACTGGATAGCTTTGTGGATTTCGTTGGAAACGGGATTACGAATAAAATCTAGAGAGAAGCATTCTCAGGAACTTCTTTCTGATGTTTGCATTCATGTCACAGAATTGAACATTCCTTTTCATAGTGCAGGTTTGAAACACTCTTTCTGTAGTATCTGGAAGGGGACATTTCAAGCGCTTTCAGGCCTCTGGGGAGGAAGGAAATATCTTCAAATAAAAACTAGACAGAAGGCTTCTCAGAAACTTATTTGTGATGTGTGTCCTAAACGAACACAGTTGAACCTTTGTTTTGATACAGCATTTTGGAAACACTCCTTTTGTAGAATCTGCAGGTGGATATTTGGATAGATTTTAAGATTTCGTTGGAAACGGGAATTTCTTCATAGAAACTCAAGACAGATGCATTCTCAGAAACTTCTCTGTGATGTTTGCATTCCACTCATAGAGTTGAAAACTTCCTTTCATAGAGCAGGTTTGAAACACTCTTTTTGTAATATTTGGAAGTGGACATTTGCAGCGCTTTGAGGCCTATGGTGAAAAAGGAAATATCTTCTCATAAAAACCAGAAACGAGCATTCTCAGAAACTTCTTTTTGATGTGTGTACTCAAGTAACAGAGTTGAACCTTCCTATTGACCCAGCAGATTTGAAACAATCTTTTTGTAGAATCTGCAAGTGGATATTTGGATAGATTTGAGGAGTTCGTTGGAAACGGGATATCTTCATATAAAATCCAGACAGGAAGCATTCTCAGAAACTTCTTTCTGCTGTATGACCTCAATTAACAGAGTTGAACCATTGCTTGCATACAGCATTTTGGAAACATTCCTTGAGTAGAATCTGCAAGTTGATATTTAGATAGATTTGAAGATTTCGTTCGAAAACGGAATATCTCCATATAAAATCTAGAGGGAGCATTGTCAGAAACTGCTTTGTGATGTTTGCATTCAAGTCACAGAGTTAAATAGTCTTTTACAGAGCAGGTTTGAAACACTCTTTCTGCACTACCTGGAAGTGGAGATTTCGAGCGCTTTGAGGCCTATGGTGAAAAAGGAAATATCTTCCCAGAAAAACTAGTCGGAAGCCTTCTAAGAAACTTGTTTGAGATGTGTGTATTCAACTAAGAGCGTTGAACATTTCTTTTTACAGAGCAGTTTTAAAACACTCTTTTTGTGGAATCTGAAAGTGGATAACTGGATAGCTTTGTGGATTTCGTTGGAAACGGGATTACGAATAAAATCTAGAGAGAAGCATTCTCAGGAACTTCTTTCTGATGTTTGCATTCAAGTCACAGAATTGAACATTCCTTTTCATAGTGCAGGTTTGAAACACTCTTTCTGTAGTATCTGGAAGGGGACATTTCAAGCGCTTTCAGGCCTCTGGGGAGGAAGGAAATATCTTCAAATAAAAACTAGACAGAAGGCTTCTCAGAAACTTATTTGTGATGTGTGTCCTAAACGAACACAGTTGAACCTTTGTTTTGATACAGCATTTTGGAAACACTCCTTTTGTAGAATCTGCAGGTGGATATTTGGATAGATTTTAAGATTTCGTTGGAAACGGGAATTTCTTCATATAATCTCAAGACAGATGCATTCTCAGAAACTTCTTTGTGATGTTTGCATTCCACTCATAGAGTTGAAAACTTCCTTTCATAGAGCAGGTTTGAAACACTCTTTCTGTAATATTTGGAAGTGGACATTTGCAGCGCTTTGAGGCCTATGGTGAAAAAGGAAATATCTTCTCATAAAAACCAGAAACAAAGCATTCTCAGGAAACTGCTTTTTGATGTGTGTACTCAAGTAACAGAGTTGAACCTTCCTTTTGACACAGCAGTTTTGAAACAATCTTTTTGTAGAATCTGCAAGTGGATATTTGGATAGCTTTGAGGATTTCGTTGGAAACGGGATATCTTCATATAAAATCTAGAAAGAAGCATTCTCAGAAACTTCTTTGTGCTGTATGTCCTCAATTAACAGAGTTGAACCATTGCTTGGATACAGCATTTTGGAAACATTCCTTTAGTAGAATCTGCAAGTTGATATTTAGATAGATTTGAAGATTTCGTTGGAAACGGGAATATCTTCATATAAAATCTAGACGGAGGCATTCTCAGAAACTGCTTTGTGATGTTTCCATTCAAGTCACAGAGTTGAATATTCCCTTTTATAGAGCACGTTTGAAACACTCTTTCGGCACTATCTGGAAGTGGACATTTCGAGCGCTTTGAGGCCTATGGTGAAAAAGGAAATATCTTCCCATAAAAACTAGACAGAAGCATTCTCAGAAACTTGTTTGTGATGTGTGTATTCAACTAACAGACTTGAACTTTTGTTTTTACAGAGCAGTTTTAAAACAATCTTTTTGTGGAATCAGAAAGTGGATATTCGGATGGCTTTGAGGATTTCGTTGGAAGCGGGGTTACATATAAAATGTAGAGAGAAGCATTCTCAGGAACTACTTTGTGATGTTTGCATTGAAGTCACAGAATTGAACATTCACTTTGATAGAGCAGGTTTGAAACACTCATTCTGTAGTATCTGGAAGTGGACATTTCAAGCGCTTTCAGGCCTATGGGGAGAAAGGAAATATCTTCAAATTAAAACTAGACAGAAGCATCCTCAGAAACTTATTTGTGATGTGTGTCCTCAACTAACAGAGTTGAAACTTTGTTTTGATACAGCATTTTGGAAACACTCTTTTTGTAGAATCTGCAGGTGGATACTTGGATAGCTTAGAGGGATTCGTTGGAAAGGGGATAAATTCATATAAAATCTAGACAGAAGCATTCTCAGAAACTTATTTGTGATGTGTGTCCTCAACTAACAGAGTTGAACCTTGGTTTTGATACAGCATTTTGGAAACACTCCTTTTGTAGAATCTGCAGGTGGATATGTGGATAGCTACTGAAGATTTCGTTGGAAACGGGAATTTCTTCATATAAAATCAAACAGAAGCGTTCTCAGAAACTTCTCTGTGATGTTTGCATTCAGCTCATGGAGTTGAACACTTCCTTTCATAGAGTAGGTTTGAAACACTCTTTCTGCACTACCAGGAAGTGGACATATCAAGCGCTTTGAGTCCTATGGTGAAAAAGGAAATATCTTCTCATAAAAACCAGAAAGAAGCGTTCTCAGAAACTTCTTTGTGTTGTGTGTACTCATGTAACAGTGTTGAACCATCCTTTTGACAGAGCAGTTTTGAAACAGTCTTTTTGTAGAATCTGCAAGTGGATATTTGGATAGCTTTGAGGATTTCGTTGGAAGCGGGTTATCTTCATATTAAATCTAGACAGAAGCATTCTCAGGAACTTCTTTGTGATGTTTGCATTCAAGTCACAGAATTGAACATTCCCTTTCATAGAGCAGGTTTGAAACACTCTTTCTCTAGTATCTGGAAGTGGGCATTTCAAGCGCTTTCAGGCCTATGGAGAGAAAGGAAATACCTTCAAATAAAAACTAGACAGAAGCATTCTCAGAAACTTATTTGTGATGTGTGTCCTCAACTAACAGAGTTGAACCTTTGTTTTGATACAGCATTTTGGAAACACTCCTTTTGTAGAATCTGCAGGTGGATATTTGGATAGCTTTGAAGATTTCGTTGGAAACCGGAATATCTTCCTATAAAATCAAGACAGAAGCATTCTCGGAAACATCTCTGTGATGTTTGCATTCAACTCAGTAGAGTTGAACACGTCCTTTCATAGAGCAGGTTTGAAACACTCTTTCTGCCCTACCTGGAAGCGGACATTTCGAGCTCTTTGAGGCCTATGGTGAAAAAGGAAATATCTTCTCATAAAAACCAGAAAGAAGCATTCTCAGAAACTTCTTTGTGTTGTGTGTACTCAAGTAACAGTGTTGAACCTTCCTTTTGACAGAGCAGTTTTGAAACACTCTTTTGGTAGAATCTGCAGGTGGATATTTGGAGAGCTTTGAGGATTTCGTTGGAAACGGGTTATCTTCATATAAAATCCAGACAGGAGCATTCTCAGAAACTTCTTTGTGCTGTATGTCCTCAATTCACAGAGCTGAACCTTTGTTTGGATACAGCATTTTGGAGACATTCCTTTAGTAGAATCTGCAAGTTGATATTTAGATAGCTTTGAAGATTTCGTTGGAAACGGGAATATCTTCATAGAAAATCTAGACGGAAGCATTCTCAGAAACTGCTTTGTGATGTTTGCATTCAAGTCACAGAGTTGAATATTCCCTTTTATAGAGTAGGTTTGAAACACTCTTTCGGCACTACCTGGAAGTGGATATTTCGAGCTCTTTGAGGCCTATGGTTAAAAGGAAATATCTTCCCATAAAAACTAGACAGAAGCCGTCTCAGAAACTTGTTTGTGATGTGTGTATTCAACTACCAGAGTTGAACATTTCTGTTACAGAGCAATTTTAAAACACTCTTTCTGTGGAATCTGAAAGTGGATAATTGGATAGCTTTGTGGATTTCGTTGGAAACGGGATGACGTATAAAATCTAGAGAGAAGCATTCTCAGGAACTTCTTTCTGATGTTTGCATTCAAGTCACAGAATTGAACATTCCTTTTCAGAGTGCAAGTTTGAAACACACTCTTTCTGTAGTATCTGGAAGTGGACATTTCAAGCGCTTTCAGGCCTACGGGGAGAAAGGAAATATCTTCAAATAAAAACTAGACAGAAGGATTCTCAGAAACTTATTGGTGATGTGTGTCCTAAACGAACACAGTTGAACCTTTGTTTTGATACAGCATTTTGGAAACACTCCCTTTGTAGAATCTGCAGGTGGATATTTGGATAGATTTTAAGATTTCGTTGGAAACGGGAATTTCTTCTTATAAACTCAAGACAGATGCATTCTCCGAAACTTCTCTGTGATGTTTCCATTCCACTCATAGAGTTGAAAACTTCCTTTCATAGAGCAGGTTTGAAACACTCTTTTTGTAATATTTGGAAGTGGAAATTTGCAGCGCTTTGAGGCCTATGGTGAAAAAGGAAATATCTTCTCATAAAAACCAGAAACAAGCATTCTCAGAAACTTCCTTGTGATGTGTGTTCTCAAGTAACAGAGTTGAACCTTACTTTTGACAGAGCCGTTTTGAAACAGTCTTTTTGTAGAATCTGGAAGTAGATATTTGGATAGCTTTGAGGATTTCTTTGGAAACGGGATATCTTCATATAAAATCTAGACAGAAGCATTCTCAGAAACTTCTTTGTGCTGTATGACCTCAATTAACAGAGTTGAACCATTGCTTGCATACAGCATTTTGGAAACATTCCTTGAGTAGAATCTGCAAGTTGATATTTAGATAGATTTGAAGATTTCGTTCGAAAACGGAATATCTCCATATAAAATCTAGAGGGAAGCATTCTCAGAAACTGCTTTGTGATGTTTCCTTTCAAGTCACAGAGTTGAATATTCCCTTTTATAGAGCACGTTTGAAACACTCTTTCTGCGCTATCTGGAAGTGGACATTTCGAGCGCTTTGAGGCCTATGGTGAAAAAGGAAATATCTTCCCATAAAAACTAGACAGAAGCATTCTCAGAAACTTGTTTGTGATGTGTGTATTCAACTAACAGACTTGAACTTTTGTTTTTACAGAGCAGTTTTAAAACAATCTTTTTGTGGAATCAGAAAGTGGATATTCGGATGGCTTTGAGGATTTCGTTGGAAGAGGGATTACATATAAAATCTAGGGAGAAGCATTCTCAGGAACTTCTTTCTGATGTTTGCATTGAAGTCACGGAATTGAACATTCACTTTTATAGAGCAGGTTTGAAACACTCATTCTGTAGTATCTGGAAGTGGACATTTCAAGCGCTTTCAGGCCTATGGTGAGAAAGGAAATATCTTCGAATAAAAACTAGACAGAAGCATCCTCAGAAACTTGTTTGTGATGTGTGTCCTCAACTAACAGAGTTGAAACTTTGTTTTGATACAGCATTTTGGAAACACTCTTTTTGTAGAATCTGCAGGTGGATATTTGGATAGCTTAGAGGGATTCGTTGGAAAGGGGATATCTTCATATAAAATCTAGACAGAAGCATTCTCAGAAACTTATTTGTGATGTGTGTCCTCAACTAACAGAGTTGAACCTTGGTTTTGATACAGCATTTTGGAAACACTGCTTTTGAAGAATCTGCAGGTGGATATGTGGATAGCTTTGAAGATTTCGTTGGAAACGGGAATTTCTTCATATAAAATCAAACAGAAGCATTCTCAGAAACTTCTCTGTGATGTTTGCATTCAGCTCATGGAGTTGAACACTTCCTTTCATAGAGCAGGTTTGAAACACTCTTTCTGCACTACCTGGAAGTGGACATTTCGAGCGCTTTGAGGCCTATGGTGAAAAAGGAAATATCCTCTCATAAAAACCAGAAAGAAGCGTTCTCAGAAACTTCTTTGTGTTGTGTGTACTCATGTAACAGTGTTGAACCATCCTTTTGACAGAGCAGTTTTGAAACACTCTTTTTGTAGAATCTGCAAGTGGATATTTGGATAGCTTTGAGGATTTCGTTGGAAACGGGTTATCTTCATATTAAATCTAGACAGAAGCATTCTCAGAAACTTCTTTGTGCTGTATGTCCTCAATTCACAGAGTTGAACCTTTGTTTGGATACAGCATTTTGGAAACTTTCCTTTAGTAGAATCTGCAAGTTGATATTTAGATAGCTTTGAAGATTTCGTTGGAAACGGGAATATCTTCATAAAAAATCTAGACGGAAGCATTGTCAGAAACTGCTTTGTGATGTTTGCATTCAAGTCACAGAGTTAAATATTCTTTTACAGAGCAGGTTTGAAACACTCTTTCTGCACTCCCTGGAAGTGGAGATTTCGAGCGCTTTGAGGCCTATGGTGAAAAAGGAAGTATCTTCCCATAAAAACTAGACGGAAGCATTCTCAGAAACTTGTTTGTGATGTGTGTATTCAACTAACAGACTTGAACTTTTGTTTTTACAGAGCAGTTTTAAAACAATCTTTTTGTGGAATCAGAAAGTGGATATTCGGATGGCTTTGAGGATTTCGTTGGAAGCGGGATTACATATAAAATCTAGAGAGAAGCATTCTCAGGAACTACTTTGTGATGTTTGCATTGAAGTCACAGAATTGAACATTCACTATGATAGAGCAGGTTTGAAACACTCATGCTGTAGTATCTGGAAGTGGACATTTCAAGCGCTTTCAGGCCTATGGTGAGAAAGGAAATATCTTCAAATTAAAACTAGACAGAAGCATTCTCAGAAACTTATTTGTGATGTGTGTCCTCAACTAACAGAGTTGAAACTTTGTTTTGATACAGCATTTTGGAAACACTCTTTTTGTAGAATCTGCAGGTGGATATTTGGATAGCTTAGAGGGATTCGTTGGAAAGGGGATATCTTCATATAAAATCTAGACAGAAGCATTCTCAGAAACTTATTTGTGATGTGTGTCCTCAACTAACAGAGTTGAACCTTGGTTTTGATACAGCATTTTGGAAACACTCCTTTTGAAGAATCTGCAGGTGGATATGTGGATAGCTTTGAAGATTTCGTTGGAAACGGGAATTTCTTCATATAAAATCAAACAGAAGCATTCTCAGGAACTTCTCTGTGATGTTTGCATTCAGCTCATGGAGTTGAACACTTCCTTTCATAGAGCAGGTTTGAAACACTCTTTCTGCACTACCTGGAAGTGGACATTTCGAGCCGCTTTGAGGCCTACGGTGAAAAAGGAAATATCCTCTCATAAAAACCAGAAAGAAGCGTTCTCAGAAACTTCTTTGTGTTGTGTGTACTCATGTAACAGTGTTGAACCATCCTTTTGACAGAGCAGTTTTGAAACACTCTTTTTGTAGAATCTGCAAGTGGATATTTGGATAGCTTTGAGGATTTCGTTGGAAACGGGTTATCTTCATATTAAATCCAGACAGAAAGCATTCTCAGAAACTTCTTTGTGCTGTATGTCCTCAATTCACAGAGTTGAACCTTTGTTTGGATACAGCATTTTGGAAACATTCCTTTAGTAGAATCTGCAAGTTGGTATTTAGATAGCTTTGAAGATTTCGTTGGAAACGGGAATATCTTCATAAAAAATCTAGACGGAAGCATTGTCAGAAACTGCTTTGTGATGTTTGCATTCAAGTCACAGAGTTAAATATTCTTTTACAGAGCAGGTTTGAAACACTCTTTCTGCACTCCCTGGAAGTGGAGATTTCGAGTGCTTTGAGGCCTATGGTGAAAAAGGAAATATCTTCCCATAAAAACTAGACGGAAGCCTTCTCAGAAACTTGTTTGAGATGTGTGTATTCAACTAAGAGCGTTGAACATTTCTTTCTACAGAGCAGTTTTAAAACACTCTTTTTGTGGAATCTGAAAGTGGATAATTGGATAGCTTTGTGGATTGCGTTGGAAACGGGATTACGTATAAAATCTAGAGAGAAGCATTCTCAGAAACTTCTTTCTGATGTTTGCATTCAAGTCACAGAATTGAACATTCCTTTTCATAGTACAGGTTTGAAACACTCTTTCTGTACTATCTGGAAGTGGACATTTCAAGCGCTTTCAGGCCTATGGGGAGAAAGGAAATATCTTCAAATTAAAAACTAGACAGAAGGATTCTCAGAAACTTATTGGTGATGTGTGTCCTAAACGAACACAGTTGAACCTTTGTTTTGATACAGCATTTTGGAAACACTCCCTTTGTAGAATCTGCAGGTGGATATTTGGATAGATTTTAAGATTTCGTTGGAAACGGGAATTTCTTCATATAAACTCAAGACAGATGCATTCTCCGAAACTTCTCTGTGATGTTTTCATTCCACTCATAGAGTTGAAAACTTCCTTTCATAGAGCAGGTTTGAAACACTCTTTTTGTAATATTTGGAAGTGGACATTTGCAGCGCTTTGAGGCCTATGGTGAAAAAGGAAATATCTTCTCATAAAAACCAGAAACAAGCATTCTCAGAAACTTCTTTTTGATGTGTGTACTCAAGTAACAGAGTTGAACCTTCCTTTTGACACAGCAGTTTTGAAACAATCTTTTTGTAGAATCTGCAAGTGGATATTTGGATAGCTTTGAGGATTTCGTTGGAAACGGGATATCTTCATATAAAATCTAGACAGAAGCATTCTCACAAACTTCTTTGTGCTGTATGTCCTCAATTAACCGAGTTGAACCATTGCTTGGATACAGCATTTTGGAAACATTCCTTTAGTAGAATCTGCAAGTTGATATTTAGATAGATTTGAAGATTTCGTTGGAAACGGGAATATCTTCATATAAAATCTAGACGGAGGCATTCTCAGAAACTGCTTTGTGATGTTTCCATTCAAGTCACAGAGTTGAATATTCTCTTTTATAGAGCACGTTTGAAACACTCTTTCTGCACTATCTGGAAGTGGACATTTCGAACGCTGTGAGGCCTATGGTGAAAAAGGAAATATCTTCCCATAAAAACTACACAGAAGCATTCTCAGAAACTTGTTTGTGATGTGTGTATTCAACTAACAGAGTTGAACTTTTGTTTTTACAGAGCCGTTTTAAAACACTCTTTTTGTGGAATCAGAAAGTGGATATTCGGATGGCTCTGAGGATTTCGTTGGAAGCGGGATTACGTATAAAATCTAGAGAGAAGCATTCTCAGGAACTTCTTTCTGATGTTTGCATTGAAGTCACGGAATTGAACATTCACTTTGATAGAGCAGGTTTGAAACACTCATTCTGTAGTATCTGGAAGTGGACATTTCAAGCGCTTTCAGGCCTATGGTGAGAAAGGAAATATCTTCGAATAAAAACTAGACAGAAGCATCCTCAAACTTATTTGTGATGTGTGTCCTCAACTAACAGAGTTGAAACTTTGTTTTGATACAGCATTTTGGAAACACTCTTTTTGTAGAATCTGCAGGTGGATATTTGGATAGCTTAGAGGGATTCGTTGGAAAGGGGATATCTTCATATAAAATCTAGACAGAAGCATTCTCAGAAACTTATTTGTGATGTGTGTCCTCAACTAACAGAGTTGAACCTTGGTTTTGATACAGCATTTTGGAAACACTCCTTTTGTAGAATCTGCAGGTGGATATGTGGATAGCTTTGAAGATTTCGTTGGAAACGGGAATTTCTTCAGATAAAATCAAACAGAAGCATTCTCAGAAACTTCTCAGTGATGTTTGCATTCAGCTCATGGAGTTGTACACTTCCTTTCATAGAGCAGGTTTGAAACACTCTTTCTGCACTACCTGGAAGAGGACATTTCGAGCGCTTTGAGGCCTATGGTGAAAAAGGAAATATCTTCTCATAGAAACCAGAAAGAAGCATTCTCAGAAACTTCTTTGTGTTGTGTGTACTCATGTAACAGTGTTGAACCATCCTTTTGACAGAGCAGTTTTGAAACACTCTTTTTGTAGAGTCTGCAAGTGGATATTTGGATAGCTTTGAGGATTTCGTTGGAAACGGGATGACATATAATATCTAGAGAGAAGCATTCTCAGGAACTTCTTTGTGATGTTTGCATTCAAGTCACAGAATTGAACATTCCCTTTCATAGAGCAGGTTTGAAACACTCTTTCTCTAGTATCTGGAAGTGGGCATTTCAAGCGCTTTCAGGCCTATGGAGAGAAAGGAAATACCTTCAAATAAAAACTAGACAGAAGCATTCTCAGAAACTTATTTGTGATGTGTGTCCTCAACTAACAGAGTTGAACCTTTGTTTTGATACAGCATTTTGGAAACACTCCTTTTGTAGAATCTGCAGGTGGATATTTGGATAGCTTTGAAGATTTCGTTGGAAACCGGAATATCTTCATATAAAATCAAGACAGAAGCATTCTCGGAAACATCTCTGTGATGTTTGCATTCAACTCAGTAGAGTTGAACACTTCCTTTCATAGAGCAGGTTTGAAACACTCTTTCTGCACTACCTGGAAGCGGACATTTCGAGCGCTTTGAGGCCTATGGTGAAAAAGGAAATATCTTCTCATAAAAACCAGAAAGAAGCATTCTCAGAAACTTCTTTGTGTTGTGTGTACTCAAGTAACAGTGTTGAACCTTCCTTTTGACAGAGTAGTTTTGAAACACTCTTTTGGTAGAATCTGCAAGTGGATATTTGGATAGCTTTGAGGATTTCGTTGGAAACGGGTTATCTTCATATAAAATCCAGACAGGAGCATTCTCAGAAACTTCTTTGTGCTGTATGTCCTCAATTCACAGAGCTGAACCTTTGTTTGGATACAGCATTTTGGAGACATTCCTTTAGTAGAATCTGCAAGTTGATATTTAGATAGCTTTGAAGATTTCGTTGGAAACGGGAATATCTTCATAGAAAATCTAGACGGAAGCATTCTCAGAAACTGCTTTGTGATGTTTGCATTCAAGTCACAGAGTTGAATATTCCCTTTTATAGAGTAGGTTTGAAACACTCTTTCGGCACTACCTGGAAGTGGATATTTCGAGCTCTTTGAGGCCTATGGTTAAAAGGAAATATCTTCCCATAAAAACTAGACAGAAGCCGTCTCAGAAACTTGTTTGTGATGTGTGTATTCAACTAACAGAGTTGAACATTTCTGTTACAGAGCAATATTAAAACACTCTTTTTATGGAATCTGAAATTGGATAACTGGATAGCTTTGTGGATTTCGTTGGAAACGGGATGACGTATAAAATCTAGAGAGAAGCATTCTCAGGAACTTCTTTCTGATGTTTGCATTCAAGTCACAGAATTGAACATTCCTTTTCATAGTGCAGGTTTGAAACTCTCTTTCTGTAGTATCTGGAAGTGGACATTTCAAGCGCTTTCAGGCCTATGGGGAGAAAGGAAATATCTTCAAATAAAAACTAGACAGAAGGATTCTCAGAAACTTATTGGTGATGTGTGTCCTAAACGAACACAGTTGAACCTTTGTTTTGATACAGCATTTTGGAAACACTCCCTTTGTAGAATCTGCAGGTGGATATTTGGAAAGATTTTAAGATTTCGTTGGAAACGGGAATTTCTTCGTATAAACTCAAGACAGAATGCATTCTCAGAAACTTCTCTGTGATGTTTGCATTCCACTCATAGAGTTGAAAACTTCCTTTCATAGAGCAGGTTTGAAACACTCTTTTTGTAATATTTGGAAGTGGACATTTGCAGCGCTTTGAGGCCTATGGTGAAAAAGGAAATATCTTCTCATAAAAACCAGAAACAAGCATTCTCAGAAACTTCTTTTTGATGTGTGTACTCAAGTAACAGAGTTGAACCTTCCTTTTGACACAGCAGTTTTGAAACAATCTTTTTGTAGAATCTGCAAGTGGATATTTGGATAGCTTTGAGGATTTCATTGGAAACGGGATATCTTCATATAAAATCTAGAGAGAAGCATTCTCAGAAACTTCTTTGTGCTGTATGTCCTCAATTAACAGAGTTGAACCATGGCTTGGATACAGCATTTTGGAAACATTCCTTGAGTAGAATCTGCAAGTTGATATGTAGATAGCTTTCAAGATTTCGTTGGAAACGGGAATATCTTCCTATAAAATCTAGACGGAAGCATTCTCAGAAACTGCTTTGTGATGTTTCCATTCAAGTCACAGCAGTTGAATATTCCCTTTTATAGAGCACGTTTGAAACACTCTTTCTGCACTATCTGGAAGTGGACATTTCGAGCGCTTTGAGGCCTATGGTGAAAAAGGAAATATCTTCCCATAAAAACTAGACAGAAGCATTCTCAGAAACTTGTTTATGATGTGTGTATTCAACTAACAGAGTTGAACTTTTGTTTTTACAGAGCCGTTTTAAAACACTCTTTTTGTGGAATCAGAAAGTGGATATTCGGATGGCTCTGAGGATTTCGTTGGAAGCGGGATTACGTATAAAATCTAGAGAGAAGCATTCGCAGGAACTACTTTGTGATGTTTGCATTGAAGTCACAGAATTGAACATTCACTTTTATAGAGCAGGTTTGAAACACTCATTCTGTAGTATCTGGAAGTGGACATTTCAAGCGCTTTCAGGCCTATGGTGAGAAAGGAAATACCTTCAAATAAAAACTAGACAGAAGCATCCTCAAACTTATTTGTGATGTGTGTCCTCAACTAACAGAGTTGAAACTTTGTTTTGATACAGCATTTTGGAAACACTCTTTTTGTAGAATCTGCAGGTGGATATTTGGATAGCTTAGAGGGATTCGTTGGAAAGGGGATATCTTCATATAAAATCTAGACAGAAGCATTCTCAGAAACTTATTTGTGATGTGTGTCCTCAACTAACAGAGTTGAACCTTGGTTTTGATACAGCATTTTGGAAACACTCCTTTTGTAGCATCTGCAGGTGGATATGTGGATAGCTTTGAAGATTTCGTTGGAAACGGGAATTTCTTCATATAAAATCAAACAGAAGCATTCTCAGAAACTTATCAGTGATGTTTGCATTCAGCTCAAGGAGTTGTACACTTCCTTTCATAGAGCAGGTTTGAAAAACTCTTTCTGCACTACCTGGAAGAGGACATTTCGAGCGCTTTGAGTCCTATGGTGAAAAAGGAAATATCTTCTCATAGAAACCAGAAAGAAGCATTCTCAGAAACTTCTTTGTGTTGTGTGTACTCATGTAACAGTGTTGAACCATCCTTTTGACAGAGGAGTTTTGAAACACTCTTTTTGTAGAATCTGCAAGTGGATATTTGGATAGCTTTGAGGATTTCGTTGGAAACGGGATGACATATAATATCTAGAGAGAAGCATTCTCAGGAACTTCTTTGTGATGTTTGCATTCAAGTCACAGAATTGAACATTCCCTTTCATAGAGCAGGTTTGAAACACTCTTTCTCTAGTATCTGGAAGTGGGCATTTCAAGTGCTTTCAGGCCTATGGAGAGAAAGGAAATACCTTCAAATAAAAACTAGACAGAAGCATTCTCAGAAACTTATTTGTGATGTGTGTCCTCAACTAACAGAGTTGAACCTTTGTTTTGATACAGCATTTTGGAAACACTCCTTTTGTAGAATCTGCAGGTGGATATTTGGATAGCTTTGAAGATTTCGTTGGAAACCGGAATATCTTCATATAAAATCAAGACAGAAGCAT
Source organism: Homo sapiens (assembly GCF_000001405.40). NCBI lineage: Eukaryota > Metazoa > Chordata > Mammalia > Primates > Hominidae > Homo > Homo sapiens. The sequence goes on from NC_000004.12 coordinate 49,745,922, forward strand.
TCTCGGAAACATCTCTGTGATGTTTGCATTCAACTCAGTAGAGTTGAACACTTCCCTTTCATAGAGCAGGTTTGAAACACTCTTTCTGCACTACCTGGAAGCGGACATTTCGAGCGCTTTGAGGCCTATGGTGAAAAAGGAAATATCTTCTCATAAAAACCAGAAAGAAGCATTCTCAGAAACTTCTTTGTGTTGTGTGTACTCAAGTAACAGTGTTGAACCTTCCTTTTCACAGAGCAGTTTTGAAACACTCTTTTGGTAGAATCTGCAAGTGGATATTTGGAGAGCTTTGAGGATTTCGTTGGAAACGGGTTATCCTCATATAAAATCCAGACAGGAGCATTCTCAGAAACTTCTTTGTGCTGTATGTCCGCAATTCACAGAGCTGAACCTTTGTTTGGATACAGCATTTTGGAGACATTCCTTTAGTAGAATCTGCAAGTTGATATTTAGATAGCTTTGAAGATTTCATTGGAAACGGGAATATCTTCATAGAAAATCTAGACGGAAGCATTCTCAGAAACTGCTTTGTGATGTTTGCATTCAAGTCACAGAGTTGAATATTCCCTTTTATAGAGTAGGTTTGAAACACTCTTTCGGCACTACCTGGAAGTGGATATTTCGAGCTTTTTGAGGCCTATGGTTAAAAGGAAATATCTTCCCATAAAAACTAGACAGAAGCCGTCTCAGAAACTTGTTTGTGATGTGTGTATTCATCTAACAGAGTTGAACATTTCTGTTACAGAGCAATTTTAAAACACTCTTTTTGTGGAATCTGAAAGTGGATAATTGGATAGCTTTGTGGATTTCGTTGGAAACGGGATGACGTATAAAATCTAGAGAGAAGCATTCTCAGGAACTTCTTTCTGATGTTTGCATTCAAGTCACAGAATTGAACATTCCTTTTCATAGTGCAGGTTTGAAACACTCTTTCTGTAGTATCTGGAAGTGGACATTTCAAGCGCTTTCAGGCCTACGGGGAGAAAGGAAATATCTTCAAATAAAAACTAGACAGAAGGATTCTCAGAAACTTATTTGTGATGTGTGTCCTAAACGAACACAGTTGAACCTTTGTTTTGATACAGCATTTTGGAAACACTCCTTTTGTAGAATCTGCAGGTGGATATTTGGATAGATTTTAAGATTTCGTTGGAAACGGGAATTTCTTCATATAAACTCAAGACAGATGCATTCTCATGAACTTCTCTGTGATGTTTGCATTCCACTCATAGAGTTGAAAACTTCCTTTCATAGAGCAGGTTTGAAACACTCTTTTTGTAATATTTGGAAGTGGACATTTGCAGCGCTTTGAGGCCTATGGTGAAAAAGGAAATATCTTCTCATAAAAACCAGAAACAAGCATTCTCAGAAACTTCTTTTTGATGTGTGTACTCAAGTAACAGAGTTGAACCTTCCTTTTGACACAGCAGTTTTGAAACAATCTTTTTGTAGAATCTGCAAGTGGATATTTGGATAGCTTTGAGGATTTCGTTGGAAACGGGATATCTTCATATAAAATCTAGACAGAAGCATTCTCAGAAACTTCTTTGTGCTGTATGTCCTCAATTAACAGAGTTGAACCATTGCTTGGATACAGCATTTTGGAAACATTCCTTGAGTAGAATCTGCAAGTTGATATTTAGATAGATTTGAAGATTTCGTTGGAAAAGGGAATATCTCCATATAAAATCTAGAGGGAATCATTCTCAGAAACTGCTTTGTGATGTTTCCATTCAAGTCACAGAGTTGAATATTCCCTTTTATAGAGCACGTTTGAAACACTCTTTCTGCACTATCTGGAAGTGGACATTTCGAGCGCTTTGAGGCCTATGGTGAAAAAGGAAATATCTTCCCATAAAAACTAGACAGAAGCATTCTCAGAAACTTGTTTGTGATGTGTGTATTCAACTAACAGAGTTGAACTTTTGTTTTTACAGAGCCGTTTTAAAACACTCTTTTTGTGGAATCAGAAAGTGGATATTCGGATGGCTCTGAGGATTTCGTTGGAAGCGGGATTACATATAAAATCTAGAGAGAAGCATTCTCAGGAACTTCTTTGTGATGTTTGCATTGAAGTCACAGAATTGAACATTCACTTTGATAGAGCAGGTTTGAAACACTCATTCTGTAGGATCTGGAAGTGGACATTTCAAGCGCTTTCAGGCCTATGGTGAGAAAGGAAATATCTTCGAATAAAAACTAGACAGAGGCATCCTCAGAAACGTATTTGTGATGTGTGTCCTCAACTAACAGAGTTGAAACTTTGTTTTGATACAGCATTTTGGAAACACTCCTTTCGTAGAATCTGCAGGTGGCTATTTGGATAGCTTAGAGGGATTCGTTGGAAAGGGGATATCTTCATATAAAATCTAGACAGAAGCATTCTCAGAAACTTATTTGTGATGTGTGTCCTCAACTAACAGAGTTGAACCTTGGTTTTGATACAGCATTTTGGAAACAGTCCTTTTGTAGAATCTGCAGGTGGATATGTGGATAGCTCTGAAGATTTCGTTGGAAACGGGAATTTCTTCATATAAAATCAAACAGAAGCATTCTCAGAAACTACTCTGTGATGTTTGCATTCAGCCCATGGAGTTGAACACTTCCTTTCATAGAGCAGGTTTGAAACACTCTTTCTGCACTACCAGGAAGTGGACATTTCGAGCGCTTTGAGTCCTATGGTGAAAAAGGATATATCTTCTCATAAAAACCAGAAAGAAGCATTCTCAGAAACTTCTTTGTGTTGTGTGTACTCATGTAACAGTGTTGAACCATCCTTTTGACAGAGGAGTTTTGAAACACTCTTTTTGTAGAATCTGCAAGTGGATATTTGGATAGCTTTGAGGATTTCGTTGGAAACGGGATGACATATAATATCTAGAGAGAAGCATTCTCAGGAACTTCTTTGTGATGTTTGCATTCAAGTCACAGAATTGAACATTCCCTTTCATAGAGCAGGTTTGAAACACTCTTTCTCTAGTATCTGGAAGTGGGCATTTCAAGCGCTTTCAGGCCTATGGAGAGAAAGGAAATACCTTCAAATAAAAACTAGACAGAAGCATTCTCAGAAACTTATTTGTGATGTGTGTCCTCAACTAACAGAGTTGAACCTTTGTTTTGATACAGCATTTTGGAAACACTCCTTTTGTAGAATCTGCAGGTGGATATTTGGATAGCTTTGAAGATTTCGTTGGAAACCGGAATATCTTCATATAAAATCAAGACAGAAGCATTCTCGGAAACATCTCTGTGATGTTTGCATTCAACTCAGTAGAGTTGAACACTTCCTTTCATAGAGCAGGTTTGAAACACTCTTTCTGCACTACCTGGAAGCGGACATTTCGAGCGCTTTGAGGCCTATGGTGAAAAAGGAAATATCTTCTCATAAAAACCAGAAAGAAGCATTCTCAGAAACTTCTTTGTGTTGTGTGTACTCAAGTAACAGTGTTGAACCTTCCTTTTGACAGAGTAGTTTTGAAACACTCTTTTGGTAGAATCTGCAAGTGGATATTTGGATAGCTTTGAGGATTTCGTTGGAAACGGGTTATCTTCCTATAAAATCCAGACAGGAGCATTCTCAGAAACTTCTTTGTGCTGTATGTCCTCAATTCACAGAGCTGAACCTTTGTTTGGATACAGCATTTTGGAGACATTCCTTTAGTAGAATCTGCAAGTTGATATTTAGATAGCTTTGAAGATTTCGTTGGAAACGGGAATATCTTCATAGAAAATCTAGACGGAAGCATTCTCAGAAACTGCTTTGTGATGTTTGCATTCAAGTCACAGAGTTGAATATTCCCTTTTATACAGTAGGTTTGAAACACTCTTTCGGCACTACCTGGAAGTGGATATTTCGAGCTCTTTGAGGCCTATGGTTAAAAGGAAATATCTTCCCATAAAAACTAGACAGAAGCCGTCTCAGAAACTTGTTTGTGATGTGTGTATTCAACTAACAGAGTTGAACATTTCTGTTACAGAGCAATTTTAAAACACTCTTTTTGTGGAATCTGAAAGTGGATAATTGGATAGCTTTGTGGATTTCGTTGGAAACGGGATGACGTATAAAATCTAGAGAGAAGCATTCTCAGGAACTTCTTTCTGATGTTTGCATTCAAGTCACAGAATTGAACATTCCTTTTCAGAGTGCAGGTTTGAAACACTCTTTCTGTAGTATCTGGAAGTGGACATTTCAAGCGCTTTCAGGCCTACGGGGAGAAAGGAAATATCTTCAAATAAAAACTAGAGAGAAGGATTCTCAGAAACTTATTTGTGATGTGTGTCCTAAACGAACACAGTTGAACCTTTGTTTTGATACAGCATTTTGGAAACACTCCTTTTGTAGGATCTGCAGGTGGATATTTGGATAGATTTTAAGATTTCGTTGGAAACGGGAATTTCTTCATAGAAGCTCAAGACAGGTGCATTCTCAGAAACTTCTCTGTGATGTTTGCATTCCACTCATAGAGTTGAAAACTTCCTTTCATAGAGCAGGTTTGAAACACTCTTTCTGTAATATTTGGAAGTGGACATTTGCAGCGCTTTGAGGCCTATGGTGAAAAAGGAAATATCTTCTCATAAAAACCAGAAACGAGCATTCTCAGAAACTTCTTTTTGATGTGTGTACTCAAGTAACAGAGTTGAACCTTCCTATTGACACAGCAGTTTTGAAACAATCTTTTTGTAGAATCTGCAAGTGGATATTTGGATAGCTTTGAGGAGTTCGTTGGAAACGGGATATCTTCATATAAAATACAGACAGGAGCATTCTCAGAAACTTCTTTGTGCTCTATGTCCTCAATTAACAGAGTTGAACCATTGCTTGGATACAACATTTTGGAAACATTCCTTTAGTAGAATCTGCAAGTTGATATGTAGATAGCTTTGAAGATTTCGTTGGAAACGGGAATATCTTCATATAAAGTCTAGAAGGAAGCATTCTGAGAAACTGCTTTGTGATGTTTCCATTCAAGTTACGGAGTTGAATATTCTCTTTTATAGAGCACGTTTGAAACACTCTTTCTGCACTATCTGGAAGTGGACATTTCGAGCGCTTTGAGGCCTATGGTGAAAAAGGAAATATCTTCCCATAAAAACTAGACAGAAGCATTCTCAGAAACTTGTTTGTGATGTGTGTATTCAACTAACAGAGTTGAACTTTTGTTTTTACAGAGCCGTTTTAAAACACTCTTTTTGTGGAATCAGAAAGTGGATATTCGGATGGCTCTGAGGATTTCGTTGGAAGCGGGATTACGTATAAAATCTAGAGAGAAGCATTCTCAGGAACTTCTTTGTGATGTTTGCATTGAAGTCACAGAATTGAACATTCCCTTTCATAGAGCAGGTTTGAAACACTCTTTCTCTAGTATCTGGAAGTGGGCATTTCAAGCGCTTTCAGGCCTATGGAGAGAAAGGAAATACCTTCAAATAAAAACTAGACAGAAGCATTCTCAGAAACTTATTTGTGATGTGTGTCCTCAACTAACAGAGTTGAACCTTTGTTTTGATACAGCATTTTGGAAACACTCCTTTTGTAGAATCTGCAGGTGGATATTTGGATAGCTTTGAAGATTTCGTTGGAAACCGGAATATCTTCATATAAAATCAAGACAGAAGCATTCTCGGAAACATCTCTGTGATGTTTGCATTCAACTCAGTAGAGTTGAACACTTCCTTTCATAGAGCAGGTTTGAAACACTCTTTCTGCACTACCTGGAAGCGGACATTTCGAGCGCTTTGAGGCCTATGGTGAAAAAGGAAATATCTTCTCATAAAAACCAGAAAGAAGCATTCTCAGAAACTTCATTGTGTTGTGTGTACTCAAGTAACAGTGTTGAACCTTCCTTTTGACAGAGCAGTTTTGAAACACTCTTTTGGTAGAATCTGCAAGTGGATATTTGGATAGCTTTGAGGATTTCGTTGGAAACGGGTTATCTTCCTATAAAATCCAGACAGGAGCATTCTCAGAAACTTCTTTGTGCTCTATGTCCTCAATTAACAGAGTTGAACCATTGCTTGGGTACAGCATTTTGGAAACATTCCATTAGTAGTATCTGCAAGTTGATATTTAGATAGCTTTGAAGATTTCGTTGGAAACGGGAATATCTTCATATAAAATCTAGACGGAAGCATTCTCAGAAACTGCTTTGTGATGTTTGCATTCAAGTCACAGAGTTGAATATTCCCTTTTATAGAGTAGGTTTGAAACACTCTTTCGGCACTACCTGGAAGTGGATATTTCGAGCTCTTTGAGGCCTATGGTTAAAAGGAAATATCTTCCCATAAAAACTAGACAGAAGCCTTCTCAGAAACTTGTTTGAGATGTGTGTATTCAACTAAGAGCGTTGAACATTTCTTTTTAGAGAGCAGTTTTAAAACACTCTTTTTGTGGAATCTGAAAGTGGATAATTGGATAGCTTTGCGGATTTCGTTGGAAACGGGATTACGTATAAAATCTAGAGAGAAGCATTCTCAGGAACTTCTTTCTGAGGTTTGCATTCAAGTCACAGAACTGAACATTCCTTTTCATAGTGCAGGTTTGAAACACTCTTTCTGTAGTATCTGGAAGTGGACATTTCAAGCGCTTTCAGGCCTATGGGGAGAAAGGAAAGATCTTCAAATAAAAACTAGACAGAAGGATTCTCAGAAACTTATTTGTGATGTGTGTCCTAAACGAACACAGTTGAACCTTTGTTTTGATACAGCATTTTGGAAACACTCCTTTTGTAGGATCTGCAGGTGGATATTTGGATAGATTTTAAGATTTCGTTGGAAACGGGAATTTCTTCATAGAAGCTCAAGACAGATGCATTCTCAGAAACTTCTCTGTGATGTTTGCATTCCACTCATAGAGTTGAAAACTTCCTTTCATAGAGCAGGTTTGAAACACTCTTTTTGTAATATTTGGAAGTGGACCTTTGCAGCGCTTTGAGGCCTATGGTGAAAAAGGAAATATCTTCTCATAAAAACCAGAAACAAGCATTCTCAGAAACTTCTTTTTGATGTGTGTACTCAAGTAACAGAGTTGAACCTTCCTTTTGACACAGCAGTTTTGAAACAATCTTTTTGTAGAATCTGCAAGTGGATATTTGGATAGCTTTGAGGATTTCGTTGGAAACGGGATATCTTCATATAAAATCTAGACAGAAGCATTCTCAGAAACTTCTTTGTGCTGTATGTCCTCAATTAACAGAGTTGAACCATTGCTTGCATACAGCATTTTGGAAACATTCCTTGAGTAGAATCTGCAAGTTGATATTTAGATAGATTTGAAGATTTCGTTCGAAAACGGAATATCTCCATATAAAATCTAGAGGGAGGCATTCTCAGAAACTGCTTTGTGATGTTTCCATTCAAGTCACAGAGTTGAATATTCTCTTTTATAGAGCACGTTTGAAACACTCTTTCTGCACTATCTGGAAGTGGACATTTCGATCGCTGTGAGGCCTATGGTGAAAAAGGAAATATCTTCCCATAAAAACTAGACAGAAGCATTCTCAGAAACTTGTTTGTGATGTGTGTATTCAACTAACAGAGTTGAACTTTTGTTTTTACAGAGCCGTTTTAAAACACTCTTTTTGTGGAATCAGAAAGTGGATATTCGGATGGCTCTGAGGATTTCGTTGGAAGCGGGATTACGTATAAAATCTAGAGACAAGCATTCTCAGGAACTTCTTTCTGATGTTTGCTTTGAAGTCACGGAATTGAACATTCACTTTTATAGAGCAGGTTTGAAACACTCATTCTGTAGTATCTGGAAGTGGACATTTCAAGCGCTTTCAGGCCTATGGTGAGAAAGGAAATATCTTCGAATAAAAACTAGACAGAAGCATCCTCAGAAACTTATTTGTGATGTGTGTCCTCAACTAACAGAGTTGAAACTTTGTTTTGCTACAGCATTTTGGAAACACTCTTTTTGTAGAATCTGCAGGTGGATGTTTGGATAGCTTAGAGGGATCCGTTGGAAAGGGGATATCTTCATATGAAATCTAGACAGAAGCATTCTCAGAAACTTATTTGTGATGTGTGTCCTCAACTAACAGAGTGGAACCTTAGTTTTGATACAGCATTTTGGAAACACTCCTTTTGTAGAATCTGCAGGTGGATATGTGGATAGCTTTGAAGATTTCGTTGGAAACGGGAATTTCTTCATATAAAATCAAACAGAAGCATTCTCAGAAACTTCTCAGTGATGTTTGCATTCAGTTCATGGAGTTGAACACTTCCCTTCATAGAGCCGGTTTGAAACACTCTTTCTGCACTACCTGGAAGAGGACATTTCGAGCGCTTTGAGTCCTATGGTGAAAAAGGAAATATCTTCTCATAGAAACCAGAAAGAAGCATTCTCAGAAACTTCTTTGTGTTGTGTGTACTCATGTAACAGTGTTGAACCATCCTTTTGACAGAGCAGTTTTGAAACACTCTTTTTGTAGAATCTGCAAATGGATATTTGGATAGCTTTGAGGATTTCGTTGGAAACGGGATGACATATAATATCTAGAGAGAAGCATTCTCAGGAACTTCTTTGTGATGTTTGCATTCAAGTCACAGAATTGAACATTCCCTTTCATAGAGCAGGTTTGAAACACTCTTTCTCTAGTATCTGGAAGTGGGCATTTCAAGCGCTTTCAGGCCTATGGAGAGAAAGGAAATACCTTCAAATAAAAACTAGACAGAAGCATTCTCAGAAACTTATTTGTGATGTGTGTCCTCAACTAACAGAGTTGAACCTTTGTTTTGATACAGCATTTTGGAAACACTCCTTTTGTAGAATCTGCAGGTGGATATTTGGATAGCTTTGAAGATTTCGTTGGAAACCGGAATATCTTCCTATAAAATCAAGACAGAAGCATTCTCGGAAACATCTCTGTGATGTTTGCATTCAACTCAGTAGAGTTGAACACTTCCTTTCATAGAGCAGGTTTGAAACACTCTTTCTGCCCTACCTGGAAGCGGACATTTCGGGCGCTTTGAGGCCTATGGTGAAAAAGGAAATATCTTCTCATAAAAACCAGAAAGAAGCATTCTCAGAAAGTTATTTTTGATGTGTGTACTCAAGTAACAGAGTTGAACCTTATTTTTGACACAGCAGTTTTGAAACACTCTTCTGGTAGAATCTGCAATTGGATATTTGGAGAGCTTTGAGGATTTCGTTGGAAACGGGTTATCTTCATATAAAATCCAGACAGGAGCATTCTCAGAAACTTCTTTGTGCTGTATGTCCTCAATTCACAGAGCTGAACCTTTGTTTGGATACAGCATTTTGGAGACATTCCTTTAGTAGAATCTGCAAGTTGATATTTAGATAGCTTTGAAGATTTCGTTGGAAACGGGAATATCTTCATAGAAAATCTAGACGGAAGCATTCTCAGAAACTGCTTTGTGATGTTTGCATTCAAGTCACAGAGTTGAATATTCCCTTTTATAGAGTAGGTTTGAAACACTCTTTCGGCACTACCTGGAAGTGGATATTTCGAGCTCTTTGAGGCCTATGGTTAAAAGGAAATATCTTCCCATAAAAACTAGACAGAAGCCGTCTCAGAAACTTGTTTGTGATGTGTGTATTCAACTAACAGAGTTGAACATTTCTGTTACAGAGCAATTTAAAACACTCTTTTTGTGGAATCTGAAAGTGGATAATTGGATAGCTTTGTGGATTTCGTTGGAAACGGGATGACGTATAAAATCTAGAGAGAAGCATTCTCAGGAACTTCTTTCTGATGTTTGCATTCAAGTCACAGAATTGAACATTCCTTTTCAGAGTGCAGGTTTGAAACACTCTTTCTGTAGTATCTGGAAGTGGACATTTCAAGCGCTTTCAGGCCTACGGGGAGAAAGGAAATATCTTCAAATAAAAACTAGAGAGAAGGATTCTCAGAAACTTATTTGTGATGTGTGTCCTAAACGAACACAGTTGAACCTTTGTTTTGATACAGCATTTTGGAAACACTCCTTTTGTAGGATCTGCAGGTGGATATTTGGATAGATTTTAAGATTTCGTTGGAAACGGGAATTTCTTCATAGAAGCTCAAGACAGATGCATTCTCAGAAACTTCTCTGTGATGTTTGCATTCCACTCATAGAGTTGAAAACTTCCTTTCATAGAGCAGGTTTGAAACACTCTTTTTGTAATATGTGGAAGTGGACATTTGCAGCGCTTTGAGGCCTATGGTGAAAAAGGAAATATCTTCTCATAAAAACCAGAAACAAGCATTCTCAGAAACTTCTTTTTGATGTGTGTACTCAAGTAACAGAGTTGAACCTTCCTTTTGACACAGCAGTTTTGAAACAATCTTTTTGTAGAATCTGCAAGTGGATATTTGGATAGCTTTGAGGATTTCGTTGGAAACGGGATATCTTCATATAAAATCTAGACAGAAGCATTCTCAGAAACTTCTTTGTGCTGTATGTCCTCAATTAACAGAGTTCAACCATTGCTTGGATACAGCATTTTGGAAACATTCCTTGAGTAGAATCTGCAAGTTGATATTTAGATAGATTTGAAGATTTCGTTGGAAAAGGGAATATCTCCATATAAAATCTAGAGGGAAGCATTCTCAGAAACTGCTTTGTGATGTTTCCATTCAAGTCACAGAGTTGAATATTCCCTTTTATAGAGCACGTTTGAAACACTCTTTCTGCACTATCTGGAAGTGGACATTTCGAGCGCTTTGAGGCCTATGGTGAAAAAGGAAATATCTTCCCATAAAAACTAGACAGAAGCATTCTCAGAAACTTGTTTGTGATGTGTGTATTCAACTAACAGAGTTGAACTTTTGTTTTTACAGAGCCGTTTTAAAACACTCTTTTTGTGGAATCAGAAAGTGGATATTCGGATGGCTCTGAGGATTTCGTTGGAAGCGGGATTACATATAAAATCTAGAGAGAAGCATTCTCAGGAACTTCTTTGTGATGTTTGCATTGAAGTCACAGAATTGAACATTCACTTTGATAGAGCAGGTTTGAAACACTCATTCTGTAGGATCTGGAAGTGGACATTTCAAGCGCTTTCAGGCCTATGGTGAGAAAGGAAATATCTTCGAATAAAAACTAGACAGAAGCATCCTCAGAAACTTATTTGTGATGTGTGTCCTCAACTAACAGAGTTGAAACTTTGTTTTGATACAGCATTTTGGAAACACTCTTTTTGTAGAATCTGCAGGTGGATATTTGGATAGCTTAGAGGGATTCGTTGGAAAGGGGATATCTTCATATAAAATCTAGACAGAAGCATTCTCAGAAACTTATTTGTGATGTGTGTCCTCAACTAACAGAGTTGAACCTTGGTTTTGATACAGCATTTTGGAAACACTCCTTTTGTAGAATCTGCAGGTGGATATGTGGATAGCTCTGAAGATTTCGTTGGAAACGGGAATTTCTTCATATGAAATCAAACAGAAGCATTCTCAGAAACTTCTCAGTGATGTTTGCATTCAGTTCATGGAGTTGAACACTTCCCTTCATAGAGCCGGTTTGAAACACTCTTTCTGCACTACCTGGAAGAGGACATTTCGAGCGCTTTGAGTCCTATGGTGAAAAAGGAAATATCTTCTCATAGAAACCAGAAAGAAGCATTCTCAGAAACTTCTTTGTGTTGTGTGTACTCATGTAACAGTGTTGAACCATCCTTTTGACAGAGCAGTTTTGAAACACTCTTTTTGTAGAATCTGCAAGTGGATATTTGGATAGCTTTGAGGATTTCGTTGGAAACGGGATGACATATAATATCTAGAGAGAAGCATTCTCAGGAACTTCTTTGTGATGTTTGCATTCAAGTCACAGAATTGAACATTCCCTTTCATAGAGCAGGTTTGAAACACTCTTTCTCTAGTATCTGGAAGTGGGCATTTCAAGCGCTTTCAGGCCTATGGAGAGAAAGGAAATACCTTCAAATAAAAACTAGACAGAAGCATTCTCAGAAACTTATTTGTGATGTGTGTCCTCAACTAACAGAGTTGAACCTTTGTTTTGATACAGCATTTTGGAAACACTCCTTTTGTAGAATCTGCAGGTGGATATTTGGATAGCTTTGAAGATTTCGTTGGAAACCGGAATATCTTCATATAAAATCAAGACAGAAGCATTCTCGGAAACATCTCTGTGATGTTTGCATTCAACTCAGTAGAGTTGAACACTTCCTTTCATAGAGCAGGTTTGAAACACTCTTTCTGCACTACCTGGAAGCGGACATTTCGAGCGCTTTGAGGCCTATGGTGAAAAAGGAAATATCTTCTCATAAAAACCAGAAAGAAGCATTCTCAGAAACTTCTTTGTGTTGTGTGTACTCAAGTAACAGTGTTGAACCTTCCTTTTGACAGAGCAGTTTTGAAACACTCTTTTGGTAGAATCTGCAAGTGGATATTTGGATAGCTTTGAGGATTTCGTTGGAAACGGGTTATCTTCATATAAAATCCAGACAGGAGCATTCTCAGAAACTTCTTTGTGCTGTATGTCCTCAATTCACAGAGCTGAACCTTTGTTTGGATACAGCATTTTGGAGACATTCCTTTAGTAGAATCTGCAAGTTGATATTTAGATAGCTTTGAAGATTTCGTTGGAAACGGGAATATCTTCATAGAAAATCTAGACGGAAGCATTCTCAGAAACTGCTTTGTGATGTTTGCATTCAAGTCACAGAGTTGAATATTCCCTTTTATAGAGTAGGTTTGAAACACTCTTTCGGCACTACCTGGAAGTGGATATTTCGAGCTCTTTGAGGCCTATGGTTAAAAGGAAATATCTTCCCATAAAAACTAGACAGAAGCCGTCTCAGAAACTTGTTTGTGATGTGTGTATTCAACTACCAGAGTTGAACATTTCTGTTACAGAGCAATTTTAAAACACTCTTTCTGTGGAATCTGAAAGTGGATAATTGGATAGCTTTGTGGATTTCGTTGGAAACGGGATGACGTATAAAATTCTAGAGAGAAAGCATTCTCAGAAACTTCTTACTGATGTTTGCATTCAAGTCACAGAATTGAACATTCCTTTTCATAGTGCAGGTTTGAAACACTCTTTCTGTACTATCTGGAAGTGGACATTTCAAGCGCTTTCAGGCCTATGGGGAGAAAGGAAATATCTTCAAATTAAAAACTAGACAGAAGGATTCTCAGAAACTTATTTGTGATGTGTGTCCTAAACGAACACAGTTGAACCTTTGTTTTGATACAGCATTTTGGAAACACTCCTTTTGTAGGATCTGCAGGTGGATATTTGGATAGATTTTAAGATTTCGTTGGAAACGGGAATTTCTGCATATAAACTCAAGACAGATGCATTCTCAGAAACTTCTCTGTGATGTTTGCATTCCACTCATAGAGTTGAAAACTTCCTTTCATAGAGCAGGTTTGAAACACTCTTTTTGTAATATTTGGAAGTGGACATTTGCAGCACTGTGAGGCCTATGGTGAAAAAGGAAATATCTTCTCATAAAAACCAGAAACAAGCATTCTCAGAAACTTCTTTTTGATGTGTGTACTCAAGTAACAGAGTTGAACCTTCCTTTTGACACAGCAGTTTTGAAACAATCTTTTTGTAGAATCTGCAAGTGGATATTTGGATAGCTTTGAGGATTTCGTTGGAAACGGGATATCTTCATATAAAATCTAGACAGAAGCATTCTCAGAAACTTCTTTGTGCTGTATGACCTCAATTAACAGAGTTGAACCATTGCTTGCATACAGCATTTTGGAAACATTCCTTGAGTAGAATCTGCAAGTTGATATTTAGATAGATTTGAAGATTTCGTTGGAAAAGGGAATATCTCCATATAAAATCTAGAGGGAAGCATTCTCAGAAACTGCTTTGTGATGTTTCCATTCAAGTCACAGAGTTGAATATTCCCTTTTATAGAGCACGTTTGAAACACTCTTTCTGCACTATCTGGAAGCGGACATTTCGAGCGCTTTGAGGCCTATGGTGAAAAAGGAAATATCTTCCCATAAAAACTAGACAGAAGCATTCTCAGAAACTTGTTTGTGATGTGTGTATTCAACTAACAGAGTTGAACTTTTGTTTTTACAGAGCCGTTTTAAAACACTCTTTTTGTGGAATCAGAAAGTGGATATTCGGATGGCTCTGAGGATTTCGTTGGAAGCGGGATTACGTATAAAATCTAGAGAGAAGCATTCTCAGAAACTTCTTTCTGATGTTTGCATTGAAGTCACAGAATTGAACATTCACTTTGATAGAGCAGGTTTGAAACACTCATTCTGTAGTATCTGGAAGTGGACATTTCAAGCGCTTTCAGGCCTATGGTGAGAAAGGAAATATCTTCGAATAAAAACTAGACAGAAGCATCCTCAAACTTATTTGTGATGTGTGTCCTCAACTAACAGACTTGAAACTTTGTTTTGATACAGCATTTTGGAAACACTCTTTTTGTAGAATCTGCAGGTGGATATTTGGATAGCTTAGAGGGATTCGTTGGAAAGGGGATATCTTCATATAAAATCTAGACAGAAGCATTCTCAGAAACTTATTTGTGATGTGTGTCCTCAACTAACAGAGTTGAACCTTGGTTTTGATACAGCATTTTGGAAACACTCCTTTTGTAGAATCTGCAGGTGGATAGGTGGATAGCTCTGAAGATTTCGTTGGAAACGGGAATTTCTTCATATAAAATCAAACAGAAGCATTCTCAGAAACTTCTCTGTGATGTTTGCATTCAGCTCATGGAGTTGAACACTTCCTTTCATAGAGCAGCTTTGAAACACTCTTTCTGCACTACCAGGAAGTGGACATTTCGAGAGCTTTGAGGCCTATGGTGAAAAAGGAAATATCTTCTCATAAAAACCAGAAAGAAGCATTCTCAGAAACTTCTTTGTGTTGTGTGTACTCATGTAACAGTGTTGAACCATCCTTTTGACAGAGCAGTTTTGAAACACTCTTTTTGTAGAATCTGCAAGTGGATATTTGGATAGCTTTGAGGATTTCGTTGGAAACGGGATGACATATAATATCTAGAGAGAAGCATTCTCAGGAACTTCTTTGTGATGTTTGCATTCAAGTCACAGAATTGAACATTCCCTTTCATAGAGCAGGTTTGAAACACTCTTTCTCTAGTATCTGGAAGTGGGCATTTCAAGCGCTTTCAGGCCTATGGAGAGAAAGGAAATACCTTCAAATAAAAACTAGACAGAAGCATTCTCAGAAACTTATTTGTGATGTGTGTCCTCAACTAACAGAGTTGAACCTTTGTTTTGATACAGCATTTTGGAAACACTCCTTTTGTAGAATCTGCAGGTGGATATTTGGATAGCTTTGAAGATTTCGTTGGAAACCGGAATATCTTCATATAAAATCAAGACAGAAGCATTCTCGGAAACATCTCTGTGATGTTTGCATTCAACTCAGTAGAGTTGAACACTTCCTTTCATAGAGCAGGTTTGAAACACTCTTTCTGCACTACCTGGAAGCGGACATTTCGAGCGCTTTGAGGCCTATGGTGAAAAAGGAAATGTCTTCTCATAAAAACCAGAAAGAAGCATTCTCAGAAACTTCTTTGTGTTGTGTGTACTCAAGTAACAGTGTTGAACCTTCCTTTTGACAGAGCAGTTTTGAAACACTCTTTTGGTAGAATCTGCAAGTGGATATTTGGATAGCTTTGAGGATTTCGTTGGAAACGGGTTATCTTCCTATAAAATCCAGACAGGAGCATTCTCAGAAACTTCTTTGTGCTGTATGTCCTCAATTCACAGAGCTGAACCTTTGTTTGGATACAGCATTTTGGAGACATTCCTTTAGTAGAATCTGCAAGTTGATATTTAGATAGCTTTGAAGATTTCGTTGGAAACGGGAATATCTTCATAGAAAATCTAGACGGAAGCATTCTCAGAAACTGCTTTGTGATGTTTGCATTCAAGTCACAGAGTTGAATATTCCCTTTTATAGAGTAGGTTTGAAACACTCTTTCGGCACTACCTGGAAGTGGATATTTCGAGCTCTTTGAGGCCTATGGTTAAAAGGAAATATCTTCCCATAAAAACTAGACAGAAGCCGTCTCAGAAACTTGTTTGTGATGTGTGTATTCAACTACCAGAGTTGAACATTTCTGTTACAGAGCAATTTTAAAACACCCTTTTTGTGGAATCTGAAAGTGGATAATTGGATAGCTTTGTGGATTTCGTTGGAAACGGGATGACGTATAAAATCTAGAGAGAAGCATTCTCAGGAACTTCTTTCTGATGTTTGCATTCAAGTCACAGAATTGAACATTCCTTTTCAGAGTGCAGGTTTGAAACACACTCTTTCTGTAGTATCTGGAAGTGGACATTTCAAGTGCTTTCAGGCCTACGGGGAGAAAGGAAATATCTTCAAATAAAAACTAGACAGAAGCATTATCAGAAACTTATTTGTGATGTGTGTCCTAAACGAACACAGTTTAACCTTTGTTTTGATACAGCGTTTTGGAAACACTCCTTTTGTAGAATCTGCAGGTGGATATTTGGATAGATTTTAAGATTTCGTTGGAAACGGGAATTTCTTCATAGAAACTCAAGACAGATGCATTCTCAGAAGCTTCTCTGTGATGTTTGCATTCCACTCACAGAGTTGAAAACTTCCTTTCATAGAGCAGGTTTGAAACACTCTTTTTGTAATATTTGGAAGTGGACATTTGCAGCGCTTTGAGGCCTATGGTGAAAAAGGAAATATCTTCTCATAAAACCAGAAACAAGCATTCTCAGAAACTTCTTTTTGATGTGTGTACTCAAGTAACAGTGTTGAACCTTCCTTTTGACACAGCAGTTTTGAAACAATCTTTTTGTAGAATCTGCAAGTGGATATTTGGATAGCTTTGAGGATTTCGTTGGAAACGGGATATCTTCATATAAAATCTAGACAGAAGCATTCTCAGAAACTTCTTTGTGCTGTATGTCCTCAATTAACAGAGTTGAACCATTGCTTGGATACAGCATTTTGGAAACATTCCTTGAGTAGAATCTGCAAGTTGATATTTAGATAGATTTGAAGATTTCGTTGGAAAAGGGAATATCTCCATATAAAATCTAGAGGGAAGCATTCTCAGAAACTGCTTTGTGATGTTTCCATTCAAGTCACAGAGTTGAATATTCCCTTTTATAGAGCACGTTTGAAACACTCTTTCTGCACTATCTGGAAGTGGACATTTCGAGCGCTTTGAGGCCTACGGTGAAAAAGGAAATATCTTCCCATAAAAACTAGACAGAAGCATTCTCAGAAACTTGTTTGTGATGTGTGTATTCAACTAACAGACTTGAACTTTTGTTTTTACAGAGCAGTTTTAAAACAATCTTTTTGTGGAATCAGAAAGTGGATATTCGGATGGCTTTGAGGATTTCGTTGGAAGCGGGATTACATATAAAATGTATAGAGAAGCATTCTCAGGAACTACTTTGTGATGTTTGCATTGAAGTCACAGAATTGAACATTCACTTTGATAGAGCAGGTTTGAAACACTCATTCTGTAGTATCTGGAAGTGGACATCTCAAGCGCTTTCAGGCCTATGGTGAGAAAGGCAATATCTTCAAATAAAAACTAGACAGAAGCATCCTCAAACTTATTTGTGATGTGTGTCCTCAACTAACAGAGTTGAAACTTTGTTTTGATACAGCATTTTGGAAACACTCTTTTTGTAGAATCTGCAGGTGGATATTTGGATAGCTTAGAGGGATTCGTTGGAAAGGGGATATCTTCATATAGAATCTAGACAGAAGCATTCTCAGAAACTTATTTGTGATGTGTGTCCTCAACTAACAGAGTTGAACTTTGGTTTTGATACAGCATTTTGGAAACACTCCTTTTGTAGAATCTGCAGGTGGATATGTGGATAGCTCTGAAGATTTCGATGGAAACGGGAATTTCTTCATATAAAATCAAACAGAAGCATTCTCAGAAACTTCTCAGTGATGTTTGCATTCAGTTCATGGAGTTGAACACTTCCTTTCATAGAGCCGGTTTGAAACACTCTTTCTGCACTGCCTGGAAGAGGACATTTCGAGCGCTTTGAGTCTTATGGTGAAAAAGGAAATATCTTCTCATAGAAACCAGAAAGAAGCATTCTCAGAAACTTCGTTGTGTTGTGTGTACTCATGTAACAGTGTCGAACCATCCTTTTGACAGAGGAGTTTTGAAACACTCTTTTTGTAGAATCTGCAAGTGGATATTTGGATAGCTTTGAGGATTTCGTTGGAAACGGGATGACATATAATATCTAGAGAGAAGCATTCTCAGGAACTTCTTTGTGATGTTTGCATTCAAGTCACAGAATTGAACATTCCCTTTCATAGAGCAGGTTTGAAACACTCTTTCTCTAGTATCTGGAAGTGGGCATTTCAAGCGCTTTGAGGCCTATGGAGAGAAAGGAAATACCTTCAAATAAAAACTAGACAGAAGCATTCTCAGAAACTTATTTGTGATGTGTGTCCTCAACTAACAGAGTTGAACCTTTGTTTTGATACAGCATTTTGGAAACACTCCTTTTGTAGAATCTGCAGGTGGATATTTGGATAGCTTTGAAGATTTCGTTGGAAACCGGAATATCTTCATATAAAATCAAGACAGAAGCATTCTCGGAAACATCTCTGTGATGTTTGCATTCAACTCAGTAGAGTTGAACACTTCCTTTCATAGAGCAGGTTTGAAACACTCTTTCTGCACTACCTGGAAGCGGACATTTCGAGCGCTTTGAGGCCTATGGTGAAAAAGGAAATATCTTCTCATAAAAACCAGAAAGAAGCATTCTCAGAAACTTCTTTGTGTTGTGTGTACTCAAGTAACAGTGTTGAACCTTCCTTTTGACAGAGCAGTTTTGAAACACTCTTTTGGTAGAATCTGCAAGTGGATATTTGGATAGCTTTGAGGATTTCGTTGGAAACGGGTTATCTTCATATAAAATCCAGACAGGAGCATTCTCAGAAACTTCTTTGTGCTGTATGTCCTCAATTCACAGAGCTGAACCTTTGTTTGGATACAGCATTTTGGAGACATTCCTTTAGTAGAATCTGCAAGTTGATATTTAGATAGCTTTGAAGATTTCGTTGGAAACGGGAATATCTTCATAGAAAATCTAGACGGAAGCATTCTCAGAAACTGCTTTGTGATGTTTGCATTCAAGTCACAGAGTTGAATATTCCCTTTTATAGAGTAGGTTTGAAACACTCTTTCGGCACTACCTGGAAGTGGATATTTCGAGCTCTTTGAGGCCTATGGTTAAAAGGAAATATCTTCCCATAAAAACTAGACAGAAGCCGTCTCAGAAACTTGTTTGTGATGTGTGTATTCAACTAACAGAGTTGAACATTTCTGTTACAGAGCAATTTTAAAACACTCTTTTTGTGGAATCTGAAAGTGGATAATTGGGTAGCTTTGTGGATTTCGTTGGAAACGGGATGACGTATAAAATCTAGAGAGAAGCATTCTCAGGAACTTCTTTCTGATGTTTGCATTCAAGTCACAGAATTGACATTCCTTTTCAGAGTGCAGGTTTGAAACACTCTTTCTGTAGTATCTGGAAGTGGACATTTCAAGCGCTTTCAGGCCTACGGGGAGAAAGGAAATATCTTCAAATAAAAAGTAGACAGAAGGATTCTCAGAAACTTATTTGTGATGTGTGTCCTAAGTGAACACAGTTGAACCTTTGTTTTGATACAGCATTTTGGAAACACTCCTTTTGTAGGATCTGCAGGTGGATATTTGGATAGATTTTAAGATTTCATTGGAAACGGGAATTTCTGCATAGAAACTCAAGACAGATGCATTCTCAGAAACTTCTCTGTGATGTTTGCATTCCACTCATAGAGTTGAAAACTTCCTTTCATAGAGCAGGTTTGAAACACTCTTTTTGTAATATTTGGAAGTGGACCTTTGCAGCGCTTTGAGGCCTATGGTGAAAAAGGAAATATCTTCTCATAAAAACCAGAAACAAGCATTCTCAGAAACTTCTTTTTGATGTGTGTACTCAAATATCAGAGTTGAACCTTCCTTTTGACACAGCAGTTTTGAAACAATCTTTTTGTAGAATCTGCAAGTGGATATTTGGATAGCTTTGAGGATTTCGTTGGAAACGGGATATCTTCATATAAAATCTAGACAGAAGCATTCTCAGAAACTTCTTTGTGCTGTATGTCCTCAATTAACAGAGTTGAACCATTGCTTGGATACAGCATTTTGGAAACATTCCTTGAGTAGAATCTGCAAGTTGATATTTAGATAGATTTGAAGATTTCGTTGGAAAAGGGAATATCTCCATATAAAATCTAGAGGGAAGCATTCTCAGAAACTGCTTTATGATGTTTCCATTCAAGTCACAGAGTTGAATATTCCCTTTTATAGAGCACGTTTGAAACAATCTTTCTGCACTATCTGGAAGTGGACATTTCGAGCGCTTTGAGGCCTATGGTGAAAAAGGAAATATCTTCCCATAAAAACTAGACAGAAGCATTCTCAGAAACTTGTTTGTGATGTGTGTATTCAACTAACAGAGTTGAACTTTTGTTTTTACAGAGCCGTTTTAAAACACTCTTTTTGTGGAATCAGAAAGTGGATATTCGGATGGCTCTGAGGATTTCGTTGGAAGCGGGATTACATATAAAATCTAGAGAGAAGCATTCTCAGGAACTTCTTTGTGATGTTTGCATTGAAGTCACAGAATTGAACATTCACTTTGATAGAGCAGGTTTGAAACACTCATTCTGTAGTATCTGGAAGTGGACATTTCAAGCGCTTTCAGGCCTATGGTGAGAAAGGAAATATCTTCGAATAAAAACTAGACAGAAGCATCCTCAAACTTATTTGTGATGTGTGTCCTCAACTAACAGAGTTGAAACTTTGTTTTGATACAGCATTTTGGAAACACTCTTTTTGTAGAATCTGCAGGTGGATATTTGGATAGCTTAGAGGGATTCGTTGGAAAGGGGATATCTTCATATAGAATCTAGACAGAAGCATTCTCAGAAACTTATTTGTGATGTGTGTCCTCAACTAACAAGAGTTGAACCTTGGTTTTGATACAGCATTTTGGAAACACTCCTTTTGTAGAATCTGCAGGTGGATATGTGGATAGCTCTGAAGATTTCGTTGGAAACGGGAATTTCTTCATATAAAATCAAACAGAAGCATTCTCAGAAACTTCTCAGTGATGTTTGCATTCAGTTCATGGAGTTGAACACTTCCTTTCATAGAGCCGGTTTGAAACACTCTTTCTGCACTACCTGGAAGAGGACATTTCGAGCGCTTTGAGTCCTATGGTGAAAAAGGAAATATCTTCTCATAGAAACCAGAAAGAAGCATTCTCAGAAACTTCTTTGTGTTGTGTGTACTCATGTAACAGTGTTGAACCATCCTTTTGACAGAGCAGTTTTGAAACACTCTTTTTGTAGAATCTGCAAGTGGATATTTGGATAGCTTTGAGGATTTCGTTGGAAACGGGATGACATATAATATCTAGAGAGAAGCATTCTCAGGAACTTCTTTGTGATGTTTGCATTCAAGTCACAGAATTGAACATTCCCTTTCATAGAGCAGGTTTGAAACACTCTTTCTCTAGTATCTGGAAGTGGGCATTTCAAGCGCTTTCAGGCCTATGGAGAGAAAGGAAATACCTTCAAATAAAAACTAGACAGAAGCATTCTCAGAAACTTATTTGTGATGTGTGTCCTCAACTAACAGAGTTGAACCTTTGTTTTGATACAGCATTTTGGAAACACTCCTTTTGTAGAATCTGCAGGTGGATATTTGGATAGCTTTGAAGATTTCGTTGGAAACCGGAATATCTTCATATAAAATCAAGACAGAAGCATTCTCGGAAACATCTCTGTGATGTTTGCATTCAACTCAGTAGAGTTGAACACTTCCTTTCATAGAGCAGGTTTGAAACACTCTTTCTGCACTACCTGGAAGCGGACATTTCGAGCGCTTTGAGGCCTATGGTGAAAAAGGAAATATCTTCTCATAAAAACCAGAAAGAAGCATTCTCAGAAACTTCTTTGTGTTGTGTGTACTCAAGTAACAGTGTTGAACCTTCCTTTTGACAGAGCAGTTTTGAAACACTCTTTTGGTAGAATCTGCAAGTGGATATTTGGATAGCTTTGAGGATTTCGTTGGAAACGGGTTATCTTCCTATAAAATCCAGACAGGAGCATTCTCAGAAACTTCTTTGTGCTGTATGTCCTCAATTCACAGAGCTGAACCTTTGTTTGGATACAGCATTTTGGAGACATTCCTTTAGTAGAATCTGCAAGTTGATATTTAGATAGCTTTGAAGATTTCGTTGGAAACGGGAATATCTTCATAGAAAATCTAGACGGAAGCATTCTCAGAAACTGCTTTGTGATGTTTGCATTCAAGTCACAGAGTTGAATATTCCCTTTTATAGAGTAGGTTTGAAACACTCTTTCGGCACTACCTGGAAGTGGATATTTCGAGCTCTTTGAGGCCTATGGTTAAAAGGAAATATCTTCCCATAAAAACTAGACAGAAGCCTTCTCAGAAACTTGTTTGAGATGTGTGTATTCAACTAAGAGCGTTGAACATTTCTTTCTACACAGCAGTTTTAAAACACTCTTTTTGTGGAATCTGAAAGTGGATAATTGGATAGCTTTGTGGATTTCGTTGGAAACGGGATTACGTATAAAATCTAGAGAGAAGCATTCTCAGGAACTTCTTTCTGATGTTTGCATTCAAGTCACAGAATTGAACATTCCTTTTCATAGTGCAGGTTTGAAACACTCTTTCTGTAGTATCTGGAAGTGGACATTTCAAGCGCTTTCAGGCCTATGGGGAGAAAGGAAATATCTTCAAATAAAAACTGGACAGAAGGATTCTCAGAAACTTATTTGTGATGTGTGTCCTAAACGAACACAGTTGAACCTTTGTTTTGATACAGCATTTTGGAAACACTCCTTTTGTAGGATCTGCAGGTGGATATTTGGATAGATTTTAAGATTTCGTTGGAAACGGGAATTTCTTCATAGAAGATCAAGACAGATGCATTCTCAGAAACTTCTCTGTGATGTTTGCATTCCACTCATAGAGTTGAAAACTTCCTTTCATAGAGCACGTTTGAAACACTCTTTTTGTAATATTTGGAAGTGGACCTTTGCAGCGCTTTGAGGCCTGTGGTGAAAAAGGAAATATCTTCTCATAAAAACCAGAAACAAGCATTCTCAGAAACTTCTTTTTGATGTGTGTACTCAAGTAACAGAGTTGAACCTTCCTTTTGACACAGCAGTTTTGAAACAATCTTTTTGTAGAATCTGCAAGTGGATATTTGGATACCTTTGAGGATTTCGTTGCAAACGGGATATCTTCATATAAAATCTAGACAGAAGCATTCTCAGAAACTTCTTTGTGCTGTATGTCCTCAATTAACGGAGTTGAACCATTGCTTGGATACAGCATTTTGGAAACATTCCTTTAGTAGAATCTGCAAGTTGATATTTAGATAGATTTGAAGATTTCGTTGGAAACGGGAATATCTTCATATAAAATCTAGACGGAAGCATTCTCAGAAACTGCTTTGTGATGTTTCCATTCAAGTCACAGAGTTGAATATTCTCTTTTATAGAGCACGTTTGAAACACTCTTTCTGCACTATCTGGAAGTGGACATTTCGAGCGCTTTGAGGCCTATGGTGAAAAAGGAAATATCTTCCCATAAAAACTAGACAGAAGCATTCTCAGAAACTTGTTTGTGATGTGTGTATTCAACTAACAGAGTTGAACTTTTGTTTCTACAGAGCAGTTTTAAAACACTCTTTTTGTGGAATCAGAAAGTGGATATTCTGATGGCTCTGAGGATTTCGTTGGAAGCGGGATTACATATAAAATCTAGAGAGAAGCATTCTCAGGAACTCCTTTGTGATGTTTGCATTGAAGTCACAGAATTGAACATTCACTTTTATAGAGCAGGTTTGAAACACTCATTCTGTAGTATCTGGAAGTGGACATTTCAAGCGCTTTCAGGCCTATGGTGAGAAAGGAAATACCTTCAAATAAAAACTAGACAGAAGCATCCTCAAACTTATTTGTGATGTGTGTCCTCAACTAACAGAGTTGAAACTTTGTTTTGATACAGCATTTTGGAAACACTCTTTTTGTAGAATCTGCAGGTGGATATTTGGATACCTTAGAGGGATTCGTTGGAAAGGGGATATCTTCATATAAAATCTAGACAGAAGCATTCTCAGAAACTTATTTGTGATGTGTGTCCTCAACTAACAGAGTTGAACGTTGGTTTTGATACAGCAATTTGGAAACACTCCTTTTGTAGAATCTGCAGGTGGATATGTGGATAGATTTGAAGATTTCATTGGAAACGGGAATTTCTTCATATAAAATCAAACAGAAGCATTCTCAGAAACTTCTCAGTGATGTTTGCATTCAGCTCATGGAGTTGTACACTTCCTTTCATAGAGCAGGTTTGAAACACTCTTTCTGCACTACCTGGAAGAGGACATTTCGAGCGCTTTGAGTCCTATGGTGAAAAAGGAAATATCTTCTCATAGAAACCAGAAAGAAGCATTCTCAGAAACTTCTTTGTGTTGTGTGTACTCATGTAACAGTGTTGAACCATCCTTTTGACAGAGGAGTTTTGAAACACTCTTTTTGTAGAATCTGCAAGTGGATATTTGGATAGCTTTGAGGATTTCGTTGGAAACGGGATGACATATAATATCTAGAGAGAAGCATTCTCAGGAACTTCTTTGTGATGTTTGCATTCAAGTCACAGAATTGAACATTCCCTATCATAGAGCAGGTTTGAAACACTCTTTCTCTAGTATCTGGAAGTGGGCATTTCAAGCGCTTTCAGGCCTATGGAGAGAAAGGAAATACCTTCGAATAAAAACTAGACAGAAGCATTCTCAGAAACTTATTTGTGATGTGTGTCCTCAACTAACAGAGTTGAACCTTTGTTTTGATACAGCATTTTGGAAACACTCCTTTTGTAGAATCTGCAGGTGGATATGTGGATAGCTTTGAAGATTTCGTTGGAAACCGGAATATCTTCCTATAAAATCAAGACAGAAGCATTCTCGGAAACATCTCTGTGATGTTTGCATTCAACTCAGTAGAGTTGAACACGTCCTTTCATAGAGCAGGTTTGAAACACTCTTTCTGCCCTACCTGGAAGCGGACATTTCGAGCTCTTTGAGGCCTATGGTGAAAAAGGAAATATCTTCTCATAAAAACCAGAAAGAAGCATTCTCAGAAACTTCTTTGTGTTGTGTGTACTCAAGTAACAGTGTTGAACCTTCCTTTTGACAGAGCAGTTTTGAAACACTCTTTTGGTAGAATCTGCAAGTGGATATTTGGATAGCTTTGAGGATTTCGTTGGAAACGGGTTATCTTCATATAAAATCCAGACAGGAGCATTCTCAGAAACTTCTTTGTGCTGTATATCCTCAATTCACAGAGCTGAACCTTTGTTTGGATACAGCATTTTGGAGGCATTCCTTTAGTAGAATCTGCAAGTTGATATTTAGATAGCTTTGAAGATTTCGTTGGAAACTGGGAATATCTTCATAGAAAATCTAGACGGAAGCATTCTCAGAAACTGCTTTGTGATGTTTGCATTCAAGTCACAGAGTTGAATATTCCCTTTTATAGAGTAGGTTTGAAACACTCTTTCGGCACTACCTGGAAGTGGATATTTCGAGCTCTTTGAGGCCTATGGTTAAAAGGAAATATCTTCCCATAAAAACTAGACAGAAGCCGTCTCAGAAACTTGTTTGTGATGTGTGTATTCAACTAACAGAGTTGAACATTTCTGTTACAGAGCAATTTTAAAACACTCTTTTTGTGGAATCTGAAAGTGGATAAT
The DNA here is from genome assembly GCF_000001405.40 of Homo sapiens. Classification (NCBI taxonomy): domain Eukaryota; kingdom Metazoa; phylum Chordata; class Mammalia; order Primates; family Hominidae; genus Homo; species Homo sapiens. Next base: position 49,771,717 of record NC_000004.12, read on the forward strand.
TGGATAGCTTTGTGGATTTCGTTGGAAACGGGATGACGTATAAAATCTAGAGAGAAGCATTCTCAGGAACTTCTTTCTGATGTTTGCATTCAAGTCACAGAATTGAACATTCCTTTTCAGAGTGCAGGTTTGAAACACTCTTTCTGTAGTATCTGGAAGTGGACATTTCAAGCGCTTTCAGGCCTACGGGGAGAAAGGAAATATCTTCAAATAAAAACTAGACAGAAGCATTCTCAGAAACTTATTTGCGATGTGTGTTCTCAACTAACAGAGTTGAACCTTTGTTTTGATACAGCATTTTGGAAACACTCTTTTTGTAGGATCTGCAGGTGGATATTTGGATAGCTTTGAAGGTTTCGTTGGAAACGGGAATATCTTCATATAAAATCAAGACAGAAGCATTCTCAGAAACTTCTTTGTGATGTTTGCATTCAACTCATAGAGTTGAACACTTCCCTTCATACAGCAGGTTTGAAACACTCTTTTTGTAATATTTGGAAGTGGCCATTTGCAGCGCTTTGAGGCCTATGTTGAAAAAGGGAATATCTTCTACTAAAAACCAGACAGAAGCATTCTCAGAAACTTCTTTTTGATGTGTGTACTCAAGTAACAGAGTTGAACCTTCCTTTTGACACAGTAGTTTTGAAACAATCTTTTTGTAGAATCTGCAAGTGGATATTTGGATAGCTTTGAGGATTTCGTTGGAAACGGGATATCTTCATATAAAATCTAGACAGAAGCATTCTCAGAAACTTCTTTGTGCTGTATGTCCTCAATTAACAGAGTTGAACCATTGCTTGGATACAGCATTTTGGAAACATTCCTTTAGTAGAATGTGCAAGTTGATATTTAGATAGATTTGAAGATTTCGTTGGAAACGGGAATATCTTCATATAAAATCTAGACGGAGGCATTCTCAGAAACTGCTTTGTGATGTTTCCATTCAAGTCACAGAGTTGAATATTCTCTTTTATAGAGCACGTTTGAAACACTCTTTCTGCACTATCTGGAAGTGGACATTTCAAGCGCTGTGAGGCCTATGGTGAAAAAGGAAATATCTTCCCATAAAAACTAGACAGAAGCATTCTCAGAAACTTCTTTGTGATGTGTGTATTCAACTAACAGACTTGAACTTTTGTTTTTACAGAGCAGTTTTAAGACAATCTTTTTGTGGAATCAGAAAGTGGATATTCGGATGGCTTTGAGGACTTCGTTGGAAGCGGGATTACATATAAAATCTAGAGAGAAGCATTCTCAGGAACTACTTTGTGATGTTTGTATTGAAGTCACAGAATTGAACATTCACTTTGATAGAGCAGGTTTGAAACACTCATTCTGTAGTATCTGGAAGCGGACAATTCAAGCGCTTTCAGGCCTATGGGGAGAAAGGAAATATCTTCAAATAAAAACTAGAGAGAAGCATCCTCAGAAACTTATTTGTGATGTGTGTTCTCAACTAACAGAGTTGAAACTTTGTTTTGATACAGCATTTTGGAAACACTCTTTTTGTAGAATCTGCAGGTGGATATTTGGATAGCTTAGAGGGATTCGTTGGAAAGGGGATATCTTCATATAAAATCTAGACAGAAGCATTCTCAGAAACTTATTTGTGATGTGTGTCCTCAACTAACAGAGTTGAACCTTGGTTTTGATACAGCATTTTGGAAACACTCCTTTTGTAGAATCTGCAGGTGGATATGTGGATAGCTCTGAAGATTTCGTTGGAAACGGGAATTTCTTCATATAAAATCAAACAGAAGCATTCTCAGAAACTTCTCAGTGATGTTTGCATTCAGCTCATGGAGTTGAACACTTCCTTTCATAGAGCAGGTTTGAAACACTCTTTCTGCACTACCTGGAAGAGGACATTTCGAGCGCTTTGAGTCCTATGGTGAAAAAGGAAATATCTTCTCATAGAAACCAGAAAGAAGCATTCTCAGAAACTTCTTTGTGTTGTGTGTACTCATGTAACAGTGTTGAACCATCCTTTTGACAGAGGAGTTTTGAAACACTCTTTTTGTAGAATCTGCAAGTGGATATTTGGATAGCTTTGAGGATTTCGTTGGAAACGGGATGACATATAATATCTAGAGAGAAGCATTCTCAGGAACTTCTTTGTGATGTTTGCATTCAAGTCACAGAATTGAACATTCCCTTTCATAGAGCAGGTTTGAAACACTCTTTCTCTAGTATCTGGAAGTGGGCATTTCAAGCGCTTTCAGGCCTATGGAGAGAAAGGAAATACCTTCAAATAAAAACTAGACAGAAGCATTCTCAGAAACTTATTTGTGATGTGTGTCCTCAACTAACAGAGTTGAACCTTTGTTTTGATACAGCATTTTGGAAACACTCCTTTTGTAGAATCTGCAGGTGGATATTTGGATAGCTTTGAAGATTTCGTTGGAAACCGGAATATCTTCATATAAAATCAAGACAGAAGCATTCTCGGAAACATCTCTGTGATGTTTGCATTCAACTCAGTAGAGTTGAACACTTCCTTTCATAGAGCAGGTTTGAAACACTCTTTCTGCACTACCTGGAAGCGGACATTTCGAGCGCTTTGAGGCCTATGGTGAAAAAGGAAATATCTTCTCATAAAAACCAGAAAGAAGCATTCTCAGAAACTTCTTTGTGTTGTGTGTACTCAAGTAACAGTGTTGAACCTTCCTTTTGACAGAGCAGTTTTGAAACACTCTTTTGGTAGAATCTGCAAGTGGATATTTGGAGAGCTTTGAGGATTTCGTTGGAAACGGGTTATCTTCATATAAAATCCAGACAGGAGCATTCTCAGAAACTTCTTTGTGCTGTATGTCCTCAATTCACAGAGCTGAACCTTTGTTTGGATACAGCATTTTGGAGACATTCCTTTAGTAGAATCTGCAAGTTGATATTTAGATAGCTTTGAAGATTTCGATGGAAACGGGAATATCTTCATAGAAAATCTAGACGGAAGCATTCTCAGAAACTGCTTTGTGATGTTTGCATTCAAGTCACAGAGTTGAATATTCCCTTTTATAGAGTAGGTTTGAAACACTCTTTCGGCACTACCTGGAAGTGGATATTTCGAGCTCTTTGAGGCCTATGGTTAAAAGGAAATATCTTCCCATAAAAACTAGACAGAAGCCGTCTCAGAAACTTGTTTGTGATGTGTGTATTCAACTAACAGAGTTGAACATTTCTGTTACAGAGCAATTTTAAAACACTCTTTGTGGAATCTGAAAGTGGATAATTGGATAGCTTTGTGGATTTCGTTGGAAACGGGATGACGTATAAAATCTAGAGAGAAGCATTCTCAGGAACTTCTTTCTGATGTTTGCATTCAAGTCACAGAATTGAACATTCCTTTTCAGAGTGCAGGTTTGAAACACTCTTTCTGTAGTATCTGGAAGTGGACATTTCAAGCGCTTTCAGGCCTACGGGGAGAAAGGAAATATCTTCAAATAAAAACTAGACAGAAGGATTCTCAGAAACTTATTTGTGATGTGTGTCCTAAACGAACACAGTTGAACCTTTGTTTTGATACAGCATTTTGGAAACACTCCTTTTGTAGGATCTGCAGGTGGATATTTGGATAGATTTTAAGATTTCGTTGGAAACGGGAATTTCTTCATAGAAGCTCAAGACAGATGCATTCTCAGAAACTTCTCTGTGATGTTTGCATTCCACTCATAGAGTTGAAAACTTCCTTTCATAGAGCAGGTTTGAAACACTCTTTTTGTAATATTTGGAAGTGGACATTTGCAGCGCTTTGAGGCCTATGGTGAAAAAGGAAATATCTTCTCATAAAAACCAGAAACAAGCATTCTCAGAAACTTCTTTTTGATGTGTGTACTCAAGTAACAGAGTTGAACCTTCCTTTTGACACAGCAGTTTTGAAACAATCTTTTTGTAGAATCTGCAAGTGGATATTTGGATAGCTTTGAGGATTTCGTTGGAAACGGGATATCTTCATATAAAATCTAGAGAGAAGCATTCTCAGAAACTTCTTTGTGCTGTATGTCCTCAATTAACAGAGTTGAACCATTGCCTGCATACAGCATTTTGGAAACATTCCTTGAGTAGAATCCGCAAGTTGATATTTAGATAGATTTGAAGATTTCGTTGGAAAAGGGAATATCTCCATATAAAATCTAGAGGGAAGCATTCTCAGAAACTGCTTTGTGATGTTTCCATTCAAGTCACAGAGTTGAATATTCCCTTTTATAGAGCACGTTTGAAACACTCTTTCTGCACTATCTGGAAGCGGACATTTCGAGCGCTTTGAGGCCTATGGTGAAAAAGGAAATATCTTCCCATAAAAACTAGACAGAAGCATTCTCAGAAACTTGTTTGTGATGTGTGTATTCAACTAACAGAGTTGAACTTTTGTTTTTACAGAGCCGTTTTAAAACACTCTTTTTGTGGAATCAGAAAGTGGATATTCGGATGGCTCTGAGGATTTCGTTGGAAGCGGGATTACGTATAAAATCTAGAGAGAAGCATTCTCAGGCAACTTCTTTGTGATGTTTGCATTGAAGTCACGGAATTGAACATTCACTTTTATAGAGCAGGTTTGAAACACTCATTCTGTAGTATCTGGAAGTGGACATTTCAAGCGCTTTCAGGCCTATGGTGAGAAAGGAAATATCTTCGAATAAAAACTAGACAGAAGCATCCTCAGAAACTTATTTGTGATGTGTGTCCTCAACTAACAGAGTTGAAACTTTGTTTTGATACAGCATTTTGGAAACACTCTTTTTGTAGAATCTGCAGGTGGATATTTGGATAGCTTAGAGGGATTCGTTGGAAAGGGGATATCTTCATATAAAATCTAGACAGAAGCATTCTCAGAAACTTATTTGTGATGTGTGTCCTCAACTAACAGAGTTGAACCTTGGTTTTGATACAGCATTTTGGAAACACTCCTTTTGTAGAATCTGCATGTGGATATGTGGATAGCTCTGAAGATTTCGTTGGAAACGGGAATTTCTTCATATAAAATCAAACAGAAGCATTCTCAGAAACTTCTCAGTGATGTTTGCATTCAGTTCATGGAGTTGAACACTTCCCTTCATAGAGCCGGTTTGAAACACTCTTTCTGCACTACCTGGAAGAGGACATTTCGAGCGCTTTGAGTCCTATGGTGAAAAAGGAAATATCTTCTCATAGAAACCAGAAAGAAGCATTCTCAGAAACTTCTTTGTGTTGTGTGTACTCATGTAACAGTGTTGAACCATCCTTTTGACAGAGCAGTTTTGAAACACTCTTTTTGTAGAATCTGCAAGTGGATATTTGGATAGCTTTGAGGATTTCGTTGGAAACGGGATGACATATAATATACTAGAGAGAAGCATTCTCAGGAACTTCTTTGTGATGTTTGCATTCAAGTCACAGAACTGAACATTCCCTTTCATAGAGCAGGTTTGAAACACTCTTTCTGTAGTATCTGCAACCGGACGTTTCAAGCGCTTTCAGGCCTGTGGTGAAAAAGGAAATATCTTCAAATAAAAACTAGACAGAAGCATTCTCAGAAACTTATTTGTGATGTGTGTCCTCAACTAACAGAGTTGAACCTTTGTTTTGATACAGCATTTTGGAAACACTCCTTTTGTAGAATCTGCAGGTGGATATTTGGATAGCTTTGAAGATTTCGTTGGAAACCGGAATATCTTCCTATAAAATCAAGACAGAAGCATTCTCGGAAACATCTCTGTGATGTTTGCATTCAACTCAGTAGAGTTGAACACTTCCTTTCATAGAGCAGGTTTGAAACACTCTTTCTGCCCTACCTGGAAGCGGACATTTCGAGCTCTTTGAGGCCTATGGTGAAAAAGGAAATATCTTCTCATAAAAACCAGAAAGAAGCATTCTCAGAAACTTCTTTGTGTTGTGTGTACTCAAGTAACAGTGTTGAACCTTCCTTTTGACAGAGCAGTTTTGAAACACTCTTTTGGTAGAATCTGCAAGTGGATATTTGGATAGCTTTGAGGAATTCGTTGGAAACGGGTTGTCTTCATATAAAATCCAGACAGGAGCATTCTCAGAAACTTCTTTGTGCTGTATGTCCTCAATTCACAGAGCTGAACCTTTGTTTGGATACAGCATTTTGGAGACATTCCTTTAGTAGAATCTGCAAGTTGATATTTAGATAGCTTTGAAGATTTCGTTGGAAACGGGAATATCTTCATAGAAAATCTAGACGGAAGCATTCTCAGAAACTGCTTTGTGATGTTTGCATTCAAGTCACAGAGTTGAATATTCCCTTTTATAGAGTAGGTTTGAAACACTCTTTCGGCACTACCTGGAAGTGGATATTTCGAGCTCTTTGAGGCCTATGGTTAAAAGGAAATATCTTCCCATAAAAACTAGACAGAAGCCGTCTCAGAAACTTGTTTGTGATGTGTGTATTCAACTAACAGAGTTGAACATTTCTGTTACAGAGCAATTTTAAAACACTCTTTTTGTGGAATCTGAAAGTGGATAATTGGATAGCTTTGTGGATTTCGTTGGAAACGGGATGACGTATAAAATCTAGAGAGAAGCATTCTCAGGAACTTCTTTCTGATGTTTGCATTCAAGTCACAGAATTGAACATTCCTTTTCAGAGTGCAGGTTTGAAACACTCTTTCTGTAGTATCTGGAAGTGGACATTTCAAGCGCTTTCAGGCCTACGGGGAGAAAGGAAATATCTTCAAATAAAAACTAGACAGAAGGATTCTCAGAAACTTATTTGTGATGTGTGTCCTAAACGAACACAGTTGAACCTTTGTTTTGATACAGCATTTTGGAAACACTCCTTTTGTAGGATCTGCAGGTGGATATTTGGATAGATTTTAAAATTTCGTTGGAAACGGGAATTTCTTCATAGAAGCTCAAGACAGATGCATTCTCAGAAACTTCTCTGTGATGTTTGCATTCCACTCATAGAGTTGAAAACTTCCTTTCATAGAGCAGGTTTGAAACACTCTTTTTGTAATATTTGGAAGTGGACATTTGCAGCGCTTTGAGGCCTATGGTGAAAAAGGAAATATCTTCTCATAAAAACCAGAAACAAGCATTCTCAGAAACTTCTTTTTGATGTGTGTACTCAAGTAACAGAGTTGAACCTTCTTTTTGACACAGCAGTTTTGAAACAATCTTTTTGTAGAATCTGCAAGTGGATATTTGGATAGCTTTGAGGATTTCGTTGGAAACGGGATATCTTCATATAAAATCTAGACAGAAGCATTCTCAGAAACTTCTTTGTGCTCTATGTCCTCAATTAACAGAGTTGAACCATTGCTTGCATACAGCATTTTGGAAACATTCCTTTAGTAGAATCTGCAAGTTGATATTTAGATAGATTTGAAGATTTCGTTGGAAACGGGAATATCTTCATATAAAATCTAGACGGAAGCATTCTCAGAAACTGCTTTGTGATGTTTCCATTCAAGTCACAGAGTTGAATATTCCCTTTTATAGAGCACGTTTGAAACACTCTTTCTGCACTATCTGGAAGCGGACATTTCGAGCACTTTGAGGCCTATGGTGAAAAAGGAAATATCTTCCCATAAAAACTAGACAAAAGCATTCTCAGAAACTTGTTTGTGATGTGTGTATTCAACTAACAGAGTTGAACTTTTGTTTTTACAGAGCCGTTTTAAAACACTCTTTTTGTGGAATCAGAAAGTGGATATTCGGATGGCTCTGAGGATTTCGTTGGAAGCGGGATTACATATAAAATCTAGAGAGACAAGCATTCTCAGGAACTACTTTGTGATGTTTGCATTGAAGTCACAGAATTGAACATTCACTTTGACAGAGCAGGTTTGAAACACTCATTCTGTAGTATCTGGAAGCGGACAATTCAAGCGCTTTCAGGCCTATGGGGAGAAAGGAAATATCTTCAAATAAAAACTAGACAGAAGCATCCTCAGAAACTTATTTGTGATGTGTGTCCTCAACTAACAGAGTTGAAACTTTGTTTTGATACAGCATTTTGGAAACACTCTTTTTGTAGAATCTGCAGGTGGATATTTGGATAGCTTAGAGGGATTCGTTGGAAAGGGGATATCTTCATATAAAATCTAGACAGAAGCATTCTCAGAAACTTATTTGTGATGTGTGTCCTCAACTAACAGAGTTGAACCTTGGTTTTGATACAGCATTTTGGAAACACTCCTTTTGTAGAATCTGCAGGTGGATATGTGGATAGCTCTGAAGATTTCGTTGGAAACGGGAATTTCTTCATATAAAATCAAACAGAAGCATTCTCAGAAACTTCTCAGTGATGTTTGCATTCAGCTCATGGAGTTGTACACTTCCTTTCATAGAGCAGGTTTGAAACACTCTTTCTGCACTACCTGGAAGAGGACATTTTGAGCGCTTTGAGTCCTATGGTGAAAAAGGAAATATCTTCTCATAGAAACCAGAAAGAAGCATTCTCAGAAACTTCTTTGTGTTGTGTGTACTCATGTAACAGTGTTGAACCATCCTTTTGACAGAGCAGTTTTGAAACACTCTTTTTGTAGAATCTGCAAGTGGATATTTGGATAGCTTTGAGGATTTCGTTGGAAACGGGATGACATATAATATCTAGAGAGAAGCATTCTCAGGAACTTCTTTGTGATGTTTGCATTCAAGTCACAGAATTGAACATTCCCTTTCATAGAGCAGGTTTGAAACACTCTTTCTCTAGTATCTGGAAGTGGGCATTTCAAGCGCTTTCAGGCCTATGGAGAGAAAGGAAATACCTTCAAATAAAAACTAGACAGAAGCATTCTCAGAAACTTATTTGTGATGTGTGTCCTCAACTAACAGAGTTGAACCTTTGTTTTGATACAGCATTTTGGAAACACTCCTTTTGTAGAATCTGCAGGTGGATATTTGGATAGCTTTGAAGATTTCGTTGGAAACCGGAATATCTTCATATAAAATCAAGACAGAAGCATTCTCGGAAACATCTCTGTGATGTTTGCATTCAACTCAGTAGAGTTGAACACTTCCTTTCATAGAGCAGGTTTCAAACACTCTTTCTGCACTACCTGGAAGCGGACATTTCGAGCGCTTTGAGGCCTATGGTGAAAAAGGAAATATCTTCTCATAAAAACCAGAAAGAAGCATTCTCAGAAACTTCTTTGTGTTGTGTGTACTCAAGTAACAGTGTTGAACCTTCCTTTTGACAGAGCAGTTTTGAAACACTCTTTTGGTAGAATCTGCAAGTGGATATTTGGATAGCTTTGAGGATTTCGTTGGAAACGGGTTATCTTCCTATAAAATCCAGACAGGAGCATTCTCAGAAACTTCTTTGTGCTGTATGTCCTCAATTCACAGAGCTGAACCTTTGTTTGGATACAGCATTTTGGAGACATTCCTTTAGTAGAATCTGCAAGTTGATATTTAGATAGCTTTGAAGATTTCGTTGGAAACGGGAATATCTTCATAGAAAATCTAGACGGAAGCATTCTCAGAAACTGCTTTGTGATGTTTGCATTCAAGTCACAGAGTTGAATATTCCCTTTTATAGAGTAGGTTTGAAACACTCTTTCGGCACTACCTGGAAGTGGATATTTCGAGCTCTTTGAGGCCTATGGTTAAAAGGAAATATCTTCCCATAAAAACTAGACAGAAGCCGTCTCAGAAACTCGTTTGTGATGTGTGTATTCAACTAACAGAGTTGAACATTTCTGTTACAGAGCAATTTTAAAACACTCTTTTTGTGGAATCTGAAAGTGGATAATTGGATAGCTTTGTGGATTTCGTTGGAAACGGGATGACGTATAAAATCTAGAGAGAAGCATTCTCAGGAACTTCTTTCTGATGTTTGCATTCAAGTCACAGAATTGAACATTCCTTTTCAGAGTGCAGGTTTGAAACACTCTTTCTGTAGTATCTGGAAGTGGACATTTCAAGCGCTTTCAGGCCTACGGGGAGAAAGGAAATATCTTCAAATAAAAACTAGACAGAAGGATTCTCAGAAACTTATTTGTGATGTGTGTCCTAAACGAACACAGTTGAACCTTTGTTTTGATACAGCATTTTGGAAACACTCCTTTTGTAGGATCTGCAGGTGGATATTTGGATAGATTTTAAGATTTCGTTGGAAACGGGAATTTCTGCATAGAAACTCAAGACAGATGCATTCTCAGAAACTTCTCTGTGATGTGTGCATTCCACTCATAGAGTTGAAAACTTCCTTTCATAGAGCAGGTTTGAAACACTCTTTTTGTAATATTTGGAAGTGGACATTTGCAGCGCTTTGAGGCCTATGGTGAAAAAGGAAATATCTTCTCATAAAAACCAGAAACAAGCATTCTCAGAAACTTCTTTTTGATGTGTGTACTCAAGTAACAGAGTTGAACCTTCCTTTTGACACAGCAGTTTTGAAACAATCTTTTTGTAGAATCTGCAAGTGGATATTTGGATAGCTTTGAGGATTTCGTTGGAAACGGGATATCTTCATATAAAATCTAGACAGAAGCATTCTCAGAAACTTCTTTGTGCTGTATGACCTCAATTAACAGAGTTGAACCATTGCTTGCATACAGCATTTTGGAAACATTCCTTGAGTAGAATCTGCAAGTTGATATTTAGATAGATTTGAAGATTTCGTTCGAAAACGGAATATCTCCATATAAAATCTAGAGGGAAGCATTCTCAGAAACTGCTTTGTGATGTTTCCATTCAAGTCACAGAGTTGAATATTCCCTTTTATAGAGCACGTTTGAAACACTCTTTCTGCACTATCTGGAAGTGGACATTTCGAGCGCTTTGAGGCCTATGGTGAAAAAGGAAATATCTTCCCATAAAAACTAGACAGAAGCATTCTCAGAAACTTGTTTGTGATGTGTGTATTCAACTAACAGAGTTGAACTTTTGTTTTTACAGAGCCGTTTTAAAACACTCTTTATGTGGAATCAGAAAGTGGATATTCGGATGGCTCTGAGGATTTCGTTGGAAGCGGGATTACATATAAAATCTAGAGAGAAGCATTCTCAGGAACTTCTTTGTGATGTTTGCATTGAAGTCACAGAATTGAACATTCACTTTGATAGAGCAGGTTTGAAACACTCATTCTGTAGTATCTGGAAGTGGACATTTCAAGCGCTTTCAGGCCTATGGTGAGAAAGGAAATATCTTCGAATAAAAACTAGACAGAAGCATCCTCAAACTTATTTGTGATGTGTGTCCTCAACTAACAGAGTTGAAACTTTGTTTTGATACAGCATTTTGGAAACACTCTTTTTGTAGAATCTGCAGGTGGATATTTGGATAGCTTAGAGGGATTCGTTGGAAAGGGGATATCTTCATATAAAATCTAGACAGAAGCATTCTCAGAAACTTATTTGTGATGTGTGTCCTCAACTAACAGAGTGGAACCTTGGTTTTGATACAGCATTTTGGAAACACTCCTTTTGTAGAATCTGCAGGTGGATATGTGGATAGCTTTGAAGATTTCGTTGGAAACGGGAATTTCTTCATATAAAATCAAACAGAAGCATTCTCAGAAACTTCTCAGTGATGTTTGCATTCAGTTCATGGAGTTGAACACTTCCTTTCATAGAGCCGGTTTGAAACACTCTTTCTGCACTACCTGGAAGAGGACATTTCGAGCGCTTTGAGTCCTATGGTGAAAAAGGAAATATCTTCTCATAGAAACCAGAAAGAAGCATTCTCAGAAACTTCTTTGTGTTGTGTGTACTCATGTAACAGTGTTGAACCATCCTTTTGACAGAGCAGTTTTGAAACACTCTTTTTGTAGAATCTGCAAGTGGATATTTGGATAGCTTTGAGGATTTCGTTGGAAACGGGATGACATATAATATCTAGAGAGAAGCATTCTCAGGAACTTCTTTGTGATGTTTGCATTCAAGTCACAGAATTGAACATTCCCTTTCATAGAGCAGGTTTGAAACACTCTTTCTCTAGTATCTGGAAGTGGGCATTTCAAGCGCTTTCAGGCCTATGGAGAGAAAGGAAATACCTTCAAATAAAAACTAGACAGAAGCATTCTCAGAAACTTATTTGTGATGTGTGTCCTCAACTAACAGAGTTGAACCTTTGTTTTGATACAGCATTTTGGAAACACTCCTTTTGTAGAATCTGCAGGTGGATATTTGGATAGCTTTGAAGATTTCGTTGGAAACCGGAATATCTTCATATAAAATCAAGACAGAAGCATTCTCGGAAACATCTCTGTGATGTTTGCATTCAACTCAGTAGAGTTGAACACTTCCTTTCATAGAGCAGGTTTGAAACACTCTTTCTGCACTACCTGGAAGTGGACATTTCGAGCGCTTTGAGGCCTATGGTGAAAAAGGAAATGTCTTCTCATAAAAACCAGAAAGAAGCATTCTCAGAAACTTCTTTGTGTTGTGTGTACTCAAGTAACAGTGTTGAACCTTCCTTTTGACAGAGCAGTTTTGAAACACTCTTTTGGTAGAATCTGCAAGTGGATATTTGGATAGCTTTGAGGATTTCGTTGGAAACGGGTTATCTTCCTATAAAATCCAGACAGGAGCATTCTCAGAAACTTCTTTGTGCTGTATGTCCTCAATTCACAGAGCTGAACCTTTGTTTGGATACAGCATTTTGGAGACATTCCTTTAGTAGAATCTGCAAGTTGATATTTAGATAGCTGTGAAGATTTCGTTGGAAACGGGAATATCTTCATAGAAAATCTAGACGGAAGCATTCTCAGAAACTGCTTTGTGATGTTTGCATTCAAGTCACAGAGTTGAATATTCCCTTTTATAGAGTAGGTTTGAAACACTCTTTCGGCACTACCTGGAAGTGGATATTTCGAGCTCTTTGAGGCCTATGGTTAAAAGGAAATATCTTCCCATAAAAACTAGACAGAAGCCGTCTCAGAAACTTGTTTGTGATGTGTGTATTCAACTACCAGAGTTGAACATTTCTGTTACAGAGCAATTTTAAAACACTCTTTTTGTGGAATCTGAAAGTGGATAATTGGATAGCTTTGTGGATTTCGTTGGAAACGGGATGACGTATAAAATCTAGAGAGAAGCATTCTCAGGAACTTCTTTCTGATGTTTGCATTCAGGTCACAGAATTGACATTCCTTTTCAGAGTGCAGGTTTGAAACACTCTTTCTGTAGTATCTGGAAGTGGACATTTCAAGCGCTTTCAGGCCTACGGGGAGAAAGGAAATATCTTCAAATAAAAACTAGACAGAAGGATTCTCAGAAACTTATTTGTGATGTGTGTCCTAAACGAACACAGTTGAACCTTTGTTTTGATACAGCATTTTGGAAACACTCCTTTTGTAGGATCTGCAGGTGGATATTTGGATAGATTTTAAGATTTCGTTGGAAACGGGAATTTCTGCATATAAACTCAAGACAGATGCATTCTCAGAAACTTCTCTGTGATGTTTGCATTCCACTCATAGAGTTGAAAACTTCCTTTCATAGAGCAGGTTTGAAACACTCTTTTTGTAATATTTGGAAGTGGACATTTGCAGCGCTTTGAGGCCTATGGTGAAAAAGGAAATATCTTCTCATAAAAACCAGAAACAAGCATTCTCAGAAACTTCTTTTTGATGTGTGTACTCAAGTAACAGAGTTGAACCTTCCTTTTGACACAGCAGTTTTGAAACAATCTTTTTGTAGAATCTGCAAGTGGATATTTGGATAGCTTTGAGGATTTCGTTGGAAACGGGATATCTTCATATAAAATCTAGACAGAAGCATTCTCAGAAACTTCTTTGTGCTGTATGTCCTCAATTAGCAGAGTTGAACCATTGCTTGCATACAGCATTTTGGAAACATTCCTTTAGTAGAATCTGCAAGTTGATATTTAGATAGATTTGAAGATTTCGTTGGAAACGGGAATATCTTCATATAAAATCTAGACGGAGGCATTCTCAGAAACTGCTTTGTGATGTTTCCATTCAAGTCACAGAGTTGAATATTCTCTTTTATAGAGCACGTTTGAAACACTCTTTCTGCACTATCTGGAAGTGGACATTTCAAGCGCTGTGAGGCCTATGGTGAAAAAGGAAATATCTTCCCATAAAAACTAGACAGAATCATTCTCAGAAACTTGTTTGTGATGTGTGTATTCAACTAACAGACTTGAACTTTTGTTTTTACAGAGCAGTTTTAAGACAATCTTTTTGTGGAATCAGAAAGTGGATATTCGGATGGCTTTGAGGACTTCGTTGGAAGCGGGATTACATATAAAATCTAGAGAGAAGCATTCTCAGGAACTACTTTGTGATGTTTGTATTGAAGTCACAGAATTGAACATTCACTTTGATAGAGCAGGTTTGAAACACTCATTCTGTAGGATCTGGAAGCGGACAATTCAAGCGCTTTCAGGCCTATGGGGAGAAAGGAAATATCTTCAAATAAAAACTAGAGAGAAGCATCCTCAGAAACTTATTTGTGATGTGTGTTCTCAACTAACAGAGTTGAAACTTTGTTTTGATACAGCATTTTGGAAACACTCTTTTTGTAGAATCTGCAGGTGGATATTTGGATAGCTTAGAGGGATTCGTTGGAAAGGGGATATCTTCATAGAAAATCTAGACAGAAGCATTCTCAGAAACTTATTTGTGATGTGTGTCCTCAACTAACAGAGTTGAACCTTGGTTTTGATACAGCATTTTGGGAAACACTCCTTTTGTAGAATCTGCAGGTGGATATGTGGATAGCTTTGAAGATTTCGTTGGAAACGGGAATTTCTTCATGTAAAATCAAACAGAAGCATTCTCAGAAACTTCTCTGTGATGTTTGCATTCAGCTCATGGAGTTGAACACTTCCTTTCATAGAGCAGGTTTGCAACACTCTTTCTGCACTACCAGGAAGTGGACATTTCGAGCGCTTTGAGGCCTATGGTGAAAAAGGAAATATCTTCTCATAAAAACCAGAAAGAAGCGTTCTCAGAAACTTCTTTGTGTTGTGTGTACTCGTGTAACAGTGTTGAACCATCCTTTTGACAGAGCAGTTTTGAAACACTCTTTTTGTAGAATCTGCAAGTGGATATTTGGATAGCTTTGAGGATTTCGTTGGAAACGGGTTATCTTCATATTAAATCTAGACAGAAGCATTCTCAGAAACTTCTTTGTGCTGTATGTCCTCAATTCACAGAGTTGAACCTTTGTTTGGATACAGCATTTTGGAAACATTCCTTTAGTAGAATCTGCAAGTTGATATTTAGATAGCTTTGAAGATTTCGTTGGAAACGGGAATATCTTCATAAAAAATCTAGACGGAAGCATTGTCAGAAACTGCTTTGTGATGTTTGCATTCAAGTCACAGAGTTAAATATTCTTTTACAGAGCAGGTTTGAAACACTCTTTCTGCACTCCCTGGAAGTGGAGATTTCGAGCGCTTTGAGGCCTTTGGTGAAAAAGGAAATATCTTCCCATAAAAACTAGACGGAAGCCTTCTCAGAAACTTGTTTGAGATGTGTGTATTCAACTAAGAGCGTTGAACATTTCCTTCTACACAGCAGTTTTAAAACACTCTTTTTGTGGAATCTGAAAGTGGATAATTGGATAGCTTTGTGGATTTCTTTGGAAACGGGATTACGTATAAAATCTAGAGAGAAGCATTCTCAGAAACTTCTTACTGATGTTTGCATTCAAGTCACAGAATTGAACATTCCTTTTCATAGTGCAGGTTTGAAACACTCTTTCTGTACTATCTGGAAGTGGACATTTCAAGCGCTTTCAGGCCTATGGGGAGAAAGGAAATATCTTCAAATTAAAAACTAGACAGAAGGATTCTCAGAAACTTATTGGTGATGTGTGTCCTAAACGAACACAGTTGAACCTTTGTTTTGATACAGCATTTTGGAAACACTCCCTTTGTAGAATCTGCAGGTGGATATTTGGATAGATTTTAAGATTTCGTTGGAAACGGGAATTTCTTCATATAAACTCAAGACAGATGCATTCTCCGAAACTTCTCTGTGATGTTTTCATTCCACTCATAGAGTTGAAAACTTCCTTTCATAGAGCAGGTTTGAAACACTCTTTTTTAATATTTGGAAGTGGACATTTGCAGCGCTTTGAGGCCTATGGTGAAAAAGGAAATATCTTCTCATAAAAACCAGAAACAAGCATTCTCAGAAACTTCTTTTTGATGTGTGTACTCAAGTAACAGAGTTGAACCTTCCTTTTGACACAGCAGTTTTGAAACAATCTTTTTGTAGTATCTGCAAGTGGATATTTGGATAGCTTTGAGGATTTCGTTGGAAACGGGATATCTTCATATAAAATCTAGACAGAATCATTCTCAGAAACTTCTTTGTGCTGTATGTCCTCAATTAACAGAGTTGAACCATTGCTTGGATACAGCATTTTGGAAACATTCCTTTAGTAGAATCTGCAAGTTGATATTTAGATAGATTTGAAGATTTCGTTGGAAACGGGAATATCTTCATATAAAGTCCAGACGGAAGCATTCTCAGAAACTGCTTTGTGATGTTTCCATTCAAGTCACAGAGTTGAATATTCTCTTTTATAGAGCACGTTTGAAACACTCTTTCTGCACTATCTGGAAGTGGACATTTCGAGCGCTTTGAGGCCTATGGTGAAAAAGGAAATATCTTCCCATAAAAACTAGACAGAAGCATTCTCAGAAACTTGTTTGTGATGTGTGTATTCAACTGAGTTGAACTTTTGTTTCTACAGAGCAGTTTTAAAACACTCTTTTTGTGGAATCAGAAAGTGGATATTCGGATGGCTCTGAGGATTTCGTTGGAAGCGGGATTACATATAAAATCTAGAGAGAAGCATTCTCAGGAACTTCTTTGTGATGTTTGCATTGAAGTCACAGAATTGATCATTCACTTTTATAGAGCAGGTTTGAAACACTCATTCTGTAGTATCTGGAAGTGGACATTTCAAGCGCTTTCAGGCCTATGGTGAGAAAGGAAATATCTTCAAATAAAAACTAGACAGAAACATCGTCAGAAACTTATTTGTGATGTGTGTCCTCAACTAACAGAGTTGAAATTTTGTTTTGATACAGCCTTTTGGAAACACTCTTTTTGTAGAATCTGCAGGTGGATATTTGGATAGCTTAGAGGGATTCGTTGGAAAGGGGATATCTTCATATAAAATCTAGACAGAAGCATTCTCAGAAACTTATTTGTGATGTGTGTCCTCAACTAACAGAGTTGAACCTTGGTTTTGATACAGCATTTTGGAAACCCTCCTTTTGTAGAATCTGCAGGTGGATATGTGGATAGCTTTGAAGATTTCGTTGGAAACGGGAATTTCTTCATGTAAAATCAAACAGAAGCATTCTCAGAAACTTCTCTGTGATGTTTGCATTCAGCTCATGGAGTTGAACACTTCCTTTCATAGAGCAGGTTTGAAACACTCTTTCTGCACTACCTGGAAGCGGACATTTCGAGCGCTTTGAGGCCTATGGTGAAAAAGGAAATATCTTCTCATAAAAACCAGAAGGAAGCATTCTCAGAAACTTCTTTGTGTTGTGTGTACTCAAGTAACAGTGTTGAACCTTCCTTTTGACAGAGCAGGTTTGAAACACTCTTTTGGTAGAATCTGCAAGGGGATATTTGGATAGCTTTGAGGATTTCGTTGGAAACGGGTTATCTTCATATAAAATCCAGACAGGAGCATTCACAGAAACTTCTTTGTGCTGTATGTCCTCAATTCACAGAGCTGAACCTATGTTTGGATACAGCATTTTGGAAACATTCCTTTAGTAGAATCTGCAAGTTGATATTTAGATAGCTTTGAAGATTTCATTGGAAACGGGAATATCTTCATAGAAAATCTAGACGGAAGCATTCTCATAAACTGCTTTGTGATGTTTGCATTCAAGTCACAGAGTTGAATATTCCCTTTTATAGAGTAGGTTTGAAACACTCTTTCGGCACTACCTGGAAGTGGATATTTCGAGCTCTTTGAGGCCTATGCTTAAAAGGAAATATCTTCCCATAAAAACTAGACAGAAGCCGTCTCAGAAACTTGTTTGTGATGTGTGTATTCAACTAACAGAGTTGAACATTTCTGTTACAGAGCAATTTTAAAACACTCTTTCTGTGAAATCTGAAAGTGGATAATTGGATAGCTTTGTGGATTTCGTTGGAAACGGGATGACGTATAAAATCTAGAGAGAAGCATTCTCAGGAACTTCTTTCTGATGTTTGCATTCAAGTCACAGAATTGAACATTCCTTTTCATAGTGCAGGTTTGAAACGCTCTTTCTGTAGTATCTGGAAGTGGACATTTCAAGCGCTTTCAGGCCTATGGGGAGAAAGGAAATATCTTCAAATAAAAACTAGACAGAAGGATTCTCAGAAACTTATTGGTGATGTGTGTCCTAAACGAACACAGTTGAACCTTTGTTTTGATACAGCCTTTTGGAAACACTCCTTTTGTAGAATCTGCAGGTGGATATTTGGATAGATTTTAAGATTTCGTTGGAAACGGGAATGTCTTCATATAAACTCAAGACAGATGCATTCTCAGAAACTTCTCTGTGATGTTTGCATTCCACTCATAGAGTTGAAAACTTCCTTTCATAGAGCAGGTTTGAAACACTCTTTTTGTAATATTTGGAAGTGGAAATTTGCAGCGCTTTGAGGCCTATGGTGAAAAAGGAAATATCTTCTCATAAAAACCAGAAACAAGCATTCTCAGAAACTTCTTTTTGATGTGTGTACTCAAGTAACAGAGTTGAACCTTCCTTTTGACACAGCAGTTTTGAAACAATCTTTTTGTAGAATCTGCAAGTGGATATTTGGATAGCTTTGAGGATTTCGTTGGAAACGGGATATCTTCATATAAAATCTAGACAGAAGCATTCTCAGAAACTTCTTTGTGCTGTATGTCCTCAATTAACAGAGTTGAACCATTGCTTGGATACAGCATTTTGGAAACATTCCTTTAGTAGAATCTGCAAGTTGATATTTAGATAGATTTGAAGATTTCGTTGGAAACGGGAATATCTTCATATAAAATCTAGACGGAGGCATTCTCAGAAACTGCTTTGTGATGTTTCCATTCAAGTCACAGAGTTGAATATTCCCTTTTATAGAGCACGTTTGAAACACTCTTTCGGCACTATCTGGAAGTGGACATTTCGAGCGCTTTGAGGCCTATGGTGAAAAAGGAAATATCTTCCCATAAAAACTAGACAGAAGCATTCTCAGAAACTTGTTTGTGATGTGTGTATTCAACTAACAGACTTGAACTTTTGTTTTTACAGAGCAGTTTTAAAACAATCTTTTTGTGGAATCAGAAAGTGGATATTCGGATGGCTTTGAGGATTTCGTTGGAAGCGGGATTACATATAAAATGTAGAGAGAAGCATTCTCAGGATCTACTTTGTGATGTTTGCATTGAAGTCACAGAATTGAACATTCACTTTGATAGAGCAGGTTTGAAACACTCATTCTGTAGTATCTGGAAGTGGACATTTCAAGCGCTTTCAGGCCTATGGGGAGAAAGGAAATATCTTCAAATTAAAACTAGACAGAAGCATCCTCAGAAACTTATTTGTGATGTGTGTCCTCAACTAACAGAGTTGAAACTTTGTTTTGATACAGCATTTTGGAAACACTCTTTTTGTAGAATCTGCAGGTGGATACTTGGATAGCTTAGAGGGATTCGTTGGAAAGGGGATAAATTCATATAAAATCTAGACAGAAGCATTCTCAGAAACTTATTTGTGATGTGTGTCCTCAACTAACAGAGTTGAACCTTGGTTTTGATACAGCATTTTGGAAACACTCCTTTTGAAGAATCTGCAGGTGGATATGTGGATAGCTTTGAAGATTTCGTTGGAAACGGGAATTTCTTCATATAAAATCAAACAGAAGCATTCTCAGGAACTTCTCTGTGATGTTTGCATTCAGCTCATGGAGTTGAACACTTCCTTCCATAGAGCAGGTTTGAAACACTCTTTCTGCACTACCTGGAAGTGGACATTTCGAGCGCTTTGAGGCCTATGGTGAAAAAGGAAATATCCTCTCATAAAAACCAGAAAGAAGCGTTCTCAGAAACTTCTTTGTGTTGTGTGTACTCATGTAACAGTGTTGAACCATCCTTTTGACAGAGCAGTTTTGAAACACTCTTTTTGTAGAATCTGCCAGTGGATATTTGGATAGCTTTGAGGATTTCGTTGGAAACGGGTTATCTTCATATTAAATCTAGACAGAAGCATTCTCAGAAACTTCTTTGTGCTGTATGTCCTCAATTCACAGAGTTGAACCTTTGTTTGGATACAGCATTTTGGAAACATTCCTTTAGTAGAATCTGCAAGTTGATATTTAGATAGCTTTGAAGATTTCGTTAGAAACGGGAATATCTTCATAAAAAATCTAGACGGAAGCATTGTCAGAAACTGCTCTGTGATGTTTGCATTCAAGTCACAGAGTTAAATATTCTTTTATAGAGCAGGTTTGAAACACTCTTTCTGCACTCCCTGGAAGTGGAGATTTCGAGCGCTTTGAGGCTTATTTTGAAAAAGGAAATATCTTCCCGTAAAAACTAGACGGAAGCCTTCTCAGAAACTTGTTTGAGATGTGTGTATTCAACTAAGAGCGTTGAACATTTCTTTTTACAGAGCAGTTTTAAAACACTCTTTTGGTGCAATCTGAAAGTGGATAATTGGATAGCTTTGTGGATTTCGTTGGAAACGGGATTACGTTTAAAATCTAGAGAGAAGCATTCTCAGGAACTTCTTTCTGATGTTTGCATTCAAGTCACAGAATTGAACATTCGTTTTCATAGTGCAGGTTTGAAACACTCTGTAGTATCTGGAAGTCGACATTTCAAGCGCTTTCAGGCCTATGGGGAGAAAGGAAATATCTTGAAATAAAAACTAGACAGAAGGATTCTCAGAAACTTATTTGTGATGTGTGTTCTCAACGAACACAGTTGAACCTTTGTTTTGATACAGCATTTTGGAAACACTCCTTTTGTAGAATCTGCAGGTGGATATTTGGATAGATTTTAAGATTTCATTGGAAACGGGAATTTCTTCATATAAACTCAAGACAGATTGCATTCTCAGAAACTTCTCTGTGATGTTTGCATTCCACTCACAGATTTGAAAACTTCCTTTCATAGAGCAGGTTTGAAACACTCTTTTTGTAATATTTGGAAGTGGACATTTGCAGCGCTTTGAGACCTATGGTGAAAAAGGAAATATCTTCTCATAAAAACCAGAAAGAAGCGTTCTCAGAAACTGCTTTTTGATGTGTGTACTCAAGTAACAGAGTTGAACCTTCCTTTTGACACAGCAGTTTTGAAACAATCTTTTTGTAGAATCTGCAAGTGGATATTTGGATAGCTTTGAGGATTTCGTTGGAAACGGGATATCTTCATATAAAATCTAGACAGAAGCATTCTCAGAAACTTCTTTGTGCTGTATGTCCTCAATTAACAGAGTTGAACCATTGCTTGGATACAGCATTTTGGAAACATTCCTTGAGTAGAATCTGCAAGTTGATATTTAGATAGATTTGAAGATTTCGTTGGAAAAGGGAATATCTCCATATAAAATCTAGAGGGAAGCATTCTCAGAAACTGCTTTGTGATGTTTCCATTCAAGTCACAGAGTTGAATATTCCCTTTTATAGAGCACGTTTGAAACACTCTTTCTGCACTATCTGGAAGTGGACATTTCGAGCGCTTTGAGGCCTATGGTGAAAAAGGAAATATCTTCCCATAAAAACTAGACAGAAGCATTCTCAGAAACTTGTTTGTGATGTGTGTATTCAACTAACAGAGTTGAACTTTTGTTTTTACAGAGCCGTTTTAAAACACTCTTTTTGTGGAATCAGAAAGTGGATATTCGGATGGCTCTGAGGATTTCGTTGGAAGCGGGATTACGTATAAAATCTAGAGAGAAGCATTCTCAGGAACTTCTTTGTGATGTTTGCATTGAAGTCACAGAATTGAACATTCACTTTGATAGAGCAGGTTTGAAACACTCATTCTGTAGTATCTGGAAGTGGACATTTCAAGCGCTTTCAGGCCTATGGTGAGAAAGGAAATATCTTCGAATAAAAACTAGACAGAAGCATCCTCAAACTTATTTGTGATGTGTGTCCTCAACTAACAGAGTTGAAACTTTGTTTTGATACAGCATTTTGGAAACACTCTTTTTGTAGAATCTGCAGGTGGATATTTGGATAGCTTAGAGGGATTCGTTGGAAAGGGGATATCTTCATATAAAATCTAGACAGAAGCATTCTCAGAAACTTATTTGTGATGTGTGTCCTCAACTAACAGAGTTGAACCTTGGTTTTGATACAGCATTTTGGAAACACTCCTTTTGTAGAATCTGCATGTGGATATGTGGATAGCTCTGAAGATTTCGTTGGAAACGGGAATTTCTTCATATAAAATCAAACAGAAGCATTCTCAGAAACTTCTCAGTGATGTTTGCATTCAGCTCATGGAGTTGTACACTTCCTTTCATAGAGCAGGTTTGAAACACTCTTTCTGCACTACCTGGAAGAGGACATTTCGAGCGCTTTGAGTCCTATGGTGAAAAAGGAAATATCTTCTCATAGAAACCAGAAAGAAGCATTCTCAGCAAACTTCTTTCTGTTGTGTGTACTCATGTAACAGTGTTGAACCATCCTTTTGACAGAGCAGTTTTGAAACACTCTTTTTGTAGAATCTGCAAGTGGATATTTGGATAGCTTTGAGGATTTCGTTGGAAACGGGATGACATATAATATCTAGAGAGAAGCATTCTCAGGAACTTCTTTGTGATGTTTGCATTCAAGTCACAGAATTGAACATTCCCTTTCATAGAGCAGGTTTGAAACACTCTTTCTCTAGTATCTGGAAGTGGGCATTTCAAGCGCTTTCAGGCCTATGGAGAGAAAGGAAATACCTTCAAATAAAAACTAGACAGAAGCATTCTCAGAAACTTATTTGTGATGTGTGTCCTCAACTAACAGAGTTGAACCTTTGTTTTGATACAGCATTTTGGAAACACTCCTTTTGTAGAATCTGCAGGTGGATATTTGGATAGCTTTGAAGATTTCGTTGGAAACCGGAATATCTTCATATAAAATCAAGACAGAAGCATTCTCGGAAACATCTCTGTGATGTTTGCATTCAACTCAGTAGAGTTGAACACTTCCTTTCATAGAGCAGGTTTGAAACACTCTTTCTGCACTACCTGGAAGCGGACATTTCGAGCGCTTTGAGGCCTATGGTGAAAAAGGAAATATCTTCTCATAAAAACCAGAAAGAAGCATTCTCAGAAACTTCTTTGTGTTGTGTGTACTCAAGTAACAGTGTTGAACCTTCCTTTTGACAGAGCAGTTTTGAAACACTCTTTTGGTAGAATCTGGAGGTGGATATTTGGAGAGCTTTGAGGATTTCGTTGGAAACGGGTTATCTTCATATAAAATCCAGACAGGAGCATTCTCAGAAACTTCTTTGTGCTGTATTTCCTCAATTCACAGAGCTGAACCTTTGTTTGGATACAGCATTTTGGAGACATTCCTTTAGTAGAATCTGCAAGTTGATATTTAGATAGCTTTGAAGATTTCGTTGGAAACGGGAATATCTTCATAGAAAATCTAGACGGAAGCATTCTCAGAAACTGCTTTGTGATGTTTGCATTCAAGTCACAGAGTTGAATATTCCCTTTTATAGAGTAGGTTTGAAACACTCTTTCGGCACTACCTGGAAGTGGATATTTCGAGCTCTTTGAGGCCTATGGTTAAAAGGAAATATCTTCCCATAAAAACTAGACAGAAAGCCGTCTCAGAAACTTGTTTGTGATGTGTGTATTCAACTAACAGAGTTGAACATTTCTGTTACAGAGCAATTTAAAACACTCTTTTTGTGGAATCTGAAAGTGGATAATTGGATAGCTTTGTGGATTTCGTTGGAAACGGGATGACGTATAAAATCTAGAGAGAAGCATTCTCAGGAACTTCTTTCTGATGTTTGCATTCAAGTCACAGAATTGAACATTCCTTTTCAGAGTGCAGGTTTGAAACACTCTTTCTGTAGTATCTGGAAGTGGACATTTCAAGCGCTTTCAGGCCTACGGGGAGAAAGGAAATATCTTCAAATAAAAACTAGAGAGAAGGATTCTCAGAAACTTATTTGTGATGTGTGTCCTAAGCGAACACAGTTGAACCTTTGTTTTGATACAGCATTTTGGAAACACTCCTTTTGTAGGATCTGCAGGTGGATATTTGGATAGATTTTAAGATTTCGTTGGAAACGGGAATTTCTGCATATAAACTCAAGACAGATGCATTCTCAGAAACTTCTCTGTGATGTTTGCATTCCACTCATAGAGTTGAAAACTTCCTTTCATAGAGCAGGTTTGAAACACTCTTTTTGTAATATTTGGAAGTGGACATTTGCAGCGCTTTGAGGCCTATGGTGAAAAAGGAAATATCTTCTCATAAAAACCAGAAACAAGCATTCTCAGAAACTTCTTTTTGATGTGTGTACTCAAGTAACAGAGTTGAACCTTCCTTTTGACACAGCAGTTTTGAAACAATCTTTTTGTAGAATCTGCAAGTGGATATTTGGATAGCTTTGAGGATTTCGTTGGAAACGGGATATCTTCATATAAAATCTAGACAGAAGCATTCTCAGAAACTTCTTTGTGCTGTATGACCTCAATTAACAGAGTTGAACCATTGCTTGCATACAGCATTTTGGAAACATTCCTTGAGTAGAATCTGCAAGTTGATATTTAGATAGATTTGAAGATTTCGTTCGAAAACGGAATATCTCCATATAAAATCTAGAGGGAAGCATTCTCAGAAACTGCTTTGTGATGTTTCCATTCAAGTCACAGAGTTGAATATTCCCTTTTATAGAGCACGTTTGAAACACTCTTTCTGCGCTATCTGGAAGTGGACATTTCGAGCGCTTTGAGGCCTATGGTGAAAAAGGAAATATCTTCCCATAAAAACTAGACAGAAGCATTCTCAGAAACTTGTTTGTGATGTGTGTATTCAACTAACAGAGTTGAACTTTTGTTTTTACAGAGCCGTTTTAAAACACTCTTTTTGTGGAATCAGAAAGTGGATATTCGGATGGCTCTGAGGATTTCGTTGGAAGCGGGATTACATATAAAATCTAGAGAGAAGCATTCTCAGGAACTTCTTTGTGATGTTTGCATTGAAGTCACAGAATTGAACATTCACTTTGATAGAGCAGGTTTGAAACACTCATTCTGTAGTATCTGGAAGTGGACATTTCAAGCGCTTTCAGGCCTATGGTGAGAAAGGAAATATCTTCGAATAAAAACTAGACAGAAGCATCCTCAAACTTATTTGTGATGTGTGTCCTCAACTAACAGAGTTGAAACTTTGTTTTGATACAGCATTTTGGAAACACTCTTTTTGTAGAATCTGCAGGTGGATATTTGGATAGCTTAGAGGGATTCGTTGGAAAGGGGATATCTTCATATAGAATCTAGACAGAAGCATTCTCAGAAACTTATTTGTGATGTGTGTCCTCAACTAACAGAGTTGAACTTTGGTTTTGATACAGCATTTTGGAAACACTCCTTTTGTAGAATCTGCAGGTGGATATGTGGATAGCTCTGAAGATTTCGATGGAAACGGGAATTTCTTCATATAAAATCAAACAGAAGCATTCTCAGAAACTTCTCAGTGATGTTTGCATTCAGCTCATGGAGTTGTACACTTCCTTTCATAGAGCAGGTTTGAAACACTCTTTCTGCACTACCTGGAAGAGGACATTTCGAGCGCTTTGAGTCCTATGGTGAAAAAGGAAATATCTTCTCATAGAAACCAGAAAGAAGCATTCTCAGAAACTTCTTTGTGTTGTGTGTACTCATGTAACAGTGTTGAACCATCCTTTTGACAGAGCAGTTTTGAAACACTCTTTTTGTAGAATCTGCAAGTGGATATTTGGATAGCTTTGAGGATTTCGTTGGAAACGGGATGACATATAATATCTAGAGAGAAGCATTCTCAGGAACTTCTTTGTGATGTTTGCATTCAAGTCACAGAATTGAACATTCCCTTTCATAGAGCAGGTTTGAAACACTCTTTCTCTAGTATCTGGAAGTGGGCATTTCAAGCGCTTTCAGGCCTATGGAGAGAAAGGAAATACCTTCAAATAAAAACTAGACAGAAGCATTCTCAGAAACTTATTTGTGATGTGTGTCCTCAACTAACAGAGTTGAACCTTTGTTTTGATACAGCATTTTGGAAACACTCCTTTTGTAGAATCTGCAGGTGGATATTTGGATAGCTTTGAAGATTTCGTTGGAAACCGGAATATCTTCATATAAAATCAAGACAGAAGCATTCTCGGAAACATCTCTGTGATGTTTGCATTCAACTCAGTAGAGTTGAATACTTCCTTTCATAGAGCAGGTTTGAAACACTCTCTCTGCACTACCTGGAAGCGGACATTTCGAGCGCTTTGAGGCCTATGGTGAAAAAGGAAATATCTTCTCATAGAAACCAGAAAGAAGCATTCTCAGAAACTTCTTTGTGTTGTGTGTACTCATGTAACAGTGTTGAACCATCCTTTTGACAGAGGAGTTTTGAAACACTCTTTTTGTAGAATCTGCAAGTGGATATTTGGATAGCTTTGAGGATTTCGTTGGAAACGGGATGACATATAATATCTAGAGAGAAGCATTCTCAGGAACTTCTTTGTGATGTTTGCATTCAAGTCACAGAATTGAACATTCCCTTTCATAGAGCAGGTTTGAAACACTCTTTCTCTAGTATCTGGAAGTGGGCATTTCAAGCGCTTTCAGGCCTATGGAGAGAAAGGAAATACCTTCAAATAAAAACTAGACAGAAGCATTCTCAGAAACTTATTTGTGATGTGTGTCCTCAACTAACAGAGTTGAACCTTTGTTTTGATACAGCATTTTGGAAACACTCCTTTTGTAGAATCTGCAGGTGGATATTTGGATAGCTTTGAAGATTTCGTTGGAAACCGGAATATCTTCATATAAAATCAAGACAGAAGCATTCTCGGAAACATCTCTGTGATGTTTGCATTCAACTCAGTAGAGTTGAACACTTCCTTTCATAGAGGAGGTTTGAAACACTCTTTCTGCACTACCTGGAAGCGGACATTTCGAGCGCTTTGAGGCCTATGGTGAAAAAGGAAATATCTTCTCATAAAAACCAGAAAGAAGCATTCTCAGAAACTTCTTTGTGTTGTGTGTACTCAAGTAACAGTGTTGAACCTTCCTTTTGACAGAGCAGTTTTGAAACACTCTTTTGGTAGAATCTGCAAGTGGATATTTGGATAGCTTTGAGGATTTCGTTGGAAACGGGTTATCTTCCTATAAAATCCAGACAGGAGCATTCTCAGAAACTTCTTTGTGCTGTATGTCCTCAATTCACAGAGCTGAACCTTTGTTTGGATACAGCATTTTGGAGACATTCCTTTAGTAGAATCTGCAAGTTGATATTTAGATAGCTTTGAAGATTTCGTTGGAAACGGGAATATCTTCATAGAAAATCTAGACGGAAGCATTCTCAGAAACTGCTTTGTGATGTTTGCATTCAAGTCACAGAGTTGAATATTCCCTTTTATAGAGTAGGTTTGAAACACTCTTTCGGCACTACCTGGAAGTGGATATTTCGAGCTCTTTGAGGCCTATGGTTAAAAGGAAATATCTTCCCATAAAAACTAGACAGAAGCCGTCTCAGAAACTTGTTTGTGATGTGTGTATTCAACTAACAGAGTTGAACATTTCTGTTACAGAGCAATTTTAAAACACTCTTTTTGTGGAATCTGAAAGTGGATATTTGGGTAGCTTTGTGGATTTCGTTAGAAACGGGATGACGTATAAAATCTAGAGAGAAGCATTCTCAGGAACTTCTTTCTGATGTTTGCATTCAAGTCACAGAATTGACATTCCTTTTCAGAGTGCAGGTTTGAAACACTCTTTCTGTAGTATCTGGAAGTGGACATTTCAAGCGCTTTCAGGCCTATGGGGAGAAAGGAAATATCTTCAAATAAAAACTAGACAGAAGGATTCTCAGAAACTTATTTGTGATGTGTGTCCTAAGCGAACACAGTTGAACCTTTGTTTTGATACAGCATTTTGGAAACACTCCTTTTGTAGAATCTGCAGGTGGATATTTGGATAGATTTTAAGATTTCATTGGAAACGGGAATTTCTGCATAGAAACTCAAGACAGATGCATTCTCAGAAACTTCTCTGTGATGTTTGCATTCCACTCATAGAGTTGAAAACTTCCTTTCATAGAGCAGGTTTGAAACACTCTTTTTGTAATATTTGGAAGTGGACATTTGCAGCGCTTTGAGGCCTATGGTGAAAAAGGAAATATCTTCTCATAAAAACCAGAAACAAGCATTCTCAGAAACTTCTTTTTGATGTGTGTACTCAAATATCAGAGTTGAACCTTCCTTTTGACACAGCAGTTTTGAAACAATCTTTTTGTAGAATCTGCAAGTGGACATTTGGATAGCTTTGATGATTTCGTTGGAAACGGGATATCTTCATATAAAATCTAGACAGAAGCATTCTCAGAAACTTCTTTGTGCTGTATGTCCTCAATTAACAGAGTTGAACCATTGCTTGGATACAGCATTTTGGAAACATTCCTTGAGTAGAATCTGCAAGTTGATATTTAGATAGATTTGAAGATTTCGTTGGAAAAGGGAATATCTCCATATAAAATCTAGAGGGAAGCATTCTCAGAAACTGCTTTGTGATGTTTCCATTCAAGTCACAGAGTTGAATATTCCCTTTTATAGAGCACGTTTGAAACACTCTTTCTGCACTATCTGGAAGTGGACATTTCGAGCGCTTTGAGGCCTATGGTGAAAAAGGAAATATCTTCCCATAAAAACTAGACAGAAGCATTCTCAGAAACTTGTTTGTGATGTGTGTATTCAACTAACAGAGTTGAACTTTTGTTTTTACAGAGCCGTTTTAAAACACTCTTTTTGTGGAATCAGAAAGTGGATATTCGGATGGCTCTGAGGATTTCGTTGGAAGCGGGATTACATATAAAATCTAGAGAGAAGCATTCTCAGGAACTTCTTTGTGATGTTTGCATTGAAGTCACAGAATTGAACATTCACTTTGATAGAGCAGGTTTGAAACACTCATTCTGTAGGATCTGGAAGTGGACATTTCAAGCGCTTTCAGGCCTATGGTGAGAAAGGAAATATCTTCAAATAAAAACTAGACAGAGGCATCCTCAGAAACTTATTTGTGATGTGTGTCCTCAACTAACAGAGTTGAAACTTTGTTTTGATACAGCATTTTGGAAACACTCTTTTTGTAGAATCTGCAGGTGGATATTTGGATAGCTTAGAGGGATTCGTTGGAAAGGGGATATCTTCATATAAAATCTAGACAGAAGCATTCTCAGAAACTTATTTGTGATGTGTGTCCTCAACTAACAGAGTTGAACCTTGGTTTTGATACAGCATTTTGGAAACACTCCTTTTGTAGAATCTGCAGGTGGATATGTGGATAGCTCTGAAGATTTCGTTGGAAACGGGAATTTCTTCATATAAAATCAAACAGAAGCATTCTCAGAAACTTCTCAGTGATGTTTGCATTCAGTTCATGGAGTTGAACACTTCCCTTCATAGAGCCGGTTTGAAACACTCTTTCTGCACTACCTGGAAGAGGACATTTCGAGCGCTTTGAGTCCTATGGTGAAAAAGGAAATATCTTCTCATAGAAACCAGAAAGAAGCATTCTCAGAAACTTCTTTGTGTTGTGTGTACTCATGTAACAGTGTTGAACCATCCTTTTGACAGAGCAGTTTTGAAACACTCTTTTTGTAGAATCTGCAAGTGGATATTTGGATAGCTTTGAGGATTTCGTTGGAAACGGGATGACATATAATATCTAGAGAGAAGCATTCTCAGGAACTTCTTTGTGATGTTTGCATTCAAGTCACAGAATTGAACATTCCCTTTCATAGAGCAGGTTTGAAACACTCTTTCTCTAGTATCTGGAAGTGGGCATTTCAAGCGCTTTCAGGCCTATGGAGAGAAAGGAAATACCTTCAAATAAAAACTAGACAGAAGCATTCTCAGAAACTTATTTGTGATGTGTGTCCTCAACTAACAGAGTTGAACCTTTGTTTTGATACAGCATTTTGGAAACACTCCTTTTGTAGAATCTGCAGGTGGATATGTGGATAGCTTTGAAGATTTCGTTGGAAACCGGAATATCTTCATATAAAATCAAGACAGAAGCATTCTCGGAAACATCTCTGTGATGTTTGCATTCAACTCAGTAGAGTTGAACACTTCCTTTCATAGAGCAGGTTTGAAACACTCTTTCTGCCCTACCTGGAAGCGGACATTTCGAGCTCTTTGAGGCCTATGGTGAAAAAGGAAATATCTTCTCATAAAAACCAGAAAGAAGCATTCTCAGAAACTTCTTTGTGTTGTGTGTACTCAAGTAACAGTGTTGAACCTTCCTTTTGACAGAGCAGTTTTGAAACACTCTTTTGGTAGAATCTGCAAGTGGATATTTGGATAGCTTTGAGGATTTCGTTGGAAACGGGTTATCTTCATATAAAATCCAGACAGGAGCATTCTCAGAAACTTCTTTGTGCTGTATGTCCTCAATTCACAGAGCTGAACCTTTGTTTGGATACAGCATTTTGGAGACATTCCTTTAGTAGAATCTGCAAGTTGATATTTAGATAGCTTTGAAGATTTCGTTGGAAACGGGAATATCTTCATAGAAAATCTAGACGGAAGCATTCTCAGAAACTGCTTTGTGATGTTTGCATTCAAGTCACAGAGTTGAATATTCCCTTTTATAGAGTAGGTTTGAAACACTCTTTCGGCACTACCTGGAAGTGGATATTTCGAGCTCTTTGAGGCCTATGGTTAAAAGGAAATATCTTCCCATAAAAACTAGACAGAAGCCGTCTCAGAAACTTGTTTGTGATGTGTGTATTCAACTAACAGAGTTGAACATTTCTGTTACAGAGCAATTTTAAAACACTCTTTGTGGAATCTGAAAGTGGATAATTGGATAGCTTTGTGGATTTCGTTGGAAACGGGATGACGTATAAAATCTAGAGAGAAGCATTCTCAGGAACTTCTTTCTGATGTTTGCATTCAAGTCACAGAATTGAACATTCCTTTTCAGAGTGCAGGTTTGAAACACTCTTTCTGTAGTATCTGGAAGTGGACATTTCAAGCGCTTTCAGGCCTACGGGGAGAAAGGAAATATCTTCAAATAAAAACTAGACAGAAGGATTCTCAGAAACTTATTTGTGATGTGTGTCCTAAACGAACACAGTTGAACCTTTGTTTTGATACAGCATTTTGGAAACACTCCTTTTGTAGGATCTGCAGGTGGATATTTGGATAGATTTTAAGATTTCGTTGGAAACGGGAATTTCTTCATAGAAGCTCAAGACAGATGCATTCTCAGAAACTTCTCTGTGATGTTTGCATTCCACTCATAGAGTTGAAAACTTCCTTTCATAGAGCACGTTTGAAACACTCTTTCTGCACTATCTGGAAGCGGACATTTCGAGCGCTTTGAGGCCTATGGTGAAAAAGGAAATATCTTCCCATAAAAACTAGACAGAAGCATTCTCAGAAACTTGTTTGTGATGTGTGTATTCAACTAACAGAGTTGAACTTTTGTTTTTACAGAGCCGTTTTAAAACACTCTTTTTGTGGAATCAGAAAGTGGATATTCGGATGGCTCTGAGGATTTCGTTGGAAGCAGGATTACGTATAAAATCTAGAGAGAAGCATTCTCAGGAACTTCTTTCTGATGTTTGCATTGAAGTCACAGAATTGAACATTCACTTTTATAGAGCAGGTTTGAAACACTCATTCTGTAGTATCTGGAAGTGGACATTTCAAGCGCTTTCAGGCCTATGGTGAGAAAGGAAATATCTTCGAATAAAAACTAGACAGAAGCATCCTCAGAAACTTATTTGTGATGTGTGTCCTCAACTAACAGAGTTGAAACTTTGTTTTGATACAGCATTTTGGAAACACTCTTTTTGTAGAATCTGCAGGTGGATATTTGGATAGCTTAGAGGGATTCGTTGGAAAGGGGATATCTTCATATAAAATCTAGACAGAAGCATTCTCAGAAACTTATTTGTGATGTGTGTCCTCAACTAACAGAGTTGAACCTTGGTTTTGATACAGCATTTTGGAAACACTCCTTTTGTAGAATCTGCAGGTGGATATGTGGATAGCTCTGAAGATTTCGTTGGAAACGGGAATTTCTTCATATAAAATCAAACAGAAGCATTCTCAGAAACTTCTCAGTGATGTTTGCATTCAGCTCATGGAGTTGTACACTTCCTTTCATAGAGCAGGTTTGAAACACTCTTTCTGCACTACCTGGAAGAGGACATTTCGAGCGCTTTGAGTCCTATGGTGAAAAAGGAAATATCTTCTCATAGAAACCAGAAAGAAGCATTCTCAGAAACTTCTTTGTGTTGTGTGTACTCATGTAACAGTGTTGAACCATCCTTTTGACAGAGGAGTTTTGAAACACTCTTTTTGTAGAATCTGCAAGTGGATATTTGGATAGCTTTGAGGATTTCGTTGGAAACGGGATGACATATAATATCTAGAGAGAAGCATTCTCAGGAACTTCTTTGTGATGTTTGCATTCAAGTCACAGAATTGAACATTCCCTTTCATAGAGCAGGTTTGAAACACTCTTTCTCTAGTATCTGGAAGTGGGCATTTCAAGCGCTTTCAGGCCTATGGAGAGAAAGGAAATACCTTCAAATAAAAACTAGACAGAAGCATTCTCAGAAACTTATTTGTGATGTGTGTCCTCAACTAACAGAGTTGAACCTTTGTTTTGATACAGCATTTTGGAAACACTCCTTTTGTAGAATCTGCAGGTGGATATTTGGATAGCTTTGAAGATTTCGTTGGAAACCGGAATATCTTCATATAAAATCAAGACAGAAGCATTCTCGGAAACATCTCTGTGATGTTTGCATTCAACTCAGTAGAGTTGAACACTTCCTTTCATAGAGCAGGTTTGAAACACTCTTTCTGCACTACCTGGAAGCGGACATTTCGAGCGCTTTGAGGCCTATGGTGAAAAAGGAAATATCTTCTCATAAAAACCAGAAAGAAGCATTCTCAGAAACTTCTTTGTGTTGTGTGTACTCAAGTAACAGTGTTGAACCTTCCTTTTGACAGAGTAGTTTTGAAACACTCTTTTGGTAGAATCTGCAAGTGGATATTTGGATAGCTTTGAGGATTTCGTTGGAAACGGGTTATCTTCCTATAAAATCCAGACAGGAGCATTCTCAGAAACTTCTTTGTGCTGTATGTCCTCAATTCACAGAGCTGAACCTTTGTTTGGATACAGCATTTTGGAGACATTCCTTTAGTAGAATCTGCAAGTTGATATTTAGATAGCTTTGAAGATTTCGTTGGAAACGGGAATATCTTCATAGAAAATGCTAGACGGAAGCATTCTCAGCAAACTGCTTTGTGATGTTTGCATTCAAGTCACAGAGTTGAATATTCCCTTTTATAGAGTAGGTTTGAAACACTCTTTCGGCACTACCTGGAAGTGGATATTTCGAGCTCTTTGAGGCCTATGGTTAAAAGGAAATATCTTCCCATAAAAACTAGACAGAAGCCTTCTCAGAAACTTGTTTGAGATGTGTGTATTCAACTAAGAGCGTTGAACATTTCTTTGTACAGAGCAGTTTTAAAACACTCTTTTTGTGGAATCTGAAAGTGGATAACTGGATAGCTTTGTGGATTTCGTTGGAAACGGGATTACGAATAAAATCTAGAGAGAAGCATTCTCAGGAACTTCTTTCTGATGTTTGCATTCAAGTCACAGAATTGAACATTCCTTTTCATAGTGCAGGTTTGAAACACTCTGTAGTATCTGGAAGTGGACATTTCAAGCGCTTTCAGGCCTATGGGGAGAAAGGAAATATCTTGAAATAAAAACTAGACAGAAGGATTCTCAGAAACTTATTTGTTATGTGTGTTCTCAACGAACACAGTTGAACCTTTGTTTTGATACAGCATTTTGGAAGCACTCCTTTTGTAGAATCTGCAGGTGGGTATTTGGATAGATTTTAAGATTTCATTGGAAACGGGAATTTCTTCATATAAACTCAAGACAGATGCATTCTCAGAAACTTCTCTGTGATGTTTGCATTCCACTCACAGAGTTGAAAACTTCCTTTCATAGAGCAGGTTTGAAACACTCTTTTTGTAATATTTGGAAGTGGACATTTGCAGCGCTTTGAGGCCTATGGTGAAAAAGGAAATATCTTCTCATAAAAACCAGAAACAAGCATTCTCAGAAACTGCTTTTTGATGTGTGTACTCAAGTAACAGAGTTGAACCTTCCTTTTGACACAGCAGTTTTGAAACAATCTTTTTGTAGAATCTGCAAGTGGATATTTGGATAGCTTTGAGGATTTCGTTGGAAATGGGATATCTTCATATAAAATCTAGACAGAAGCATTCTCAGAAACTTCTTTGTGCTGTATGTCCTCAATTAACAGAGTTGAACCATTGCTTGGATACAGCATTTTGGAAACATTCCTTTAGTAGAATCTGCAAGTTGATATTTAGATAGCTTTGAAGATTTCGTTGGAAACGGGAATATCTTCATATAAAATGCTAGACGGAGAGCATTCTCAGAAACTGCTTTGTGATGTTTGCATTCAAGTCACAGAGTTGAATATTCCCTTTTATAGAGTAGGTTTGAAACACTCTTTCGGCACTACCTGGAAGTGGATATTTCGAGCTCTTTGAGGCCTATGGTTAAAAGGAAATATCTTCCCATAAAAACTAGACAGAGCCTTCTCAGAAACTTGTTTGAGATGTGTGTATTCAACTAAGAGCGTTGAACATTTCTTTTTACAGAGCAGTTTTAAAACACTCTTTTGTGGAATCTGAAAGTGGATAATTGGATAGCTTTGTGGATTTCGTTGGAAACGGGATGACGTATAAAATCTAGAGAGAAGCATTCTCAGGAACTTCTTTCTGATGTTTGCATTCAACTCACAGAATTGAACATTCCTTTTCATAGTGCAGGTTTGAAACACTCTTTCTGTAGTATCTGGAAGTGGACATTTCAAGCGCTTTCAGGCCTATGGGGAGAAAGGAAATATCTTCAAATAAAAACTAGACAGAAGGATTCTCAGAAACTTATTGGTGATGTGTGTCCTAAACGAACACAGTTGAACCTTTGTTTTGATACAGCATTTTGGAAACACTCCCTTTGTAGAATCTGCAGGTGGATATTTGGATAGATTTTAAGATTTCGTTGGAAACGGGAATTTCTTCATATAAACTCAAGACAGATGCATTCTCAGAAACTTCTCTGTAATGTTTGCATTCCACTCATAGAGTTGAAAACTTCCTTTCATAGAGCAGGTTTGAAACACTCTTTTTGTAATATTTGGAAGTGGACATTTGCAGTGCTTTGAGGCCTATGGTGAAAAAGGAAATATCTTCTCATAAAAACCAGAAACAAGCATTCTCAGAAACTTCTTTTTGATGTGTGTACTCAAGTAACAGAGTTGAACCTTCCTTTTGACACAGCAGTTTTGAAACAATCTTTTTGTAGAATCTGCAAGTGGATATTTGGATAGCTTTGAGGATTTCGTTGGAAACGGGATATCTTCATATAAAATCTAGACAGAAGCATTCTCAGAAACTTCTTTGTGCTGTATGTCCTCAATTAACAGAGTTGAACCATTGCTTGGATACAGCATTTTGGAAACATTCCTTTAGTAGAATCTGCAAGTTGATATTTAGAGAGATTTGAAGATTTCGTTGGAAACGGGAATATCTTCATATAAAATCTAGACGGAGGCATTCTCAGAAACTGCTTTGTGATGTTTCCATTCAAGTCACAGAGTTGAATATTCTCTTTTATAGAGCACGTTTGAAACACTCTTTCTGCACTATCTGGAAGTGGAAATTTCGAGCGCTGTGAGGCCTATAGTGAAAAAGGAAATATCTTCCCATAAAAACTGGACAGAAGCATTCTCAGAAACTTGTTTGTGATGTGTGTATTCAACTAACAGACTTGAACTTTTGTTTTTACAGAGCAGTTTTAAGACAATCTTTTTGTGGAATCAGAAAGTGGATATTCGGATGGCTTTGAGGATTTCGTTGGAAGCGGGATTACATATAAAATCTAGAGAGAAGCATTCTCAGGAACTACTTTGTGATGTTTGCATTGAAGTCACAGAATTGAACATTCACTTTGATAGAGCAGGTTTGAAACACTCATTCTGTAGTATCTGGAAGCGGACAATTCTAGCGCTTTCAGGCCTATGGGGAGAAAGGAAATATCTTCAAATAAAAACTAGACAGAAGCATCCTCAGAAACTTATTTGTGATGTGTGTCCTCAACTAACAGAGTTGAAACTTTGTTTTGATACAGCATTTTGGAAACACTCTTTTTGTAGAATCTGCAGGTGGATGTTTGGATAGCTTAGAGGGATTCGTTGGAAAGGGGATATCCTCATATAAAATCTAGACAGAAGCATTCTCAGAAACTTATTTGTGATGTGTGTCCTCAACTAACAGAGTGGAACCTTGGTTTTGATACAGCATTTTGGAAACACTCCTTTTGTAGAATCTGCAGGTGGATATGTGGATAGCTTTGAAGATTTCGTTGGAAACGGGAATTTCTTCATATAAAATCAAACAGAAGCATTCTCAGAAACTTCTCTGTGATGTTTGCATTCAG
Source organism: Homo sapiens (assembly GCF_000001405.40). Classification (NCBI taxonomy): domain Eukaryota; kingdom Metazoa; phylum Chordata; class Mammalia; order Primates; family Hominidae; genus Homo; species Homo sapiens. The sequence continues at coordinate 49,808,368 of NC_000004.12, forward strand.
CTCATGGAGTTGAACACTTCCTTTCATAGAGCAGGTTTGAAACACTCTTTCTGCACTACCAGGAAGTGGACATTTCCAGCGCTTTGAGGCCTATGGTGAAAAAGGAAATATCTTCTCATAAAAACCAGAAAGAAGCGTTCTCAGAAACTTCTTTGTGTTGTGTGTACTCATGTAACAGTGTTGAACCATCCTTTTGACAGAGCAGTTTTGAAACACTCTTTTTGTAGAATCTGCAAGTGGATATTTGGATAGCTTTGAGGATTTCGTTGGAAACGGGTTATCTTCATATTAAATCTAGACAGAAGCATTCTCAGAAACTTCTTTCTGCTGTATGTCCTCAATTCACAGAGTTGAACCTTTGTTTGGATACAGCATTTTGGAAACATTCCTTTAGTAGAATCTGCAAGTTGATATTTAGATAGCTTTGAAGATTTCGTTGGAAACGGGAATATCTTCATAAAAAATCTAGACGGAAGCATTGTCAGAAACTGCTTTGTGATGTTTGCATTCAAGTCACAGAGTTAAATATTCTTTTACAGAGCAGGTATGAAACACTCTTTCTGCACTCCCTGGAAGTGGAGATTTCGAGCGCTTTGAGGCCTTTGGTGAAAAAGGAAATATCTTCCCATAAAAACTAGACGGAAGCCTTCTCAGAAACTTGTTTGAGATGTGTGTATTCAACTAAGAGCGTTGAACATTTCTTTCTACACAGCAGTTTTAAAACACTCTTTTTGTGGAATCTGAAAGTGGATAATTGGATAGCTTTGTGGATTTCGTTGGAAACGGGATGACGTATAAAATCTAGAGAGAAGCATTCTCAGGAACTTCTTTCTGATGTTTGCATTCAAGTCACAGAATTGAACATTCCTTTTCATAGTGCAGGTTTGAAACACTCTTTCTGTAGTATCTGGAAGTGGACATTTCAAGCGCTTTCAGGCCTTATGGGGAGAAAGGAAATATCTTCAAATAAAAACTAGACAGAAGGATTCTCAGAAACTTATTGGTGATGTGTGTCCTAAACGAACACAGTTGAACCTTTGTTTTGATACAGCATTTTGGAAACACTCCCTTTGTAGAATCTGCAGGTGGATATGTGGATAGATTTTAAGATTTCGTTGGAAACGGGAATTTCTTCATATAAACTCAAGACAGAAGCATTCTCGGAAACATCTCTGTGATGTTTGCATTCAACTCAGTAGAGTTGAACACTTCCTTTCATAGAGCAGGTTTGAAACACTCTTTCTGCACTACCTGGAAGCGGACATTTCGAGCGCTTTGAGGCCTATGGTGAAAAAGGAAATATCTTCTCATAAAAACCAGAAACAAGCATTCTCAGAAACTTCTTTTTGATGTGTGTACTCAAGTAACAGAGTTGAACCTTCCTTTTGACACAGCAGTTTTGAAACAATCTTTTTGTAGAATCTGCAAGTGGATATTTGGATAGCTTTGAGGATTTCGTTGGAAACGGGATATCTTCATATAAAATCTAGACAGAAGCATTCTCAGAAACATCTTTGTGCTGTATGTCCTCAATTAACAGAGTTGAACCATGGCTTGGATACAGCATTTTGGAAACATTCCTTGAGTAGAATCTGCAAGTTGATATGTAGATAGCTTTGAAGATTTCGTTGGAAACGGGAATATCTTCATATAAAATCTAGACGGAAGCATTCTCAGAAACTGCTTTGTGATGTTTCCATTCAAGTCACAGAGTTGAATATTCCCTTTTATAGAGCACGTTTGAAACACTCTTTCTGCACTATCTGGAAGCGGACATTTCGAGCGCTTTGAGGCCTATGGTGAAAAAGGAAATATCTTCCCATAAAAACTAGACAGAAGCATTCTCAGAAACTTGTTTGTGATGTGTGTATTCAACTAACAGAGTTGAACTTTTGTTTTTACAGAGCCGTTTTAAAACACTCTTTTTGTGGAATCAGAAAGTGGATATTCGGATGGCTCTGAGGATTTCGTTGGAAGCGGGATTACGTATAAAATCTAGAGAGAAGCATTCTCAGGAACTTCTTTGTGATGTTTGCATTGAAGTCACAGAATTGAACATTCACTTTGATAGAGCAGGTTTGAAACACTCATTCTGTAGTATCTGGAAGTGGACATTTCAAGCGCTTTCAGGCCTATGGTGAGAAAGGAAATATCTTCGAATAAAAACTAGACAGAAGCATCCTCAAACTTATTTGTGATGTGTGTCCTCAACTAACAGAGTTGAAACTTTGTTTTGATACAGCATTTTGGAAACACTCTTTTTGTAGAATCTGCAGGTGGATATTTGGATAGCTTAGAGGGATTCGTTGGAAAGGGGATATCTTCATATAAAATCTAGACAGAAGCATTCTCAGAAACTTATTTGTGATGTGTGTCCTCAACTAACAAAGTTGAACCTTGGTTTTGATACAGCATTTTGGAAACACTCCTTTTGTAGAATCTGCAGGTGGATATGTGGATAGCTTTGAAGATTTCGTTGGAAAGGGGAATTTCTTCATATAAAATCAAACAGAAGCATTCTCAGAAACTTCTCAGTGATGTTTGCATTCAGCTCATGGAGTTGAACACTTCCTTTCATAGAGCAGGTTTGAAACACTCTTTCTGCACTACCTGGAAGAGGACATTTCGAGCGCTTTAAGTCCTATGGTGAAAAAGGAAATATCTTCTCATAAAAACCAGAAAGAAGCATTCTCAGAAACTTCTTTGTGTTGTGTGTACTCATGTAACAGTGTTGAACCATCCTTTTGACAGAGCAGTTTTGAAACACTCTTTTTGTAGAATCTGCAAGTGGATATTTGGATAGCTTTGAGGATTTCGTTGGAAACGGGATGACATATAATATCTAGAGAGAAGCATTCTCAGGAACTTCTTTGTGATGTTTGCATTCAAGTCACAGAATTGAACGTTCCCTTTCATAGAGCAGGTTTGAAACACTCTTTCTCTAGTATCTGGAAGTGGACATTTCAAGCGCTTTCAGGCCTATGGAGAGAAAGGAAATACCTTCAAATAAAAACTAGACAGAAGCATTCTCAGAAACTTATTTGTGATGTGTGTCCTCAACTAACAGAGTTGAACCTTTGTTTTGATACAGCATTTTGGAAACACTCCTTTTGTAGAATCTGCAGGTGGATATTTGGATAGCTTTGAAGATTTCGTTGGAAACCGGAATATCTTCATATAAAATCAAGACAGAAGCATTCTCGGAAACATCTCTGTGATGTTTGCATTCAACTCAGTAGAGTTGAACACTTCCTTTCATAGAGCAGGTTTGAAACACTCTTTTTGTAATATTTGGAAGTGGACATTTGCAGCGCTTTGAGGCCTATGGTGAAAAAGGAAATATCTTCTCATAAAAACCAGAAACAAGCATTCTCAGAAACTTCTTTTTGATGTGTGTACTCAAGTAACAGAGTTGAACCTTCCTTTTGACACAGCAGTTTTGAAACAATCTTTTTGTAGAATCTGCAAGTGGATATTTGGATAGCTTTGAGGATTTCGTTGGAAACGGGATATCTTCATATAAAATCTAGACAGAAGCATTCTCAGAAACTTCTTTGTGCTGTATGTCCTCAATTAACAGAGTTGAACCATTGCTTGGATACAGCATTTTGGAAACATTCCTTGAGTAGAATCTGCAAGTTGATATTTAGATAGCTTTGAAGATTTCGTTGGAAACGGGAATATCTTCATAGAAAATCTAGACGGAAGCATTCTCAGAAACTGCTTTGTGATGTTTCCATTCAAGTCAGAGAGTTGAATATTCTCTTTTATAGAGCACGATTGAAACACTCTTTCTGCACTATCTGGAAGTGGACCTTTCGAGCGCTTTGAGGCCTATGGTGAAAAAGGAAATATCTTCCCATAAAAACTAGACAGAAAGCATTCTCAGCAAACTTGTTTGTGATGTGTGTATTCAACTAACAGAGTTGAACTTTTGTTTTTACAGAGCCGTTTTAAAACACTCTTTTTGTGGAATCAGAAAGTGGATATTCGGATGGCTCTGAGGATTTCGTTGGAAGCGGGATTACGTATAAAATCTAGAGAGAAGCATTCTCAGGAACTACTTTGTGATGTTTGCATTGAAGTCACAGAATTGAACATTCACTTTGATAGAGCAGGTTTGAAACACTCATTCTGTAGTATCTGGAAGTGGACATTTCAAGCGCTTTCAGGCCTATGGTGAGAAAGGAAATATCTTCAAATTAAAACTAGACAGAAGCATCCTCAGAAACTTATTTGTGATGTGTGTCCTCAACTAACAGAGTTGAAACTTTGTTTTGATACAGCATTTTGGAAACACTCTTTTTGTAGAATCTGCAGGTGGATATTTGGATAGCTTAGAGGGATTCGTTGGGAAGGGGATATCTTCATATAAAATCTAGACAGAAGCATTCTCAGAAACTTATTTGTGATGTGTGTCCTCAACTAACATAGTTGAACCTTGGTTTTGATACAGCATTTTGGAAACACTCCTTTTGAAGAATCTGCAGGTGGATATGTGGACAGCTTTGAAGATTTCGTTGGAAACGGGAATTTCTTCATATAAAATCAAACAGAAGCATTCTCAGAAACTTCTCAGTGATGTTTGCATTCAGTTCATGGAGTTGAACACTTCCTTTCATAGAGCCAGTTTGAAACACTCTTTCTGCACTACCTGGAAGAGGACATTTCGAGCGCTTTGAGTCCTATGGTGAAAAAGGAAATATCTTCTCATAGAAACCAGAAAGAAGCATTCTCAGAAACTTCTTTGTGTTGTGTGTACTCATGTAACAGTGTTGAACCATCCTTTTGACAGAGCAGTTTTGAAACACTCTTTTTGTAGAATCTGCAAGTGGATATTTGGATAGCTTTGAGGATTTCGTTGGAAACGGGATGACATATAATATCTAGAGAGAAGCATTCTCAGGAACTTCTTTGTGATGTTTGCATTCAAGTCACAGAATTGAACATTCCCTTTCATAGAGCAGGTTTGAAACACTCTTTCTCTAGTATCTGGAAGTGGGCATTTCAAGCGCTTTCAGGCCTATGGAGAGAAAGGAAATACCTTCAAATAAAAACTAGACAGAAGCATTCTCAGAAACTTATTTGTGATGTGTGTCCTCAACTAACAGAGTTGAACCTTTGTTTTGATACAGCATTTTGGAAACACTCCTTTTGTAGAATCTGCAGGTGGATATTTGGATAGCTTTGAAGATTTCGTTGGAAACCGGAATATCTTCATATAAAATCAAGACAGAAGCATTCTCGGAAACATCTCTGTGATGTTTGCATTCAACTCAGTAGAGTTGAACACTTCCTTTCATAGAGCAGGTTTGAAACACTCTTTCTGCACTACCTGGAAGCGGACATTTCGAGCGCTTTGAGGCCTATGGTGAAAAAGGAAATATCTTCTCATAAAAACCAGAAAGAAGCATTCTCAGAAACTTCTTTGTGTTGTGTGTACTCAAGTAACAGTGTTGAACCTTCCTTTTGACAGAGCAGTTTTGAAACACTCTTTTGGTAGAATCTGCAAGTGGATATTTGGAGAGCTTTGAGGATTTCGTTGGAAACGGGTTATCTTCCTATAAAATCCAGACAGGAGCATTCTCAGAAACTTCTTTGTGCTGTATGTCCTCAATTCACAGAGCTGAACCTTTGTTTGGATACAGCATTTTGGAGACATTCCTTTAGTAGAATCTGCAAGTTGATATTTAGATAGCTTTGAAGATTTCGTTGGAAACGGGAATATCTTCATAGAAAATCTAGACGGAAGCATTCTCAGAAACTGCTTTGTGATGTTTGCATTCAAGTCACAGAGTTGAATATTCCCTTTTATAGAGTAGGTTTGAAACACTCTTTCGGCACTACCTGGAAGTGGATATTTCGAGCTCTTTGAGGCCTATGGTTAAAAGGAAATATCTTCCCATAAAAACTAGACAGAAGCCGTCTCAGAAACTTGTTTGTGATGTGTGTATTCAACTAACAGAGTTGAACATTTCTGTTACAGAGCAATTTTAAAACACTCTTTTTGTGGAATCTGAAAGTGGATAATTGGATAGCTTTGTGGATTTCGTTGGAAACGGGATGACGTATAAAATCTAGAGAGAAGCATTCTCAGGAACTTCTTTCTGATGTTTGCATTCAAGTCACAGAATTGAACATTCCTTTTCAGAGTGCAGGTTTGAAACACTCTTTCTGTAGTATCTGGAAGTGGACATTTCAAGCGCTTTCAGGCCTACGGGGAGAAAGGAAATATCTTCAAATAAAAACTAGAGAGAAGGATTCTCAGAAACTTATTTGTGATGTGTGTCCTAAACGAACACAGTTGAACCTTTGTTTTGATACAGCATTTTGGAAACACTCCTTTTGTAGGATCTGCAGGTGGATATTTGGATAGATTTTAAGATTTCGTTGGAAACGGGAATTTCTTCATAGAAGCTCAAGACAGATGCATTCTCAGAAACTTCTCTGTGATGTTTGCATTCCACTCATAGAGTTGAAAACTTCCTTTCATAGAGCAGGTTTGAAACACTCTTTTTGTAATATTTGGAAGTGGACATTTGCAGCGCTTTGAGGCCTATGGTGAAAAAGGAAATATCTTCTCATAAAAACCAGAAACAAGCATTCTCAGAAACTTCTTTTTGATGTGTGTACTCAAGTAACAGAGTTGAACCTTCCTTTTGACACAGCAGTTTTGAAACAATCTTTTTGTAGAATCTGCAAGTGGATATTTGGATAGCTTTGAGGATTTCGTTGGAAACGGGATATCTTCATATAAAATCTAGACAGAAGCATTCTCAGAAACTTCTTTGTGCTGTATGTCCTCAATTAACAGAGTTGAACCATTGCCTGGATACAGCATTTTGGAAACATTCCTTGAGTAGAATCTGCAAGTTGATATTTAGATAGATTTGAAGATTTCGTTGGAAACGGGAATATCTCCATATAAAATCTAGAGGGAAGCATTCTCAGAAACTGCTTTGTGATGTTTCCATTCAAGTCACAGAGTTGAATATTCCCTTTTATAGAGCACGTTTGAAACACTCTTTCTGCACTATCTGGAAGCGGACATTTCGAGCGCTTTGAGGCCTATGGTGAAAAAGGAAATATCTTCCCATAAAAACTAGACAGAAGCATTCTCAGAAACTTGTTTGTGATGTGTGTATTCAACTAACAGAGTTGAACTTTTGTTTTTACAGAGCCGTTTTAAAACACTCTTTTTGTGGAATCAGAAAGTGGATATTCGGATGGCTCTGAGGATTTCGTTGGAAGCGGGATTACGTATAAAATCTAGAGAGAAGCATTCTCAGGAACTTCTTTGTGATGTTTGCATTGAAGTCACAGAATTGAACATTCACTTTGATAGAGCAGGTTTGAAACACTCATTCTGTAGTATCTGGAAGTGGACATTTCAAGCGCTTTCAGGCCTAAGGTGAGAAAGGAAATATCTTCGAATAAAAACTAGACAGAAGCATCCTCAGAAACTTATTTGTGATGTGTGTCCTCAACTAACAGAGTTGAACCTTTGTTTTGATACAGCATTTTGGAAACACTCTTTTTGTAGAATCTGCAGGTGGATATTTGGATAGCTTAGAGGGATTCGTTGGAAAGGGGATATCTTCATATAAAATCTAGACAGAAGCATTCTCAGAAACTTATTTGTGATGTGTGTCCTCAACTAACAGAGTTGAACCTTGGTTTTGATACAGCATTTTGGAAACACTCCTTTTGTAGAATCTGCAGGTGGATATGTGGATAGCTTTGAAGATTTCGTTGGAAACGGGAATTTCTTCATATTAAATCAAACAGAAGCATTCTCAGAAACTTCTCAGTGATGTTTGCATTCAGCTCATGGATTTGAACACTTCCTTTCATAGAGCCGGTTTGAAACACTCTTTCTGCACTACCTGGAAGCGGACATTTCGAGCGCTTTGAGGCCTATGGTGAAAAAGGAAATATCTTCTCATAAAAACCAGAAAGAAGCCTTCTCAGAAACTTCTTTGTGTTGTGTGTACTCATGTAACAGTGTTGAACCATCCTTTTGACAGAGCAGTTTTGAAACACTCTTTTTGTAGAATCTGCAAGTGGATATTTGGATAGCTTTGAGGATTTCGTTGGAAACGGGATGACATATAATATCTAGAGAGAAGCATTCTCAGGAACTTCTTTGTGATGTTTGCATTCAAGTCACAGAATTGAACATTCCCTTTCATAGAGCAGGTTTGAAACACTTTCTCTAGTATCTGGAAGTGGGCATTTCAAGCGCTTTCAGGCCTATGGAGAGAAAGGAAGTACCTTCAAATAAAAACTAGACAGAAGCATTCTCAGAAACTTATTTGTGATGTGTGTCCTCAACTAACAGAGTTGAACCTTTGTTTTGATACAGCATTTTGGAAACACTCCTTTTGTAGAATCTGCAGGTGGATATGTGGATAGCTTTGAAGATTTCGTTGGAAACCGGAATATCTTCCTATAAAATCAAGACAGAAGCATTCTCGGAAACATCTTCTGTGATGTTTGCATTCAACTCAGTAGAGTTGAACACTTCCTTTCATAGAGCAGGTTTGAAACACTCTTTCTGCACTACCTGGAAGTGGACATTTCGAGCGCTTTGAGGCCTATGGTGAAAAAGGAAATGTCTTCTCATAAAAACCAGAAAGAAGCATTCTCAGAAACTTCTTTGTGTTGTGTGTACTCAAGTAACAGTGTTGAACCTTCCTTTTGACAGAGCAGTTTTGAAACACTCTTTTGGTAGAATCTGCAAGTGGATATTTGGATAGCTTTGAGGATTTCGTTGGAAACGGGTTATCTTCATATAAAATCCAGACAGGAGCATTCTCAGAAACTTCTTTGTGCTGTATGTCCTCAATTCACAGAGCTGAACCTTTGTTTGGATACAGCATTTTGGAGACATTCCTTTAGTAGAATCTGCAAGTTGATATTTAGATAGCTTTGAAGATTTCGTTGGAAACGGGAATATCTTCATAGAAAATCTAGACGGAAGCATTCTCAGAAACTGCTTTGTGATGTTTGCATTCAAGTCACAGAGTTGAATATTCCCTTTTATAGAGTAGGTTTGAAACACTCTTTCGGCACTACCTGGAAGTGGATATTTCGAGCTCTTTGAGGCCTATGGTTAAAAGGAAATATCTTCCCATAAAAACTAGACAGAAGCCGTCTCAGAAACTTGTTTGTGATGTGTGTATTCAACTAACAGAGTTGAACATTTCTGTTACAGAGCAATTTTAAAACACTCTTTGTGGAATCTGAAAGTGGATAATTGGATAGCTTTGTGGATTTCGTTGGAAACGGGATGACGTATAAAATCTAGAGAGAAGCATTCTCAGGAACTTCTTTCTGATGTTTGCATTCAAGTCACAGAATTGAACATTCCTTTTCAGAGTGCAGGTTTGAAACACTCTTTCTGTAGTATCTGGAAGTGGACATTTCAAGCGCTTTCAGGCCTACGGGGAGAAAGGGAATATCTTCAAATAAAAACTAGACAGAAGGATTCTCAGAAACTTATTTGTGATGTGTGTCCTAAACGAACACAGTTGAACCTTTGTTTTGATACAGCATTTTGGAAACACTCCTTTTGTAGGATCTGCAGGTGGATATTTGGATAGATTTTAAGATTTCGTTGGAAACGGGAATTTCTTCATAGAAGCTCAAGACAGATGCATTCTCAGAAACTTCTCTGTGATGTTTGCATTCCACTCATAGAGTTGAAAACTTCCTTTCATAGAGCAGGTTTGAAACACTCTTTTTGTAATATTTGGAAGTGGACATTTGCAGCGCTTTGAGGCCTATGGTGAAAAAGGAAATATCTTCTCATAAAAACCAGAAACAAGCATTCTCAGAAACTTCTTTTTGATGTGTGTACTCAAGTAACAGAGTTGAACCTTCCTTTTGACACAGCAGTTTTGAAACAATCTTTTTGTAGAATCTGCAAGTGGATATTTGGATAGCTTTGAGGATTTCGTTGGAAACGGGATATCTTCATATAAAATCTAGACAGAAGCATTCTCAGAAACTTCTTTGTGCTGTATGACCTCAATTAACAGAGTTGAACCATTGCTTGCATACAGCATTTTGGAAACATTCCTTGAGTAGAATCTGCAAGTTGATATTTAGATAGATTTGAAGATTTCGTTCGAAAACGGAATATCTCCATATAAAATCTAGAGGGAAGCATTCTCAGAAACTGCTTTGTGATGTTTCCATTCAAGTCACAGAGTTGAATATTCCCTTTTATAGAGCACGTTTGAAACACTCTTTCTGCACTATCTGGAAGTGGACATTTCGAGCGCTTTGAGGCCTATGGTGAAAAAGGAAATATCTTCCCATAAAAACTAGACAGAAAGCATTCTCAGAAACTTGTTTGTGATGTGTGTATTCAACTAACAGAGTTGAACTTTTGTTTTTACAGAGCCGTTTTAAAACACTCTTTTTGTGGAATCAGAAAGTGGATATTCGGATGGCTCTGAGGATTTCGTTGGAAGCGGGATTACATATAAAATCTAGAGAGAAGCATTCTCAGGAACTTCTTTGTGATGTTTGCATTGAAGTCACAGAATTGAACATTCACTTTGATAGAGCAGGTTTGAAACACTCATTCTGTAGGATCTGGAAGTGGACATTTCAAGCGCTTTCAGGCCTATGGTGAGAAAGGAAATATCTTCGAATAAAAACTAGACAGAAGCATCCTCAAACTTATTTGTGATGTGTGTCCTCAACTAACAGAGTTGAAACTTTGTTTTGATACAGCATTTTGGAAACACTCTTTTTGTAGAATCTGCAGGTGGATATTTGGATAGCTTAGAGGGATTCGTTGGAAAGGGGATATCTTCATATAAAATCTAGACAGAAGCATTCTCAGAAACTTATTTGTGATGTGTGTCCTCAACTAACAGAGTTGAACCTTGGTTTTGATACAGCATTTTGGAAACACTCCTTTTGTAGAATCTGCAGGTGGATATGTGGATAGCTCTGAAGATTTCGTTGGAAACGGGAATTTCTTCATATAAAATCAAACAGAAGCATTCTCAGAAACTTCTCAGTGATGTTTGCATTCAGCTCATGGAGTTGTACACTTCCTTTCATAGAGCAGGTTTGAAACACTCTTTCTGCACTACCTGGAAGAGGACATTTCGAGCGCTTTGAGTCCTATGGTGAAAAAGGAAATATCTTCTCATAGAAACCAGAAAGAAGCATTCTCAGAAACTTCTTTGTGTTGTGTGTACTCATGTAACAGTGTTGAACCATCCTTTTGACAGAGCAGTTTTGAAACACTCTTTTTGTAGAATCTGCAAGTGGATATTTGGATAGCTTTGAGGATTTCGTTGGAAACGGGATGACATATAATATCTAGAGAGAAGCATTCTCAGGAACTTCTTTGTGATGTTTGCATTCAAGTCACAGAATTGAACATTCCCTTTCATAGAGCAGGTTTGAAACACTCTTTCTCTAGTATCTGGAAGTGGGCATTTCAAGCGCTTTCAGGCCTATGGAGAGAAAGGAAATACCTTCAAATAAAAACTAGACAGAAGCATTCTCAGAAACTTATTTGTGATGTGTGTCCTCAACTAACAGAGTTGAACCTTTGTTTTGATACAGCATTTTGGAAACACTCCTTTTGTAGAATCTGCAGGTGGATATTTGGATAGCTTTGAAGATTTCGTTGGAAACCGGAATATCTTCATATAAAATCAAGACAGAAGCATTCTCGGAAACATCTCTGTGATGTTTGCATTCAACTCAGTAGAGTTGAACACTTCCTTTCATAGAGCAGGTTTGAAACACTCTTTCTGCACTACCTGGAAGTGGACATTTCGAGCGCTTTGAGGCCTATGGTGAAAAAGGAAATATCTTCTCATAAAAACCAGAAAGAAGCATTCTCAGAAACTTCTTTGTGTTGTGTGTACTCAAGTAACAGTGTTGAACCTTCCTTTTGACAGAGCAGTTTTGAAACACTCTTTTGGTAGAATCTGCAAGTGGATATTTGGAGAGATTTGAGGATTTCGTTGGAAACGGGTTATCTTCATATAAAATCCAGACAGGAGCATTCTCAGAAACTTCTTTGTGCTGTATGTCCTCAATTCACAGAGCTGAACCTTTGTTTGGATACAGCATTTTGGAGACATTCCTTTAGTAGAATCTGCAAGTTGATATTTAGATAGCTTTGAAGATTTCGATGGAAACGGGAATATCTTCATAGAAAATCTAGACGGAAGCATTCTCAGAAACTGCTTTGTGATGTTTGCATTCAAGTCACAGAGTTGAATATTCCCTTTTATAGAGTAGGTTTGAAACACTCTTTCGGCACTACCTGGAAGTGGATATTTCGAGCTCTTTGAGGCCTATGGTTAAAAGGAAATATCTTCCCATAAAAACTAGACAGAAGCCTTCTCAGAAACTTGTTTGAGATGTGTGTATTCAACTAAGAGCGTTGAACATTTCTTTTTACAGAGCAGTTTTAAAACACTCTTTTGTGGAATCTAAAAGTGGATAATTGGATAGCTTTGTGGATTTCGTTGGAAACGGGATGACGTATAAAATCTAGAGAGAAGCATTCTCAGGAACTTCTTTCTGATGTTTGCATTCAAGTCACAGAATTGAACATTCCTTTTCATAGTGCAGGTTTGAAACACTCTTTCTGTAGTATCTGGAAGTGGACATTTCAAGCGCTTTCAGGCCTGTGGGGAGAAAGGAAATATCTTCAAATAAAAACTAGACAGAAGGATTCTCAGAAACTTATTTGTGATGTGTGTCCTAAACGAACACAGTTGAACCTTTGTTTTGATACAGCATTTTGGAAACACTCCTTTTGTAGGATCTGCAGGTGGATATTTGGATAGATTTTAAGATTTCGTTGGAAACGGGAATTTCTTCATAGAAGCTCAAGACAGATGCATTCTCAGAAACTTCTCTGTGATGTTTGCATTCCACTCATAGAGTTGAAAACTTCCTTTCATAGAGCAGGTTTGAAACACTCTTTTTGTAATATTTGGAAGTGGACATTTGCAGCGCTTTGAGGCCTATGGTGAAAAAGGAAATATCTTCTCTATAAAAACCAGAAACAAGCATTCTCAGAAACTTCTTTTTGATGTGTGTACTCAAGTAACAGAGTTGAACCTTCCTCTTGACACAGCAGTTTTGAAACAATCTTTTTGTAGAATCTGCAAGTGGATATTTGGATAGCTTTGAGGATTTCGTTGGAAACGGGATATCTTCATATAAAATCTAGACAGAAGCATTCTCAGAAACTTCTTTGTGCTGTATGTCCTCAATTAACAGAGTTGAACCATTGCCTGGATACAGCATTTTGGAAACATTCCTTGAGTAGAATCTGCAAGTTGATATTTAGATAGATTTGAAGATTTCGTTGGAAAAGGGAATATCTCCATATAAAATCTAGAGGGAAGCATTCTCAGAAACTGCTTTGTGATGTTTCCATTCAAGTCACAGAGTTGAATATTCCCTTTTATAGAGCACGTTTGAAACACTCTTTCTGCACTATCTGGAAGCGGACATTTCGAGCGCTTTGAGGCCTATGGTGAAAAAGGAAATATCTTCCCATAAAAACTAGACAGAAGCATTCTCAGAAACTTGTTTGTGATGTGTGTATTCAACTAACAGAGTTGAACTTTTGTTTTTACAGAGCCGTTTTAAAACACTCTTTTTGTGGAATCAGAAAGTGGATATTCGGATGGCTCTGAGGATTTCGTTGGAAGCGGGATTATGTATAAAATCTAGAGAGAAGCATTCTCAGGAACTTCTTTCTGATGTTTGCATTGAAGTCACGGAATTGAACATTCACTTTTATAGAGCAGGTTTGAAACACTCATTCTGTAGTATCTGGAAGTGGACATTTCAAGCGCTTTCAGGCCTATGGTGAGAAAGGAAATATCTTCGAATAAAAACTAGACAGAAGCATCCTCAGAAACTTATTTGTGATGTGTGTCCTCAACTAACAGAGTTGAAACTTTGTTTTGATACAGCATTTTGGAAACACTCTTTTTGTAGAATCTGCAGGTGGATATTTGGATAGCTTAGAGGGATTCGTTGGAAAGGGGATATCTTCATATAAAATCTAGACAGAAGCATTCTCAGAAACTTATTTGTGATGTGTGTCCTCAACTAACAGAGTTGAACCTTGGTTTTGATACAGCATTTTGGAAACACTCCTTTTGTAGAATCTGCAGGTGGATATGTGGATAGCTCTGAAGATTTCGTTGGAAACGGGAATTTCTTCATATAAAATCAAACAGAAGCATTCTCAGAAACTTCTCAGTGATGTTTGCATTCAGCTCATGGAGTTGTACACTTCCTTTCATAGAGCAGGTTTGAAACACTCTTTCTGCACTACCTGGAAGAGGACATTTCGAGCGCTTTGAGTCCTATGGTGAAAAAGGAAATATCTTCTCATAGAAACCAGAAAGAAGCATTCTCAGAAACTTCTTTGTGTTGTGTGTACTCATGTAACAGTGTTGAACCATCCTTTTGACAGAGGAGTTTTGAAACACTCTTTTTGTAGAATCTGCAAGTGGATATTTGGATAGCTTTGAGGATTTCGTTGGAAACGGGATGACATATAATATCTAGAGAGAAGCATTCTCAGGAACTTCTTTGTGATGTTTGCATTCAAGTCACAGAATTGAACATTCCCTTTCATAGAGCAGGTTTGAAACACTCTTTCTCTAGTATCCGGAAGTGGGCATTTCAAGCGCTTTCAGGCCTATGGAGAGAAAGGAAATACCTTCAAATAAAAACTAGACAGAAGCATTCTCAGAAACTTATTTGTGATGTGTGTCCTCAACTAACAGAGTTGAACCTTTGTTTTGATACAGCATTTTGGAAACACTCCTTTTGTAGAATCTGCAGGTGGATATTTGCATAGCTTTGAAGATTTCGTTGGAAACCGGAATATCTTCATATAAAATCAAGACAGAAGCATTCTCGGAAACATCTCTGTGATGTTTGCATTCAACTCAGTAGAGTTGAACACTTCCTTTCATAGAGCAGGTTTGAAACACTCTTTCTGCACTACCTGGAAGCGGACATTTCGAGCTCTTTGAGGCCTATGGTGAAAAAGGAAATATCTTCTCATAAAAACCAGAAAGAAGCATTCTCAGAAAGTTATTTTTGATGTGTGTACTCAAGTAACAGAGTTGAACCTTATTTTTGACACAGCAGTTTTGAAACACTCTTCTGGTAGAATCTGCAAGTGGATATTTGGAGAGCTTTGAGGATTTCGTTGGAAACGGGTTATCTTCATATAAAATCCAGACAGGAGCATTCTCAGAAACTTCTTTGTGCTGTATGTCCTCAATTCACAGAGCTGAACCTTTGTTTGGATACAGCATTTTGGAAACTTTCCTTTAGTAGAATCTGCAAGTTGATATTTAGATAGCTTTGAAGATTTCACTGGAAACGGGAATATCTTCATAGAAAATCTAGACGGAAGCATTCTCAGAAACTGCTTTGTGATGTTTGCATTCAAGTCACAGAGTTGAATATTCCCTTTTATAGAGTAGGTTTGAAACACTCTTTCGGCACTACCTGGAAGTGGATATTTCGAGCTCTTATGAGGCCTATGGTTAAAAGGAAATATCTTCCCATAAAAACTAGACAGAAGCCGTCTCAGAAACTTGTTTGTGATGTGTGTATTCAACTAACAGAGTTGAACATTTCTGTTACAGAGCAATTTTAAAACACTCTTTGTGGAATCTGAAAGTGGATAATTGGATAGCTTTGTGGATTTCGTTGGAAACGGGATGACGTATAAAATCTAGAGAGAAGCATTCTCAGGAACTTCTTTCTGATGTTTGCATTCAAGTCACAGAATTGAACATTCCTTTTCAGAGTGCAGGTTTGAAACACTCTTTCTGTAGTATCTGGAAGTGGACATTTCAAGCGCTTTCAGGCCTACGGGGAGAAAGGAAATATCTTCAAATAAAAACTAGAGAGAAGGATTCTCAGAAACTTATTTGTGATGTGTGTCCTAAACGAACACAGTTGAACCTTTGTTTTGATACAGCATTTTGGAAACACTCCTTTTGTAGGATCTGCAGGTGGATATTTGGAGAGATTTTAAAATTTCGTTGGAAACGGGAATTTCTGCATATAAACTCAAGACAGATGCATTCTCAGAAACTTCTCTGTGATGTTTGCATTCCACTCATAGAGTTGAAAACTTCCTTTCATAGAGCAGGTTTGAAACACTCTTTTTGTAATATTTGGAAGTGGACATTTGCAGCGCTTTGAGGCCTATGGTGAAAAAGGAAATATCTTCTCATAAAAACCAGAAACAAGCATTCTCAGAAACTTCTTTTTGATGTGTGTACTCAAGTAACAGAGTTGAACCTTCCTCTTGACACAGCAGTTTTGAAACAATCTTTTTGTAGAATCTGCAAGTGGATATTTGGATAGCTTTGAGGATTTCGTTGGAAACGGGATATCTTCATATAAAATCTAGACAGAAGCATTCTCAGAAACTTCTCTGTGCTGTATGTCCTCAATTAACAGAGTTGAACCATTGCCTGGATACAGCATTTTGGAAACATTCCTTGAGTAGAATCTGCAAGTTGATATTTAGATAGATTTGAAGATTTCGTTGGAAAAGGGAATATCTCCATATAAAATCTAGAGGGAAGCATTCTCAGAAACTGCTTTGTGATGTTTCCATTCAAGTCACAGAGTTGAATATTCCCTTTTATAGAGCACGTTTGAAACACTCTTTCTGCACTATCTGGAAGCGGACATTTCGAGCGCTTTGAGGCCTATGGTGAAAAAGGAAATATCTTCCCATAAAAACTAGACAGAAGCATTCTCAGAAACTTGTTTGTGATGTGTGTATTCAACTAACAGAGTTGAACTTTTGTTTTTACAGAGCCGTTTTAAAACACTCTTTTTGTGGAATCAGAAAGTGGATATTCGGATGGCTCTGAGGATTTCGTTGGAAGCGGGATTACGTATAAAATCTAGAGAGAAGCATTCTCAGGAACTACTTTGTGATGTTTGCATTGAAGTCACAGAATTGAACATTCACTTTTATAGAGCAGGGTTGAAACACTCATTCTGTAGTATCTGGAAGTGGACATTTCAAGCGCTTTCAGGCCTATGGAGAGAAAGGAGATATCTTCAAATAAAAACTAGACAGAAGCATCCTCAGAAACTTATTTGTGATGTGTGTCCTCAACTAACAGAGTTGAAACTTTGTTTTGATACAGCCTTTTGGAAACACTCCTTTCGTAGAATCTGCAGGTGGCTATTTGGATAGCTTAGAGGGATTCGTTGGAAAGGGGATATCTTCACATAAAATCTAGACAGAAGCATTCTCAGAAACTTATTTGTGATGTGTGTCCTCAACTAACAGAGTTGAACCTTGGTTTTGATACAGCATTTTGGAAACACTCCTTTTGTAGAATCTGCATGTGGATATGTGGATAGCTCTGAAGATTTCGTTGGAAACGGGAATTTCTTCATATAAAATCAAACAGAAGCATTCTCAGAAACTTCTCAGTGATGTTTGCATTCAGCTCATGGAGTTGTACACTTCCTTTCATAGAGCAAGTTTGAAACACTCTTTCTGCACTACCTGGAAGAGGACATTTCGAGCGCTTTGAGTCCTATGGTGAAAAAGGAAATATCTTCTCATAGAAACCAGAAAGAAGCATTCTCAGAAACTTCTTTGTGTTGTGTGTACTCATGTAACAGTGTTGAACCATCCTTTTGACAGAGCAGTTTTGAAACACTCTTTTTGTAGAATCTGCAAGTGGATATTTGGATAGCTTTGAGGATTTCGTTGGAAACGGGATGACATATAATATCTAGAGAGAAGCATTCTCAGGAACTTCTTTGTGATGTTTGCATTCAAGTCACAGAATTGAACATTCCCTTTCATAGAGCAGGTTTGAAACACTCTTTCTCTAGTATCTGGAAGTGGGCATTTCAAGCGCTTTCAGGCCTATGGAGAGAAAGGAAATACCTTCAAATAAAAACTAGACAGAAGCATTCTCAGAAACTTATTTGTGATGTGTGTCCTCAACTAACAGAGTTGAACCTTTGTTTTGATACAGCATTTTGGAAACACTCCTTTTGTAGAATCTGCAGGTGGATATTTGGATAGCTTTGAAGATTTCGTTGGAAACCGGAATATCTTCATATAAAATCAAGACAGAAGCATTCTCGGAAACATCTCTGTGATGTTTGCATTCAACTCAGTAGAGTTGAACACTTCCCTTTCATAGAGCAGGTTTGAAACACTCTTTCTGCACTACCTGGAAGCGGACATTTCGAGCGCTTTGAGGCCTATGGTGAAAAAGGAAATATCTTCTCATAAAAACCAGAAAGAAGCATTCTCAGAAACTTCTTTGTGTTGTGTGTACTCAAGTAACAGTGTTGAACCTTCCTTTTCACAGAGCAGTTTTGAAACACTCTTTTGGTAGAATCTGCAAGTGGATATTTGGAGAGCTTTGAGGATTTCGTTGGAAACGGGTTATCCTCATATAAAATCCAGACAGGAGCATTCTCAGAAACTTCTTTGTGCTGTATGTCCTCAATTAACAGAGTTGAACCATTGCTTGGATACAGCATTTTGGAAACATTCCTTTAGTAGAATCTGCAAGTTGATATTTAGATAGCTTTGAAGATTTCGTTGGAAACGGGAATATCTTCATATAAAATCTAGACGGAGGCATTCTCAGAAACTGCTTTGTGATGTTTCCATTCAAGTCACAGAGTTGAATATTCTCTTTTATAGAGCACGTTTGAAACACTCTTTCTGCACTATCTGGAAGTGGACATTTCGAGCGCTTTGAGGCCTATGGTGAAAAAGGAAATATCTTCCCATAAAAACTAGACAGAAGCATTCTCAGAAACTTGTTTGTGATGTGTGTATTCAACTAACAGACTTGAACTTTTGTTTTTACAGAGCAGTTTTAAAACAATCTTTTTGTGGAATCAGAAAGTGGATATTCGGATGGCTTTGAGGATTTCGTTGGAAGCGTGATTACATATAAAATCTAGAGAGAAGCATTCTCAGGAACTACTTTGTGATGTTTGCATTGAAGTCACAGAATTGAACATTCACTTTGATAGAGCAGGTTTGAAACACTCATTCTGTAGTATCTGGAAGTGGACATTTCAAGTGCTTTCAGGCCTATGGGGAGAAAGGAAATATCTTCAAATTAAAACTAGACAGAAGCATCCTCAGAAACTTATTTGTGATGTGTGTCCTCAACTAACAGAGTTGAAACTTTGTTTTGATACAGCATTTTGGAAACACTCTTTTTGTAGAATCTGCAGGTGGATACTTGGATAGCTTAGAGGGATTCGTTGGAAAGGGGATAAATTCATATAAAATCTAGACAGAAGCATTCTCAGAAACTTATTTGTGATGTGTGTCCTCAACTAACAGAGTTGAACCTTGGTTTTGATACAGCATTTTGGAAACACTCCTTTTGTAGAATCTGCAGGTGGATATGTGGATAGCTACTGAAGATTTCGTTGGAAACGGGAATTTCTTCATATAAAATCAAACAGAAGCATTCTCAGAAACTTCTCAGTGATGTTTGCATTCAGTTCATGGAGTTGAACACTTCCCTTCATAGAGCCGGTTTGAAACACTCTTTCTGCACTACCTGGAAGAGGACATTTCGAGCGCTTTGAGTCCTATGGTGAAAAAGGAAATATCTTCTCATAGAAACCAGAAAGAAGCATTCTCAGAAACTTCTTTGTGTTGTGTGTACTCATGTAACAGTGTTGAACCATCCTTTTGACAGAGCAGTTTTGAAACACTCTTTTTGTAGAATCTGCAAGTGGATATTTGGATAGCTTTGAGGATTTCGTTGGAAACGGGATGACATATAATATCTAGAGAGAAGCATTCTCAGGAACTTCTTTGTGATGTTTGCATTCAAGTCACAGAATTGAACATTCCCTTTCATAGAGCAGGTTTGAAACACTCTTTCTCTAGTATCTGGAAGTGGGCATTTCAAGCGCTTCAGGCCTATGGAGAGAAAGGAAATACCTTCAAATAAAAACTAGACAGAAAGCATTCTCAGAAACTTATTTGTGATGTGTGTCCTCAACTAACAGAGTTGAACCTTGGTTTTGATACAGCATTTTGGAAACACTCCTTTTGTAGAATCTGCAGGTGGATATTTGGATAGCTTTGAAGATTTCGTTGGAAACCGGAATATCTTCATATAAAATCAAGACAGAGCATTCTCGGAAACATCTCTGTGATGTTTGCATTCAACTCAGTAGAGTTGAACACTTCCTTTCATAGAGCAGGTTTGAAACACTCTTTCTGCACTACCTGGAAGCGGACATTTCGAGCGCTTTGAGGCCTATGGTGAAAAAGGAAATATCTTCTCATAAAAACCAGAAAGAAGCATTCTCAGAAACTTCTTTGTGTTGTGTGTACTCAAGTAACAGTGTTGAACCTTCCTTTTGACAGAGCAGTTTTGAAACACTCTTTTGGTAGAATCTGCAAGTGGATATTTGGAGAGCTTTGAGGATTTCGTTGGAAACGGGTTATCTTCATATAAAATCCAGACAGGAGCATTCTCAGAAACTTCTTTGTGCTGTATGTCCTCAATTCACAGAGCTGAACCTTTGTTTGGATACAGCATTTTGGAGACATTCCTTTAGTAGAATCTGCAAGTTGATATTTAGATAGCTTTGAAGATTTCGTTGGAAACGGGAATATCTTCATAGAAAATCTAGACGGAAGCATTCTCAGAAACTGCTTTGTGATGTTTGCATTCAAGTCACAGAGTTGAATATTCCCTTTTATAGAGTAGGTTTGAAACACTCTTTCGGCACTACCTGGAAGTGGATATTTCGAGCTCTTTGAGGCCTATGGTTAAAAGGAAATATCTTCCCATAAAAACTAGACAGAAGCCGTCTCAGAAACTTGTTTGTGATGTGTGTATTCAACTAACAGAGTTGAACATTTCTGTTACAGAGCAATTTTAAAACACTCTTTGTGGAATCTGAAAGTGGATAATTGGATAGCTTTGTGGATTTCGTTGGAAACGGGATGACGTATAAAATCTAGAGAGAAGCATTCTCAGGAACTTCTTTCTGATGTTTGCATTCAAGTCACAGAATTGAACATTCCTTTTCAGAGTGCAGGTTTGAAACACTCTTTCTGTAGTATCTGGAAGTGGACATTTCAAGCGCTTTCAGGCCTACGGGGAGAAAGGAAATATCTTCAAATAAAAACTAGACAGAAGGATTCTCAGAAACTTATTTGTGATGTGTGTCCTAAACGAACACAGTTGAACCTTTGTTTTGATACAGCATTTTGGAAACACTCCTTTTGTAGGATCTGCAGGTGGATATTTGGATAGATTTTAAGATTTCGTTGGAAACGGGAATTTCTTCATAGACGCTCAAGACAGATGCATTCTCAGAAACTTCTCTGTGATGTTTGCATTCCACTCATAGAGTTGAAAACTTCCTTTCATAGAGCAGGTTTGAAACACTCTTTTTGTAATATTTGGAAGTGGACATTTGCAGCGCTTTGAGGCCTATGGTGAAAAAGGAAATATCTTCTCATAAAAACCAGAAACAAGCATTCTCAGAAACTTCTTTTTGATGTGTGTACTCAAGTAACAGAGTTGAACCTTCCTTTTGACACAGCAGTTTTGAAACAATCTTTTTGTAGAATCTGCAAGTGGATATTTGGATAGCTTTGAGGATTTCGTTGGAAACGGGATATCTTCATATAAAATCTAGACAGAAGCATTCTCAGAAACTTCTTTGTGCTGTATGACCTCAATTAACAGAGTTGAACCATTGCTTGCATACAGCATTTTGGAAACATTCCTTGAGTAGAATCTGCAAGTTGATATTTAGATAGATTTGAAGATTTCGTTCGAAAACGGAATATCTCCATATAAAATCTAGAGGGAAGCATTCTCAGAAACTGCTTTGTGATGTTTCCATTCAAGTCACAGAGTTGAATATTCCCTTTTATAGAGCACGTTTGAAACACTCTTTCTGCACTATCTGGAAGTGGACATTTCGAGCGCTGTGAGGCCTATGGTGAAAAAGGAAATATCTTCCCATAAAAACTAGACAGAAGCATTCTCAGAAACTTGTTTGTGATGTGTGTATTCAACTAACAGAGTTGAACTTTTGTTTTTACAGAGCCGTTTTAAAACACTCTTTTTGTGGAATCAGAAAGTGGATATTCGGATGGCTCTGAGGATTTCGTTGGAAGCGGGATTACATATAAAATCTAGAGAGAAGCATTCTCAGGAACTTCTTTGTGATGTTTGCATTGAAGTCACAGAATTGAACATTCACTTTGATAGAGCAGGTTTGAAACACTCATTCTGTAGTATCTGGAAGTGGACATTTCAAGCGCTTTCAGGCCTATGGTGAGAAAGGAAATATCTTCGAATAAAAACTAGACAGAAGCATCCTCAAACTTATTTGTGATGTGTGTCCTCAACTAACAGAGTTGAAACTTTGTTTTGATACAGCATTTTGGAAACACTCTTTTTGTAGAATCTGCAGGTGGATATTTGGATAGCTTAGAGGGATTCGTTGGAAAGGGGATATCTTCATATAGAATCTAGACAGAAGCATTCTCAGAAACTTATTTGTGATGTGTGTCCTCAACTAACAAAGTTGAACCTTGGTTTTGATACAGCATTTTGGAAACACTCCTTTTGTAGAATCTGCAGGTGGATATGTGGATAGCTCTGAAGATTTCGTTGGAAACGGGAATTTCTTCATAGAAAATCAAACAGAAGCATTCTCAGAAACTTCTCACTGATGTTTGCATTCAGCTCATGGAGTTGAACACTTCCTTTCATAGAGCAGGTTTGAAACACTCTTTCTGCACTACCTGGAAGAGGACATTTCGAGCGCTTTAAGTCCTATGGTGAAAAAGGAAATATCTTCTCATAAAAACCAGAAAGAAGCATTCTCAGAAACTTCTTTGTGTTGTGTGTACTCATGTAACAGTGTTGAACCATCCTTTTGACAGAGCAGTTTTGAAACACTCTTTTTGTAGAATCTGCAAGTGGATATTTGGATAGCTTTGAGGATTTCGTTGGAAACGGGATGACATATAATATCTAGAGAGAAGCATTCTCAGGAACTTCTTTGTGATGTTTGCATTCAAGTCACAGAATTGAACATTCCCTTTCATAGAGCAGGTTTGAAACACTCTTTCTCTAGTATCTGGAAGTGGGCATTTCAAGCGCTTTCAGGCCTATGGAGAGAAAGGAAATACCTTCAAATAAAAACTAGACAGAAGCATTCTCAGAAACTTATTTGTGATGTGTGTCCTCAACTAACAGAGTTGAACCTTTGTTTTGATACAGCATTTTGGAAACACTCCTTTTGTAGAATCTGCAGGTGGATATTTGGATAGCTTTGAAGATTTCGTTGGAAACCGGAATATCTTCATATAAAATCAAGACAGAAGCATTCTCGGAAACATCTCTGTGATGTTTGCATTCAACTCAGTAGAGTTGAACACTTCCTTTCATAGAGCAGGTTTGAAACACTCTTTCTGCCCTACCTGGAAGCGGACATTTCGAGCTCTTTGAGGCCTATGGTGAAAAAGGAAATATCTTCTCATAAAAACCAGAAAGAAGCATTCTCAGAAACTTCTTTGTGTTGTGTGTACTCAAGTAACAGTGTTGAACCTTCCTTTTGACAGAGCAGTTTTGAAACACTCTTTTGGTAGAATCTGCAAGTGGATATTTGGATAGCTTTGAGGATTTCGTTGGAAACGGGTTATCTTCATATAAAATCCAGACAGGAGCATTCTCAGAAACTACTTTGTGCTGTATGTCCTCAATTCACAGAGCTGAACCTTTGTTTGGATACAGCATTTTGGAGACATTCCTTTAGTAGAATCTGCAAGTTGATATTTAGATAGCTTTGAAGATTTCGTTGGAAACGGGAATATCTTCATAGAAAATCTAGACGGAAGCATTCTCAGAAACTGCTTTGTGATGTTTGCATTCAAGTCACAGAGTTGAATATTCCCTTTTATAGAGTAGGTTTGAAACACTCTTTCGGCACTACCTGGAAGTGGATATTTCGAGCTCTTTGAGGCCTATGGTTAAAAGGAAATATCTTCCCATAAAAACTAGACAGAAGCCGTCTCAGAAACTTGTTTGTGATGTGTGTATTCAACTACCAGAGTTGAACATTTCTGTTACAGAGCAATTTTAAAACACTCTTTTTGTGGAATCTGAAAGTGGATAATTGGATAGCTTTGTGGATTTCGTTGGAAACGGGATGACGTATAAAATCTAGAGAGAAGCATTCTCAAGAACTTCTTTCTGATGTTTGCATTCAAGTCACAGAATTGAACATTCCTTTTCAGAGTGCAGGTTTGAAACACACTCTTTCTGTAGTATCTGGAAGTGGACATTTCAAGCGCTTTCAGGCCTACGGGGAGAAAGGAAATATCTTCAAATAAAAACTAGACAGAAGGATTCTCAGAAACTTATTTGTGATGTGTGTCCTAAACGAACACAGTTGAACCTTTGTTTTGATACAGCATTTTGGAAACACTCCTTTTGTAGGATCTGCAGGTGGATATTTGGATAGATTTTAAGATTTCGTTGGAAACGGGAATTTCTGCATATAAACTCAAGACAGATGCATTCTCAGAAACTTCTCTGTGATGTTTGCATTCCACTCATAGAGTTGAAAACTTCCTTTCATAGAGCAGGTTTGAAACACTCTTTTTGTAATATTTGGAAGTGGACATTTGCAGCGCTTTGAGGCCTATGGTGAAAAAGGAAATATCTTCTCATAAAAACCAGAAACAAGCATTCTCAGAAACTTCTTTTTGATGTGTGTACTCAAGTAACAGAGTTGAACCTTCCTTTTGACACAGCAGTTTTGAAACAATCTTTTTGTAGAATCTGCAAGTGGATATTTGGATAGCTTTGAGGATTTCGTTGGAAACGGGATATCTTCATATAAAATCTAGACAGAAGCATTCTCAGAAACTTCTTTGTGCTGTATGACCTCAATTAACAGAGTTGAACCATTGCTTGCATACAGCATTTTGGAAACATTCCTTGAGTAGAATCTGCAAGTTGATATTTAGATAGATTTGAAGATTTCGTTGGAAAAGGGAATATCTCCATATAAAATCTAGAGGGAAGCATTCTCAGAAACTGCTTTGTGATGTTTCCATTCAAGTCACAGAGTTGAATATTCCCTTTTATAGAGCACGTTTGAAACACTCTTTCTGCACTATCTGGAAGCGGACATTTCGAGCGCTTTGAGGCCTATGGTGAAAAAGGAAATATCTTCCCATAAAAACTAGACAGAAGCATTCTCAGAAACTTGTTTGTGATGTGTGTATTCAACTAACAGAGTTGAACTTTTGTTTTTACAGAGCCGTTTTAAAACACTCTTTTTGTGGAATCAGAAAGTGGATATTCGGATGGCTCTGAGGATTTCGTTGGAAGCGGGATTACGTATAAAATCTAGAGAGAAGCATTCTCAGGAACTTCTTTGTGATGTTTGCATTGAAGTCACGGAATTGAACATTCACTTTTATAGAGCAGGTTTGAAACACTCATTCTGTAGTATCTGGAAGTGGACATTTCAAGCGCTTTCAGGCCTATGGTGAGAAAGGAAATATCTTCGAATAAAAACTAGACAGAAGCATCCTCAGAAACTTATTTGTGATGTGTGTCCTCAACTAACAGAGTTGAAACTTTGTTTTGATACAGCATTTTGGAAACACTCTTTTTGTAGAATCTGCAGGTGGATATTTTGATAGCTTAGAGGGATTCGTTGGAAAGGGGATATCTTCATATAAAATCTAGACAGAAGCATTCTCAGAAACTTATTTGTGATGTGTGTCCTCAACTAACAGAGTTGAACCTTGGTTTTGATACAGCATTTTGGAAACACTCCTTTTGTAGAATCTGCAGGTGGATATGTGGATAGCTCTGAAGATTTCGTTGGAAACGGGAATTTCTTCATATAAAATCAAACAGAAGCATTCTCAGAAACTTCTCAGTGATGTTTGCATTCAGCTCATGGAGTTGTACACTTCCTTTCATAGAGCAGGTTTGAAACACTCTTTCTGCACTACCTGGAAGAGGACATTTCGAGCGCTTTGAGTCCTATGGTGAAAAAGGAAATATCTTCTCATAGAAACCAGAAAGAAGCATTCTCAGAAACTTCTTTGTGTTGTGTGTACTCATGTAACAGTGTTGAACCATCCTTTTGACAGAGCAGTTTTGAAACACTCTTTTTGTGGAATCAGAAAGTGGATATTCGGATGGCTCTGAGGATTTCGTTGGAAGCGGGATTACGTATAAAATCTAGAGAGAAGCATTCTCAGGAACTTCTTTGTGATGTTTGCATTCAAGTCACAGAATTGAACATTCCCTTTCATAGAGCAGGTTTGAAACACTCTTTCTCTAGTATCTGGAAGTGGGCATTTCAAGCGCTTTCAGGCCTATGGAGAGAAAGGAAATACCTTCAAATAAAAACTAGACAGAAGCATTCTCAGAAACTTATTTGTGATGTGTGTCCTCAACTAACAGAGTTGAACCTTTGTTTTGATACAGCATTTTGGAAACACTCCTTTTGTAGAATCTGCAGGTGGATATGTGGATAGCTTTGAAGATTTCGTTGGAAACCGGAATATCTTCCTATAAAATCAAGACAGAAGCATTCTCGGAAACATCTCTGTGATGTTTGCATTCAACTCAGTAGAGTTGAACACTTCCTTTCATAGAGCAGGTTTGAAACACTCTTTCTGCACTACCTGGAAGCGGACATTTCGAGCGCTTTGAGGCCTATGGTGAAAAAGGAAATATCTTCTCATAAAAACCAGAAAGAAGCATTCTCAGAAACTTCTTTGTGTTGTGTGTACTCAAGTAACAGTGTTGAACCTTCCTTTTGACAGAGCAGTTTTGAAACACTCTTTTGGTAGAATCTGCAAGTGGATATTTGGAGAGCTTTGAGGATTTCGTTGGAAACGGGTTATCTTCATATAAAATCCAGACAGGAGCATTCTCAGAAACTTCTTTGTGCTGTATGTCCTCAATTCACAGAGTTGAACCTTTGTTTGGATACAGCATTTTGGAAACATTCCTTTAGTAGAATCTGCAAGTTGATATTTAGATAGCTTTGAAGATTTCGTTGGAAACGGGAATATCTTCATAAAAAATACTAGACGGAAGCATTGTCAGACACAGCTTTGTGATGTTTGCATTCAAGTCACAGAGTTAAATATTCTTTTACAGAGCAGGTTTGAAACACTCTTTCTGCACTCCCTGGAAGTGGAGATTTCGAGCGCTTTGAGGCCTATGGTGAAAAAGGAAATATCTTCCCATAAAAACTAGACGGAAGCCTTCTCAGAAACTTGTTTGAGATGTGTGTATTCAACTAAGAGCGTTGAACATTTCTTTTTACAGAGCAGTTTTAAAACACTCTTTTTGTGGAATCTGAAAGTGGATAATTGGATAGCTTTGTGGATTTCGTTGGAAACCGTATGACGTATAAAATCTAGAGAGAAGCATTCTCAGGAACTTCTTTCTGATGTTTGCATTCAAGTCACAGAATTGAACATTCCTTTTCATAGTGCAGGTTTGAAACACTCTTTCTGTAGTATCTGGAAGTGGACTTTTCAAGCGCTTTCAGGCCTATGGGGAGAAAGGAAATATCTTCAAATAAAAACTAGACAGAAGGATTCTCAGAAACTTATTTGTGATGTGTGTCCTAAACGAACACAGTTGAACCTTTGTTTTGATACAGCATTTTGGAAACACTCCTTTTGTAGGATCTGCAGGTGGATATTTGGATAGATTTTAAGATTTCGTTGGAAACGGGAATTTCTTCATAGAAGCTCAAGACAGATGCATTCTCAGAAACTTCTCTGTGATGTTTGCATTCCACTCATAGAGTTGAAAACTTCCTTTCATAGAGCAGGTTTGAAACACTCTTTTTGTAATATTTGGAAGTGGACATTTGCAGCGCTTTGAGGCCTATGGTGAAAAAGGAAATATCTTCTCATAAAAACCAGAAACAAGCATTCTCAGAAACTTCTTTTTGATGTGTGTACTCAAGTAACAGAGTTGAACCTTCCTTTTGACACAGCAGTTTTGAAACAATCTTTTTGTAGAATCTGCAAGTGGATATTTGGATAGCTTTGAGGATTTCGTTGGAAACGGGATATCTTCATATAAAATCTAGACAGAAGCATTCTCAGAAACTTCTTTGTGCTGTATGTCCTCAATTAACAGAGTTGAACCATTGCCTGGATACAGCATTTTGGAAACATTCCTTGAGTAGAATCTGCAAGTTGATATTTAGATAGATTTGAAGATTTCGTTGGAAAAGGGAATATCTCCATATAAAATCTAGAGGGAAGCATTCTCAGAAACTGCTTTGTGATGTTTCCATTCAAGTCACAGAGTTGAATATTCCCTTTTATAGAGCACGTTTGAAACACTCTTTCTGCACTATCTGGAAGCGGACATTTTGAGCGCTTTGAGGCCTATGGTGAAAAAGGAAATATCTTCCCATAAAAACTAGACAGAAGCATTCTCAGAAACTTGTTTGTGATGTGTGTATTCAACTAACAGAGTTGAACTTTTGTTTTTACAGAGCCGTTTTAAAACACTCTTTTTGTGGAATCAGAAAGTGGATATTCGGATGGCTCTGAGGATTTCGTTGGAAGCGGGATTACGTATAAAATCTAGAGAGAAGCATTCTCAGGAACTTCTTTGTGATGTTTGCATTGAAGTCACGGAATTGAACATTCCCTTTCATAGAGCAGGTTTGAAACACTCTTTCTCTAGTATCTGGAAGTGGGCATTTCAAGCGCTTTCAGGCCTATGGAGAGAAAGGAAATACCTTCAAATAAAAACTAGACAGAAGCATTCTCAGAAACTTATTTGTGATGTGTGTCCTCAACTAACAGAGTTGAACCTTTGTTTTGATACAGCATTTTGGAAACACTCCTTTTGTAGAATCTGCAGGTGGATATTTGGATAGCTTTGAAGATTTCGTTGGAAACCGGAATATCTTCATATAAAATCAAGACAGAAGCATTCTCGGAAACATCTCTGTGATGTTTGCATTCAACTCAGTAGAGTTGAACACTTCCTTTCATAGAGCAGGTTTGAAACACTCTTTCTGCACTACCTGGAAGCGGACATTTCGAGCGCTTTGAGGCCTATGGTGAAAAAGGAAATATCTTCTCATAAAAACCAGAAAGAAGCATTCTCAGAAACTTCTTTGTGTTGTGTGTACTCAAGTAACAGTGTTGAACCTTCCTTTTGACAGAGCAGTTTTGAAACACTCTTTTGGTAGAATCTGCAAGTGGATATTTGGAGAGCTTTGAGGATTTCGTTGGAAACGGGTTATCTTCCTATAAAATCCAGACAGGAGCATTCTCAGAAACTTCTTTGTGCTGTATGTCCTCAATTCACAGAGCTGAACCTTTGTTTGGATACAGCATTTTGGAGACATTCCTTTAGTAGAATCTGCAAGTTGATATTTAGATAGCTTTGAAGATTTCGTTGGAAACGGGAATATCTTCATAGAAAATCTAGACGGAAGCATTCTCAGAAACTG
Source organism: Homo sapiens (assembly GCF_000001405.40). Classification (NCBI taxonomy): domain Eukaryota; kingdom Metazoa; phylum Chordata; class Mammalia; order Primates; family Hominidae; genus Homo; species Homo sapiens. Next base: position 49,837,948 of record NC_000004.12, read on the forward strand.
CTTTGTGATGTTTGCATTCAAGTCACAGAGTTGAATATTCCCTTTTATAGAGTAGGTTTGAAACACTCTTTCGGCACTACCTGGAAGTGGATATTTCGAGCTCTTTGAGGCCTATGGTTAAAAGGAAATATCTTCCCATAAAAACTAGACAGAAGCCGTCTCAGAAACTTGTTTGTGATGTGTGTATTCAACTACCAGAGTTGAACATTTCTGTTACAGAGCAATTTTAAAACACTCTTTTTGTGGAATCTGAAAGTGGATAATTGGATAGCTTTGTGGATTTCGTTGGAAACGGGATGACGTATAAAATCTAGAGAGAAGCATTCTCAGGAACTTCTTTCTGATGTTTGCATTCAAGTCACAGAATTGAACATTCCTTTTCAGAGTGCAGGTTTGAAACACACTCTTTCTGTAGTATCTGGAAGTGGACATTTCAAGCGCTTTCAGGCCTACGGGGAGAAAGGAAATATCTTCAAATAAAAACTAGACAGAAGGATTCTCAGAAACTTATTTGTGATGTGTGTCCTAAACGAACACAGTTGAACCTTTGTTTTGATACAGCATTTTGGAAACACTCCTTTTGTAGGATCTGCAGGTGGATATTTGGATAGATTTTAAGATTTCGTTGGAAACGGGAATTTCTTCATAGAAGCTCAAGACAGATGCATTCTCAGAAACTTCTCTGTGATGTTTGCATTCCACTCATAGAGTTGAAAACTTCCTTTCATAGAGCAGGTTTGAAACACTCTTTTTGTAATATTTGGAAGTGGACATTTGCAGCGCTTTGAGGCCTATGGTGAAAAAGGAAATATCTTCTCATAAAAACCAGAAACAAGCATTCTCAGAAACTTCTTTTTGATGTGTGTACTCAAGTAACAGAGTTGAACCTTCCTCTTGACACAGCAGTTTTGAAACAATCTTTTTGTAGAATCTGCAAGTGGATATTTGGATAGCTTTGAGGATTTCGTTGGAAACGGGATATCTTCATATAAAATCTAGACAGAAGCATTCTCAGAAACTTCTTTGTGCTGTATGTCCTCAATTAACAGAGTTGAACCATTGCCTGGATACAGCATTTTGGAAACATTTCTTGAGTAGAATCTGCAAGTTGATATTTAGATAGATTTGAAGATTTCGTTGGAAAAGGGAATATCTCCATATAAAATCTAGAGGGAAGCATTCTCAGAAACTGCTTTGTGATGTTTCCATTCAAGTCACAGAGTTGAATATTCCCTTTTATAGAGCACGTTTGAAACACTCTTTCTGCACTATCTGGAAGCGGACATTTCGAGCGCTTTGAGGCCTATGGTGAAAAAGGAAATATCTTCCCATAAAAACTAGACAGAAGCATTCTCAGAAACTTGTTTGTGATGTGTGTATTCAACTAACAGAGTTGAACTTTTGTTTTTACAGAGCCGTTTTAAAACACTCTTTTTGTGGAATCAGAAAGTGGATATTCGGATGGCTCTGAGGATTTCGTTGGAAGCGGGATTACGTATAAAATCTAGAGAGAAGCATTCTCAGAAACTTCTTTCTGATGTTTGCATTGAAGTCACAGAATTGAACATTCACTTTGATAGAGCAGGTTTGAAACACTCATTCTGTAGTATCTGGAAGTGGACATTTCAAGCGCTTTCAGGCCTATGGTGAGAAAGGAAATATCTTCGAATAAAAACTAGACAGAAGCATCCTCAAACTAATTGGTGATGTGTTTCCTCAACTAACAGAGTTGAAACTTTGTTTTGATACAGCATTTTGGAAACACTCTTTTTGTAGAATCTGCAGGTGGATATTTGGATAGCTTAGAGGGATTCGTTGGAAAGGGGATATCTTAATATAAAATCTAGACAGAAGCATTCTCAGAAACTTATTTGTGATGTGTGTCCTCAACTAACAGAGTTGAACCTTGGTTTTGATACAGCATTTTGGAAACACTCCTTTTGTAGAATCTGCAGGTGGATATGTGGATAGCTCTGAAGATTTCGTTGGAAACGGGAATTTCTTCATATAAAATCAAACAGAAGCATTCTCAGAAACTTCTCAGTGATGTTTGCATTCAGCTCATGGAGTTGTACACTTCCTTTCATAGAGCAGGTTTGAAACACTCTTTCTGCACTACCTGGAAGAGGACATTTCGAGCGCTTTGAGTCCTATGGTGAAAAAGGAAATATCTTCTCATAGAAACCAGAAAGAAGCATTCTCAGAAACTTCTTTGTGTTGTGTGTACTCATGTAACAGTGTTGAACCATCCTTTTGACAGAGCAGTTTTGAAACACTCTTTTTGTAGAATCTGCAAGTGGATATTTGGATAGCTTTGAGGATTTCGTTGGAAACGGGATGACATATAATATCTAGAGAGAAGCATTCTCAGGAACTTCTTTGTGATGTTTGCATTCAAGTCACAGAATTGAACATTCCCTTTCATAGAGCAGGTTTGAAACACTCTTTCTCTAGTATCTGGAAGTGGGCATTTCAAGCGCTTTCAGGCCTATGGAGAGAAAGGAAATACCTTCAAATAAAAACTAGACAGAAGCATTCTCAGAAACTTATTTGTGATGTGTGTCCTCAACTAACAGAGTTGAACCTTTGTTTTGATACAGCATTTTGGAAACACTCCTTTTGTAGAATCTGCAGGTGGATATTCGGATAGCTTTGAAGATTTCGTTGGAAACCGGAATATCTTCATATAAAATCAAGACAGAAGCATTCTCGGAAACATCTCTGTGATGTTTGCATTCAACTCAGTAGAGTTGAACACTTCCTTTCATAGAGCAGGTTTGAAACACTCTTTCTGCACTACCTGGAAGCGGACATTTCGAGCGCTTTGAGGCCTATGGTGAAAAAGGAAATATCTTCTCATAAAAACCAGAAAGAAGCATTCTCAGAAACTTCTTTGTGTTGTGTGTACTCAAGTAACAGTGTTGAACCTTCCTTTTGACAGAGCAGTTTTGAAACACTCTTTTGGTAGAATCTGCAAGTGGATATTTGGATAGCTTTGAGGATTTCGTTGGAAACGGGTTATCTTCCTATAAAATCCAGACAGGAGCATTCTCAGAAACTTCTTTGTGCTGTATGTCCTCAATTCACAGAGCTGAACCTTTGTTTGGATACAGCATTTTGGAGACATTCCTTTAGTAGAATCTGCAAGTTGATATTTAGATAGCTTTGAAGATTTCGTTGGAAACGGGAATATCTTCATAGAAAATCTAGACGGAAGCATTCTCAGAAACTGCTTTGTGATGTTTGCATTCAAGTCACAGAGTTGAATATTCCCTTTTATAGAGTAGGTTTGAAACACTCTTTCGGCACTACCTGGAAGTGGATATTTCGAGCTCTTTGAGGCCTATGGTTAAAAGGAAATATCTTCCCATAAAAACTAGACAGAAGCCGTCTCAGAAACTTGTTTGTGATGTGTGTATTCAACTACCAGAGTTGAACATTTCTGTTACAGAGCAATTTTAAAACACTCTTTCTGTGGAATCTGAAAGTGGATAATTGGATAGCTTTGTGGATTTCGTTGGAAACGGGATGACGTATAAAATCTAGAGAGAAGCATTCTCAGGAACTTCTTTCTGATGTTTGCATTCAAGTCACAGAATTGAACATTCCTTTTCAGAGTGCAGGTTTGAAACACTCTTTCTGTAGTATCTGGAAGTGGACATTTCAAGCGCTTTCAGGCCTACGGGGAGAAAGGAAATATCTTCAAATAAAAACTAGACAGAAGGATTCTCAGAAACTTATTTGTGATGTGTGTCCTAAACGAACACAGTTGAACCTTTGTTTTGATACAGCATTTTGGAAACACTCCTTTTGTAGGATCTGCAGGTGGATATTTGGATAGATTTTAAGATTTCGTTGGAAACGGGAATTTCTGCATATAAACTCAAGACAGATGCATTCTCAGAAACTTCTCTGTGATGTTTGCATTCCACTCATAGAGTTGAAAACTTCCTTTCATAGAGCAGGTTTGAAACACTCCTTTTGTAATATTTGGAAGTGGACATTTGCAGCGCTTTGAGGCCTATGGTGAAAAAGGAAATATCTTCTCATAAAAACCAGAAACAAGCATTCTCAGCAAACTGCTTTTTGATGTGTGTACTCAAGTAACAGAGTTGAACCTTCCTTTTGACACAGCAGTTTTGAAACAATCTTTTTGTAGAATCTGCAAGTGGATATTTGGATAGCTTTGAGGATTTCGTTGGAAACGGGATATCTTCATATAAAATCTAGACAGAAGCATTCTCAGAAACTTCTTTGTGCTGTATGTCCTCAATTAACAGAGTTGAACCATTGCTTGGATACAGCATTTTGGAAACATTCCTTTAGTAGAATCTGCAAGTTGATATTTAGATAGATTTGAAGATTTCGTTGGAAACGGGAATATCTTCATATAAAATCTAGACGGAGGCATTCTCAGAAACTGCTTTGTGATGTTTCCATTCAAGTCACAGAGTTGAATATTCTCTTTTATAGAGCACGTTTGAAACACTCTTTCTGCACTCTCTGGAAGTGGACATTTCGAGCGCTGTGAGGCCTATGCTGAAAAAGGAAATATCTTCCCATAAAAACTAGACAGAAGCATTCTCAGAAACTTGTTTGTGATGTGTGTATTCAACTAACAGACTTGAACTTTTGTTTTTACAGAGCAGTTTTAAAACAATCTTTTGGTGGAATCAGAAAGTGGATATTCGGATGGCTTTGAGGATTTCGTTGGAAGCGGGATTACATATAAAATCTATAGAGAAGCATTCTCAGGAACTACTTTGTGATGTTTGCATTGAAGTCACAGAATTGAACATTCACTTTGATAGAGCAGGTTTGAAACACTCATTCTGTAGTATCTGGAAGTGGACATTTCAAGCGCTTTCAGGCCTATGGGGAGAAAGGAAATATCTTCAAATAAAAACTAGACAGAAGCATCCTCAGAAACTTATTTGTGATGTGTGTCCTCAACTAACAGAGTTGAAACTTTGTTTTGATACAGCATTTTGGAAACACTCTTTTTGTAGAATCTGCAGGTGGATATTTGGATAGCTTAGAGGGATTCGTTGGAAAGGGGATATCTTCTTATAAAATCTAGACAGAAGCATTCTCAGAAACTTATTTGTGATGTGTGTCCTCAACTAACAGAGTTGAACCTTGGTTTTGATACAGCATTTTGGAAACACTCCTTTTGAAGAATCTGCAGGTGGATATGTGGATAGCTTTGAAGATTTCTTTGGAAACGGGAATATCTTCATAAAATTCTAGACGGAAGCATTGTCAGAAACTGCTTTGTGATGTTTGCATTCAAGTCACAGAGTTAAATATTCTTTTACAGAGCAGGTTTGAAACACTCTTTCTGCACTCCCTGGAAGTGGAGATTTCGAGCGCTTTGAGGCCTATGGTGAAAAAGGAAATATCTTCCCATAAATACTAGACGGAAGCCTTCTCAGAAACTTGTTTGAGATGTGTGTATTCAACTAAGAGCGTTGAACATTTCTTTTTACAGAGCAGTTTTAAAACAGTCTTTTGGTGGAATCTGAAAGTGGATAATTGGATAGCTTTGTGGATTTCGTTGGAAACGGGATTACGTTTAAAATCTAGAGAGAAGCATTCTCAGGAACTTCTTTCTGATGTTTGCATTCAAGTCACAGAATTGAACATTCCTTTTCATAGTGCAGGTTTGAAACACTCTGTAGTATCTGGAAGTGGACATTTCAAGTGCTTTCAGGCCTATGGGGAGAAAGGAAATATCTTGAAATAAAAACTAGACAGAAGGATTCTCAGAAACTTATTTGTGATGTGTGTTCTCAACGAACACAGTTGAACCTTTGTTTTGATATAGCATTTTGGAAGCACTCTTTTGTAGAATCTGCAGGTGGATATTTGGATAGATTTTAAGATTTCATTGGAAACGGGAATTTCTTCATATAAACTCAAGACAGATGCATTCTCAGAAACTTCTCTGTGATGTTTGCATTCCACTCACAGAGTTGAAAACTTCCTTTCATAGAGCAGGTTTGAAACACTCTTTTTGTAATATTTGGAAGTGGACATTTGCAGCGCTTTGAGGCCTATGGTGAAAAAGGAAATATCTTCTCATAAAAACCAGAAACAAGCATTCTCAGAAACTGCTTTTTGATGTGTGTACTCAAGTAACAGAGTTGAACCTTCCTTTTGACACAGCAGTTTTGAAACAATCTTTTTGTAGAATCTGCAAGTGGATATTTGGATAGTTTTGAGGATTTCGTTGGAAACGGGATATCTTCATATAAAATCTAGACAGAAGCATTCTCAGAAACTTCTTTGTGCTGTATGTCCTCAATTAACAGAGTTGAACCATTGCTTGGATACAGCATTTTGGAAACATTCCTTTAGTAGAATCTGCAAGTTGATATTTAGATAGCTTTGAAGATTTCGTTGGAAACGGGAATATCTTCATATAAAATCTAGACGGAGGCATTCTCAGAAACTGCTTTGTGATGTTTCCATTCAAGTCACAGAGTTGAATATTCTCTTTTATAGAGCACGTTTGAAACACACTTTCTGCACTATCTGGAAGTGGACATTTCGAGCGCTTTGAGGCCTATGGTGAAAAAGGAAATATCTTCCCATAAAAACTAGACAGAAGCATTCTCAGAAACTTGTTTGTGATGTGTGTATTCAACTAACAGACTTGAACTTTTGTTTTTACAGAGCAGTTTTAAAACAATCTTTTTGTGGAATCAGAAAGTGGATATTCGGATGGCTTTGAGGATTTCGTTGGAAGCGGGATTACATATAAAATCTAGAGAGAAGCATTCTCAGGAACTACTTTGTGATGTTTGCATTGAAGTCACAGAATTGAACATTCACTATGATAGAGCAGGTTTGAAACACTCATGCTGTAGTATCTGGAAGTGGACATTTCAAGCGCTTTCAGGCCTATGGTGAGAAAGGAAATATCTTCAAATTAAAACTAGACAGAAGCATCCTCAGAAACTTATTTGTGATGTGTGTCCTCAACTAACAGAGTTGAAACTTTGTTTTGATACAGCATTTTGGAAACACTCTTTTTGTAGAATCTGCAGGTGGATATTTGGATAGCTTAGAGGGATTCGTTGGAAAGGGGATATCTTCATATAAAATCTAGACAGAAGCATTCTCAGAAACTTATTTGTGATGTGTGTCCTCAACTAACAGAGTTGAACCTTGGTTTTGATACAGCATTTTGGAAACACTCCTTTTGAAGAATCTGCAGGTGGATATGTGGATAGCTTTGAAGATTTCGTTGGAAACGGGAATTTCTTCATATAAAATCAAACAGAAGCATTCTCAGGAACTTCTCTGTGATGTTTGCATTCAGCTCATGGAGTTGAACACTTCCTTTCATAGAGCAGGTTTGAAACACTCTTTCTGCACTACCTGGAAGTGGACATTTCGAGCGCTTTGAGGCCTACGGTGAAAAAGGAAATATCCTCTCATAAAAACCAGAAAGAAGCGTTCTCAGAAACTTCTTTGTGTTGTGTGTACTCATGTAACAGTGTTGAACCATCCTTTTGACAGAGCAGTTTTGAAACACTCTTTTTGTAGAATCTGCAAGTGGATATTTGGATAGCTTTGAGGATTTCGTTGGAAACGGGTTATCTTCATATTAAATCTAGACAGAAGCATTCTCAGAAACTTCTTTGTGCTGTATGTCCTCAATTCACAGAGTTGAACCTTTGTTTGGATACAGCATTTTGGAAACATTCCTTTAGTAGAATCTGCAAGTTGATATTTAGATAGCTTTGAAGATTTCGTTGGAAACGGGAATATCTTCATAAAAAATCTAGACGGAAGCATTGTCAGAAACTGCTTTGTGATGTTTGCATTCAAGTCACAGAGTTAAATATTCTTTTACAGAGCAGGTTTGAAACACTCTTTCTGCACTCCCTGGAAGTGGAGATTTCGAGCGCTTTGAGGCCTGTGGTGAAAAAGGAAATATCTTCCCATAAAAACTAGACGGAAGCCTTCTCAGAAACTTGTTTGAGATGTGTGTATTCAACTAAGAGCGTTGAACATTTCTTTTTACAGAGCAGTTTTAAAACACTCTTTTGTGGAATCTGAAAGTGGATAATTGGATAGCTTTGTGGATTTCGTTGGAAACGGGATGACGTATAAAATCTAGAGAGAAGCATTCTCAGGAACTTCTTTCTGATGTTTGCATTCAAGTCACAGAATTGAACATTCCTTTTCATAGTGCAGGTTTGAAACACTCTTTCTGTAGTATCTGGAAGTGGACATTTCAAGCACTTTCAGGCCTATGGGGAGAAAGGAAATATCTTCAAATAAAAACTAGACAGAAGGATTCTCAGAAACTTATTGGTGATGTGTGTCCTAAACGAACACAGTTGAACCTTTGTTTTGATACAGCATTTTGGAAACACTCCCTTTGTAGAATCTGCAGGTGGATATTTGGATAGATTTTAAGATTTCGTTGGAAACGGGAATTTCTTCATATAAACTCAAGACAGATGCATTCTCCGAAACTTCTCTGTGATGTTTGCATTCCACTCATAGAGTTGAAAACTTCCTTTCATAGAGCAGGTTTGAAACACTCTTTTTGTAATATTTGGAAGTGGACATTTGCAGCGCTTTGAGGCCTATGGTGTAAAAGGAAATATCTTCTCATAAAAACCAGAAACAAGCATTCTCAGAAACTTCTTTTTGATGTGTGTACTCAAGTAACAGAGTTGAACCTTCCTTTTGACACAGCAGTTTTGAAACAATCTTTTTGTAGAATCTGCAAGTGGATATTTGGATAGATTTGAGGATTTCGTTGGAAACGGGATATCTTCATATAAAATCTAGACAGAAGCATTCTCAGAAACTTCTTTGTGCTGTATGTCCTCAATTAACAGAGTTGAACCATTGCTTGGATACAGCGTTTTGGAAACATTCCTTTAGTAGAATCTGCAAGTTGATATTTAGATAGATTTGAAGATTTCGTTGGAAACGGGAATATCTTCATATAAAATCTAGACGGAGGCATTCTCAGAAACTGCTTTGTGATGTTTCCATTCAAGTCACAGAGTTGAATATTCTCTTTTATAGAGCACGTTTGAAACACTCTTTCTGCACTATCTGGAAGTGGACATTTCGAGCGCTGTGAGGCCTATGGTGAAAAAGGAAATATCTTCCCATAAAAACTAGACAGAAGCATTCTCAGAAACTTGTTTATGATGTGTGTATTCAACTAACAGACTTGAACTTTTGTTTTTACAGAGCAGTTTTAAGACAATCTTTTTGTGGAATCAGAAAGTGGATATTCGGATGGCTTTGAGGATTTCGTTGGAAGCGGGATTACATATAAAATCTAGAGAGAAGCATTCTCAGGAACTACTTTGTGATGTTTGCATTGATGTCACAAAATTGAACATTCACTTTGATAGAGCAGGTTTGAAACACTCATTCTGTAGTATCTGGAAGCGGACAATTCTAGCGCTTTCAGGCCTATGGGGAGAAAGGAAATATCTTCAAATAAAAACTAGACAGAAGCATCCTCAGAAACTTATTTGTGATGTGTGTCCTCAACTAACAGAGTGGAACCTTGGTTTTGATACAGCATTTTGGAAACACTCCTTTTGTAGAATCTGCAGGTGGATATTTGGATAGCTTAGAGGGATTCGTTGGAAAGGGGATATCTTCATATAAAATCTAGACAGAAGCATTCTCAGAAACTTATTTGTGATGTGTGTCCTCAACTAACAGAGTTGAACCTTGGTTTTGATACAGCATTTTGGAAACACTCCTTTTGTAGAATCTGCAGGTGGATATTTGGATAGCTTTGAAGATTTCTTTGGAATCGGGAATTTCTTCATATAGAATCAAACAGAAGCATTCTCAGGAACTTCTCTGTGATGTTTGCATTCAGCTCATGGAGTTGAACACTTCCTTTCATAGAGCAGGTTTGAAACACTCTTTCTGCACTACCTGGAAGTGGACATTTCGAGCGCTTTGAGGCCTATGGTGAAAAAGGAAATATCCTTTCATAAAAACCAGAAAGAAGCGTTCTCAGAAACTTCTTTGTGTTGTGTGTACTCATGTAACAGTGTTGAACCATCCTTTTGACAGAGCAGTTTTGAAACACTCTTTTTGTAGAATCTGCAAGTGGATATTTGGATAGCTTTGAGGATTTCGTTGGAAACGGGTTATCTTCATATTAAATCTAGACAGAAGCATTCTCAGAAACTTCTTTGTGCTGTATGTCCTCAATTCACAGTGTTGAACCTTTGTTTGGATACAGCATTTTGGAAACATTCCTTTAGTAGAATCTGCAAGTTGATATTTAGATAGATTTGAAGATTTCGTTGGAAACGGGAATATCTTCATATAAAATCTAGACGGAAGCATTGTCAGAAACTGCTTTGTGATGTTTGCATTCAAGTCACAGAGTTAAATATTCTTTTATAGAGCACGTTTGAAACACTCTTTCTGCACTCCCTGGAAGTGGAGATTTCGAGCGCTTTGAGGCCAATGGTGAAAAACAAATATCTTCCCATAAAAACTAGACGGAAGCCTTCTCAGAAACTTGTTTGAGATGTGTGTATTCAACTAAGAGCGTTGAACATTTCTTTTTACAGAGCAGTTTTAAAACACTCTTTTTGTGGAATCTGAAAGTGGATAATTGGATAGCTTTGTGGATTTCGTTGGAAACGGGATGACGTATAAAATCTAGAGAGAAGCATTCTCAGGAACTTCTTTCTGATGTTTGCATTCAAGTCACAGAATTGAACATTCCTTTTCATAGTGCAGGTTTGAAACACTCTTTCTGTAGTATCTGGAAGTGGACATTTCAAGCGCTTTCAGGCCTGTGGGGAGAAAGGAAATATCTTCAAATAAAAACTAGACAGAAGGATTCTCAGAAACTTTTTGGTGATGTGTGTCCTAAACGAACACAGTTGAACCTTTGTTTTGATAGAGCGTTTTGGAAACACTCCTTTTGTAGAATCTGCAGGTGGATATTTGGATAGATTTTAAGATTTCGTTGGAAACGGGAATTTCTTCATATAAACTCAAGACAGATGCATTCTCAGAAACTTCTCTGTGATGTTTGCATTCCACTCATAGAGTTGAAAACTTCCTTTCATAGAGCAGGTTTGAAACACTCTTTTTGTAATATTTGGAAGTGGACATTTGCAGCGCTTTGAGGCCTATGGTGAAAAAGGAAATATCTTCTCATAAAAACCAGAAACAAGCATTCTCAGAAACTTCATTTTGATGTGTGTACTCAAGTAACAGAGTTGAACCTTCCTTTTGACACAGCAGTTTTGAAACAATCTTTTTGTAGAATCTGCAAGTGGATATTTGGATAGCTTTGAGGATTTCGTTGGAAACGGGATATCTTCATATAAAATCTAGACAGAAGCATTCTCAGAAACTTCTTTGTGCTGTATGTCCTCAATTAACAGAGTTGAACCATTGCTTGGATAAAGCATTTTGGAAATATTCCTTTAGTAGAATCTGCAAGTTGATATTTAGATAGATTTGAAGATTTCGTTGGAAACGGGAATATCTTCATATAAAATCTAGACGGAGGCATTCTCAGAAACTGCTTTGTGATGTTTCCATTCAAGTCACAGAGTTGAATATTCTCTTTTATAGAGCACGTTTGAAACACTCTTTCTGCACTATCTGGAAGTGGACATTTCGAGCGCTTTGAGGCCTATGGTGAAAAAGGAAATATCTTCCCATAAAAACTAGACAGAAGCATTCTCAGAAACTTGTTTGTGATGTGTGTATTCAACTAACAGACTTGAACTTTTGTTTTTACAGAGCAGTTTTAAGACAATCTTTTTGTGGAATCAGAAAGTGGATATTCGGATGGCTTTGAGGATTTCGTTGGAAGCGGGATTACATATAAAATCTAGAGAGAAGCATTCTCAGGAACTACTTTGTGATGTTTGCATTGATGTCACAGAATTGAACATTCACTTTGATAGAGCAGGTTTGAAACACTCATTCTGTAGTATCTGGAAGCGGACAATTCTAGCGCTTTCAGGCCTATAGGGAGAAAGGAAATATCTTCAAATAAAAACTAGACAGAAGCATCCTCAGAAACTTATTTGTGATGTGTGTCCTCAACTAACAGAGTTGAAACTTTTTTTTGATACAGCATTTTGGAAACACTCTTTTTGTAGAATCTGCAGGTGGATATTTGGATAGCTTAGAGGGATTCGTTGGAAAGGGGATATCTTCATATAAAATGTAGACAGAAGCATTCTCAGAAACTTATTTGTGATGTGTGTCCTCAACTAACAGAGTGGAACCTTGGTTTTGATACAGCATTTTGGAAACACTCCTTTTGTAGAATCTGCAGGTGGATATGTGGATAGCTTTGAAGATTTCGTTGGAAACGGGAATTTCTTCATATAAAATCAAACAGAAGCATTCTCAGGAACTTCTCTGTGATGTTTGCATTCAGCTCATGGAGTTGAACACTTCCTTTCATAGAGCAGGTTTGAAACACTCTTTCTGCACTACCAGGAAGTGGACATTTCGAGCGCTTTGAGGCCTATGGTGAAAAAGGAAATATCTTCTCATAAAAACCAGAAAGAAGCGTTCTCAGAAACTTCTTTGTGTTGTGTGTACTCATGTAACAGTGTTGAACCATCCTTTTGACAGAGCAGTTTTGAAACACTCTTTTGGTAGAATCTGCAAGTGGATATTTGGATAGCTTTGAGGATTTCGTTGGAAACGGGTTATCTTCATATTAAATCTAGACAGAAGCATTCTCAGAAACTTCTTTGTGCTGTATGTCCTCAATTCACAGAGTTGAACCTTTGTTTGGATACAGCATTTTGGAAACATTCCTTTAGTAGAATCTGCAAGTTGATATTTAGATAGCTTTGAAGATTTCGTTGGAAACGGGAATATCTTCATAAAAAATCTAGACGGAAGCATTGTCAGAAACTGCTTTGTGATGTTTGCATTGAAGTCACAGAGTTAAATATTCTTTTACAGAGCAGGTTTGAAACACTCTTTCTGCACTCCCTGGAAGTGGAGATTTCGAGCGCTTTGAGGCCTATGGTGAAAAAGGAAATATCTTCCCATAAAAACTAGGCGGAAGCCTTCTCAGAAACTTGTTTGAGATGTGTGTATTCAACTAAGAGCGTTGAACATTTCTTTTTACAGAGCAGTTTTAAAACACTCTTTTGTGGAATCTGAAAGTGGATAATTGGATAGCTTTGTGGATTTCGTTGGAAACGGGATGACGTATAAAATCTAGAGAGAAGCATTCTCAGGAACTTCTTTCTGATGTTTGCATTCAAGTCACAGAATTGAACATTCCTTTTCATAGTGCAGGTTTGAAACACTCTTTCTGTAGTATCTGGAAGTGGACATTTCAAGCGCTTTCAGGCCTATGGGGAGAAAGGAAATATCTTCAAATAAAAACTAGACAGAAGGATTCTCAGAAACTTATTGGTGATGTGTGTCCTAAACGAACACAGTTGAACCTTTGTTTTGATACAGCATTTTGGAAACACTCCCTTTGTAGAATCTGCAGGTGGATATTTGGATAGATTTTAAGATTTCGTTGGAAACGGGAATTTCTTCATATAAACTCAAGACAGATGCATTCTCCGAAACTTCTCTGTGATGTTTGCATTCCACTCATAGAGTTGAAAACTTCCTTTCATAGAGCAGGTTTGAAACACTCTTTTTGTAATATTTGGAAGTGGACATTTGCAGCGCTTTGAGGCCTATGGTGAAAAAGGAAATATCTTCTCATAAAAACCAGAAACAAAGCATTCTCAGAAAACTTCTTTTTGATGTGTGTACTCGAGTAACAGAGTTGAACCTTCCTTTTGACACAGCAGTTTTGAAACAATCTTTTTGTAGAATCTGCAAGTGGATATTTGGATAGCTTTGAGGATTTCGTTGGAAACGGGATATCTTCATATAAAACCTAGACAGAAGCATTCTCAGAAACTTCTTTGTGCTGTATGTCCTCAATTAACAGAGTTGAAACATTGCTTGGATACAGCATTTTGGAAACATTCCTTTAGTAGAATCTGCAAGTTGATATTTAGATAGATTTGAAGATTTCGTTGGAAACGGGAATATCTTCCTATAAAATCTAGACGGAGGCATTCTCAGAAACTGCTTTGTGATGTTTCCATTCAAGTCACAGAGTTGAATATTCTCTTTTATAGAGCACGTTTGAAACACTCTTTCTGCACTATCTGGAAGCGGACATTTCGATCGCTGTGAGGCCTATGGTGAAAAAGGAAATATCTTCCCATAAAAACTAGACAGAAGCATTCTCAGAAACTTGTTTGTGATGTGTGTATTCAACTAACAGACTTGAACTTTTGTTTTTACAGAGCAGTTTTAAGACAATCTTTTTGTGGAATCAGAAAGTGGATATTCGGATGGCTTTGAGGACCTCGTTGGAAGCGGGATTACATATAAAATCTAGAGAGAAGCATTCTCAGGAACTACTTTGTGATGTTTCCATTGAAGTCACAGAATTGAACATTCACTTTGATAGAGCAGGTTTGAAGCACTCATTCTGTAGTATCTGGAAGTGGACAATTCAAGCGCTTTCAGGCCTATGGGGAGAAAGGAAATATCTTCAAATAAAAACTAGACAGAAGCATCCTCAAACTTATTTGTGATGTGTGTCCTCAACTAACAGAGTTGAACCTTTGTTTTGATACAGCATTTTGGAAACACTCTTTTTGTAGAATCTGCAGGTGGATATTTGGATAGCTTAGAGGGATTCGTTGGAAAGGGGATATCTTCATATAAAATCTAGACAGAAGCATTCTCAGAAACTTATTTGTGATGTGTGTCCTCAACTAACAGAGTTGAACCTTGGTTTTGATACAGCATTATGGAAACACTCCTTTTGTAGAATCTGCAGGTGGATATGTGGATAGCTCTGAAGATTTCGTTGGAAACGGGAATTTCTTCATATAAAATCAAACAGAAGCATTCTCAGAAACTTCTCAGTGATGTTTGCATTCAGCTCATGGAGTTGTACACTTCCTTTCATAGAGCAGGTTTGAAACACTCTTTCTGCACTACCTGGAAGAGGACATTTCGAGCACTTTGAGTCCTATGGTGAAAAAGGAAATATCTTCTCATAGAAACCAGAAAGAAGCATTCTCAGAAACTTCTTTGTGTTGTGTGTACTCATGTAACAGTGTTGAACCATCCTTTTGACAGAGGAGTTTTGAAACACTCTTTTTGTAGAATCTGCAAGTGGATATTTGGATAGCTTTGAGGATTTCGTTGGAAACGGGATGACATATAATATCTAGAGAGAAGCATTCTCAGGAACTTCTTTGTGATGTTTGCATTCAAGTCACAGAATTGAACATTCCCTTTCATAGAGCAGGTTTGAAACACTCTTTCTCTAGTATCTGGAAGTGGGCATTTCAAGCGCTTTCAGGCCTATGGAGAGAAAGGAAATACCTTCAAATAAAAACTAGACAGAAGCATTCTCAGAAACTTATTTGTGATGTGTGTCCTCAACTAACAGAGTTGAACCTTTGTTTTGATACAGCATTTTGGAAACACTCCTTTTGTAGAATCTGCAGGTGGATATTTGGATAGCTTTGAAGATTTCGTTGGAAACCGGAATATCTTCATATAAAATCAAGACAGAAGCATTCTCGGAAACATCTCTGTGATGTTTGCATTCAACTCAGTAGAGTTGAACACTTCCTTTCATAGAGCAGGTTTGAAACACTCTTTCTGCACTACCTGGAAGCGGACATTTCGAGCTCTTTGAGGCCTATGGTGAAAAAGGAAATATCTTCTCATAAAAACCAGAAAGAAGCATTCTCAGAAACTTCTTTGTGTTGTGTGTACTCAAGTAACAGTGTTGAACCTTCCTTTTGACAGAGCAGTTTTGAAACACTCTTTTGGTAGAATCTGCAAGTGGATATTTGGATAGCTTTGAGTATTTCGTTGGAAACAGGTTATCTTCATATAAAATCCAGACAGGAGCATTCTCAGAAACTTCTTTGTGCTGTATGTCCTCAATTCACAGAGTTGAACCTTTGTTTGGATACAGCATTTTGGAAACATTCCTTTAGTAGAATCTGCAAGTTGATATTGAGATAGCTTTGAAGATTTCGTTGGAAACGGGAATATCTTCATAAAAAATCTAGACGGAAGCATTGTCAGAAACTGCTCTGTGATGTTTGCATTCAAGTCACAGAGTTAAATATTCTTTTATAGAGCAGGTTTGAAACACTCTTTCTGCACTCCCTGGAAGTGGAGATTTCGAGCGCTTTGAGGCCTATGGTGAAAAAGGAAATATCTTCCTGTAAAAACTAGACGGAAGCCTTCTCAGAAACTTGTTTGAGATGTGTGTATTCAACTAAGAGCGTTGAACATTTCTTTTTACAGAGCAGTTTTAAAACAGTCTTTTGGTGGAATCTGAAAGTGGATAATTGGATAGCTTTGTGGATTTCGTTGCAAACGGGATTACGTTTAAAATCTAGAGAGAAGCATTCTCAGGAACTTCTTTCTGATGTTTGCATTCAAGTCACAGAATTGAACATTCCTTTTCATAGTGCAGGTTTGAAACACTCTGTAGTATCTGGAAGTGGACATTTCAAGCGCTTTCAAGCCTATGGGGAGAAAGGAAATATCTTGAAATAAAAACTAGACAGAAGGATTCTCAGAAACTTATTTGTGATGTGTGTCCTAAACGAACACAGTTGAACCTTTGTTTTGATACAGCATTTTGGAAACACTCCTTTTGTAGAATCTGCAGGTGGATATTTGGATAGATTTTAAGATTTCATTGGAAACGGGAATTTCTTCCTATAAACTCAAGACAGATGCATTCTCAGAAACTTCTCTGTGATGTTTGCATTCCACTCACAGAGTTGAAAACTTCCTTTCATAGAGCAGGTTTGAAACACTCTTTTTGTAATATTTGGAAGTGGACATTTGCAGCGCTTTGAGGCCTATGGTGAAAAAGGAAATATCTTCTCATAAAAACCAGAAACAAGCATTCTCAGAAACTTCTTTTTGATGTGTGTACTCAAGTAACAGAGTTGAACCTTCCTTTTGACACAGCAGTTTTGAAACAATCTTTTTGTAGAATCTGCAAGTGGATATTTGGATAGCTTTGAGGATTTCGTTGGAAACGGGATATCTTCATATAAAATCTAGAAAGAAGCATTCTCAGAAACTTCTTTGTGCTGTATGTCCTCAATTAACAGAGTTGAACCATTGCCTGGATACCGCATTTTGGAAACATTCCTTGAGTAGAATCTGCAAGTTGATATTTAGATAGATTTGAAGATTTCGTTGGAAAAGGGAATATCTCCATATAAAATCTAGAGGGAAGCATTCTCAGAAACTGCTTTGTGATGTTTCCATTCAAGTCACAGAGTTGAATATTCCCTTTTATAGAGCACGTTTGAAACACTCTTTCTGCACTATCTGGAAGTGGACATTTCGAGCGCTTTGAGGCCTATGGTGAAAAAGGAAATATCTTCCCATAAAAACTAGACAGAAGCATTCTCAGAAACTTGTTTGTGATGTGTGTATTCAACTAACAGAGTTGAACTTTTGTTTTTACAGAGCCGTTTTAAAACACTCTTTTTGTGGAATCAGAAAGTGGATATTCGGATGGCTCTGAGGATTTCGTTGGAAGCGGGATTACATATAAAATCTAGAGAGAAGCATTCTCAGGAACTTCTTTGTGATGTTTGCATTGAAGTCACAGAATTGAACATTCACTTTGATAGAGCAGGTTTGAAACACTCATTCTGTAGGATCTGGAAGTGGACATTTCAAGCGCTTTCAGGCCTATGGTGAGAAAGGAAATATCTTCGAATAAAAACTAGACAGAAGCATCCTCAGAAACTTATTTGTGATGTGTGTCCTCAACTAACAGAGTTGAAACTTTGTTTTGATACAGCATTTTGGAAACACTCTTTTTGTAGAATCTGCAGGTGGATATTTGGATAGCTTAGAGGGATTCGTTGGAAAGGGGATATCTTCATATAAAATCTAGACAGAAGCATTCTCAGAAAATTATTTGTGATGTGTGTCCTCAACTAACAGAGTTGAACCTTGGTTTTGATACAGCATTTTGGAAACACTCCTTTTGTAGAATCTGCAGGTGGATATGTGGATAGCTCTGAAGATTTCGTTGGAAACGGGAATTTCTTCATATAAAATCAAACAGAAGCATTCTCAGAAACTTCTCAGTGATGTTTGCATTCAGCTCATGGAGTTGTACACTTCCTTTCATAGAGCAGGTTTGAAACACTCTTTCTGCACTACCTGGAAGAGGACATTTCGAGCGCTTTGAGTCCTATGGTGAAAAAGGAAATATCTTCTCATAGAAACCAGAAAGAAGCATTCTCAGAAACTTCTTTGTGTTGTGTGTACTCATGTAACAGTGTTGAACCATCCTTTTGACAGAGCAGTTTTGAAACACTCTTTTTGTAGAATCTGCAAGTGGATATTTGGATAGCTTTGAGGATTTCGTTGGAAACGGGATGACATATAATATCTAGAGAGAAGCATTCTCAGGAACTTCTTTGTGATGTTTGCATTCAAGTCACAGAATTGAACATTCCCTTTCATAGAGCAGGTTTGAAACACTCTTTCTCTAGTATCTGGAAGTGGGCATTTCAAGCGCTTTCAGGCCTATGGAGAGAAAGGAAATACCTTCAAATAAAAACTAGACAGAAGCATTCTCAGAAACTTATTTGTGATGTGTGTCCTCAACTAACAGAGTTGAACCTTTGTTTTGATACAGCATTTTGGAAACACTCCTTTTGTAGAATCTGCAGGTGGATATTTGGATAGCTTTGAAGATTTCGTTGGAAACCGGAATATCTTCATATAAAATCAAGACAGAAGCATTCTCGGAAACATCTCTGTGATGTTTGCATTCAACTCAGTAGAGTTGAACACTTCCTTTCATAGAGCAGGTTTGAAACACTCTTTCTGCACTACCTGGAAGCGGACATTTCGAGCGCTTTGAGGCCTATGGTGAAAAAGGAAATATCTTCTCATAAAAACCAGAAAGAAGCATTCTCAGAAACTTCTTTGTGTTGTGTGTACTCAAGTAACAGTGTTGAACCTTCCTTTTGACAGAGCAGTTTTGAAACACTCTTTTGGTAGAATCTGCAAGTGGATATTTGGATAGCTTTGAGGATTTCATTGGAAACGGGTTATCTTCCTATAAAATCCAGACAGGATCATTCTCAGAAACTTCTTTGTGCTGTATGTCCTCAATTCACAGAGTTGAACCTTTGTTTGGATACAGCATTTTGGAAACATTCCTTTAGTAGAATCTGCAAGTTGATATTTAGATAGCTTTGAAGATTTCGTTGGAAACGGGAATATCTTCATAAAAAATCTAGACGGAAGCATTCTCAGAAACTGCTTTGTGATGTTTGCATTCAAGTCACAGAGTTGAATATTCCCTTTTATAGAGTAGGTTTGAAACACTCTTTCGGCACTACCTGGAAGTGGATATTTCGAGCTCTTTGAGGCCTATGGTTAAAAGGAAATATCTTCCCATAAAAACTAGACAGAAGCCGTCTCAGAAACTTGTTTGTGATGTGTGTATTCAACTAACAGAGTTGAACATTTCTGTTACAGAGCAATTTTAAAACACTCTTTGTGGAATCTGAAAGTGGATAATTGGATAGCTTTGTGGATTTCGTTGGAAACGGGATGACGTATAAAATCTAGAGAGAAGCATTCTCAGGAACTTCTTTCTGATGTTTGCATTCAAGTCACAGAATTGAACATTCCTTTTCAGAGTGCAGGTTTGAAACACTCTTTCTGTAGTATCTGGAAGTGGACATTTCAAGCGCTTTCAGGCCTACGGGGAGAAAGGAAATCTCTTCAAATAAAAACCAGACAGAAGGATTCTCAGAAACTTATTTGTGATGTGTGTCCTAAACGAACACAGTTGAACCTTTGTTTTGATACAGCATTTTGGAAACACTCCTTTTGTAGGATCTGCAGGTGGATATTTGGATAGATTTTAAGATTTCGTTGGAAACGGGAATTTCTGCATAGAAACTCAAGACAGATGCATTCTCAGAAACTTCTCTGTGATGTGTGCATTCCACTCATAGAGTTGAAAACTTCCTTTCATAGAGCAGGTTTGAAACACTCTTTTTGTAATATTTGGAAGTGGACATTTGCAGCGCTTTGAGGCCTATGGTGAAAAAGGAAATATCTTCTCATAAAAACCAGAAACAAGCATTCTCAGAAACTTCTTTTTGATGTGTGTACTCAAGTAACAGAGTTGAACCTTCCTTTTGACACAGCAGTTTTGAAACAATCTTTTTGTAGAATCTGCAAGTGGATATTTGGATAGCTTTGAGGATTTCGTTGGAAACGGGATATCTTCATATAAAATCTAGACAGAAGCATTCTCAGAAACTTCTTTGTGCTGTATGACCTCAATTAACAGAGTTGAACCATTGCTTGCATACAGCATTTTGGAAACATTCCTTGAGTAGAATCTGCAAGTTGATATTTAGATAGATTTGAAGATTTCGTTCGAAAACGGAATATCTCCATATAAAATCTAGAGGGAAGCATTCTCAGAAACTGCTTTGTGATGTTTCCATTCAAGTCACAGAGTTGAATATTCCCTTTTATAGAGCACGTTTGAAACACTCTTTCTGCACTATCTGGAAGTGGACATTTCGAGCGCTGTGAGGCCTATGGTGAAAAAGGAAATATCTTCCCATAAAAACTAGACAGAAGCATTCTCAGAAACTTGTTTGTGATGTGTGTATTCAACTAACAGAGTTGAACTTTTGTTTTTACAGAGCCGTTTTAAAACACTCTTTTTGTGGAATCAGAAAGTGGATATTCGGATGGCTCTGAGGATTTCGTTGGAAGCGGGATTACATATAAAATCTAGAGAGAAGCATTCTCAGGAACTTCTTTGTGATGTTTGCATTGAAGTCACAGAATTGAACATTCACTTTGATAGAGCAGGTTTGAAACACTCATTCTGTAGTATCTGGAAGTGGACATTTCAAGCGCTTTCAGGCCTATGGTGAGAAAGGAAATATCTTCGAATAAAAACTAGACAGAAGCATCCTCAAACTTATTTGTGATGTGTGTCCTCAACTAACAGAGTTGAAACTTTGTTTTGATACAGCATTTTGGAAACACTCTTTTTGTAGAATCTGCAGGTGGATATTTGGATAGCTTAGAGGGATTCGTTGGAAAGGGGATATCGTCATATAGAATCTAGACAGAAGCATTCTCAGAAACTTATTTGTGATGTGTGTCCTCAACTAACAGAGTTGAACCTTGGTTTTGATACAGCATTTTGGAAACACTCCTTTTGTAGAATCTGCATGTGGATATGTGGATAGCTCTGAAGATTTCGTTGGAAACGGGAATTTCTTCATATAAAATCAAACAGAAGCATTCTCAGAAACTTCTCAGTGATGTTTGCATTCAGCTCATGGAGTTGTACACTTCCTTTCATAGAGCAGGTTTGAAACACTCTTTCTGCACTACCTGGAAGAGGACATTTCGAGCGCTTTGAGTCCTATGGTGAAAAAGGAAATATCTTCTCATAGAAACCAGAAAGAAGCATTCTCAGAAACTTCTTTGTGTTGTGTGTACTCATGTAACAGTGTTGAACCATCCTTTTGACAGAGGAGTTTTGAAACACTCTTTTTGTAGAATCTGCAAGTGGATATTTGGATAGCTTTGAGGATTTCGTTGGAAACGGGATGACATATAATATACTAGAGAGAAGCATTCTCAGGAAATTCTTTGTGATGTTTGCATTCAAGTCACAGAATTGAACATTCCCTTTCATAGAGCAGGTTTGAAACACTCTTTCTCTAGTATCTGGAAGTGGGCATTTCAAGCGCTTTCAGGCCTATGGAGAGAAAGGAAATACCTTCAAATAAAAACTAGACAGAAGCATTCTCAGAAACTTATTTGTGATGTGTGTCCTCAACTAACAGAGTTGAACCTTTGTTTTGATACAGCATTTTGGAAACACTCCTTTTGTAGAATCTGCAGGTGGATATTTGGATAGCTTTGAAGATTTCGTTGGAAACCGGAATATCTTCATATAAAATCAAGACAGAAGCATTCTCGGAAACATCTCTGTGATGTTTGCATTCAACTCAGTAGAGTTGAACACTTCCTTTCATAGAGCAGGTTTGAAACACTCTTTCTGCACTACCTGGAAGCGGACATTTCGAGCGCTTTGAGGCCTATGGTGAAAAAGGAAATATCTTCTCATAAAAACCAGAAAGAAGCATTCTCAGAAACTTCTTTGTGTTGTGTGTACTCAAGTAACAGTGTTGAACCTTCCTTTTGACAGAGTAGTTTTGAAACACTCTTTTGGTAGAATCTGCAAGTGGATATTTGGATAGCTTTGAGGATTTCGTTGGAAACGGGTTATCTTCCTATAAAATCCAGACAGGAGCATTCTCAGAAACTTCTTTGTGCTGTATGTCCTCAATTCACAGAGCTGAACCTTTGTTTGGATACAGCATTTTGGAGACATTCCTTTAGTAGAATCTGCAAGTTGATATTTAGATAGCTTTGAAGATTTCGTTGGAAACGGGAATATCTTCATAGAAAATCTAGACGGAAGCATTCTCAGAAACTGCTTTGTGATGTTTGCATTCAAGTCACAGAGTTGAATATTCCCTTTTATAGAGTAGGTTTGAAACACTCTTTCGGCACTACCTGGAAGTGGATATTTCGAGCTCTTTGAGGCCTATGGTTAAAAGGAAATATCTTCCCATAAAAACTAGACAGAAGCCGTCTCAGAAACTTGTTTGTGATGTGTGTATTCAACTAACAGAGTTGAACATTTCTGTTACAGAGCAATTTTAAAACACTCTTTTTGTGGAATCTGAAAGTGGATAATTGGATAGCTTTGTGGATTTCGTTGGAAACGGGATGACGTATAAAATCTAGAGAGAAGCATTCTCAGGAACTTCTTTCTGATGTTTGCATTCAAGTCACAGAATTGAACATTCTTTTCAGAGTGCAGGTTTGAAACACTCTTTCTGTAGTATCTGGAAGTGGACATTTCAAGCGCTTTCAGGCCTACGGGGAGAAAGGAAATATCTTCAAATAAAAACTAGAGAGAAGGATTCTCAGAAACTTATTTGTGATGTGTGTCCTAAACGAACACAGTTGAACCTTTGTTTTTATACAGCATTTGGAAACACTCCTTTTGTAGGATCTGCAGGTGGATATTTGGATAGATTTTAAGATTTCGTTGGAAACGGGAATTTCTTCATAGAAGCTCAAGACAGATGCATTCTCAGAAACTTCTCTGTGATGTTTGCATTCCACTCATAGAGTTGAAAACTTCCTTTCATAGAGCAGGTTTGAAACACTCTTTTTGTAATATTTGGAAGTGGACATTTGCAGCGCTTTGAGGCCTATGGTGAAAAAGGAAATATCTTCTCATAAAAACCAGAAACAAGCATTCTCAGAAACTTCTTTTTGATGTGTGTACTCAAGTAACAGAGTTGAACCTTCCTCTTGACACAGCAGTTTTGAAACAATCTTTTTGTAGAATCTGCAAGTGGATATTTGGATAGCTTTGAGGATTTCGTTGGAAACGGGATATCTTCATATAAAATCTAGACAGAAGCATTCTCAGAAACTTCTTTGTGCTGTATGTCCTCAATTAACAGAGTTGAACCATTGCCTGGATACAGCATTTTGGAAACATTCCTTGAGTAGAATCTGCAAGTTGATATTTAGATAGATTTGAAGATTTCGTTGGAAAAGGGAATATCTCCATATAAAATCTAGAGGGAAGCATTCTCAGAAACTGCTTTGTGATGTTTCCATTCAAGTCACAGAGTTGAATATTCCCTTTTATAGAGCACGTTTGAAACACTCTTTCTGCACTATCTGGAAGCGGACATTTCGAGCGCTTTGAGGCCTATGGTGAAAAAGGAAATATCTTCCCATAAAAACTAGACAGAAGCATTCTCAGAAACTTGTTTGTGATGTGTGTATTCAACTAACAGAGTTGAACTTTTGTTTTTACAGAGCCGTTTTAAAACACTCTTTTTGTGGAATCAGAAAGTGGATATTCGGATGGCTCTGAGGATTTCGTTGGAAGCGGGATTACGTATAAAATCTAGAGAGAAGCATTCTCAGGAACTTCTTTGTGATGTTTGCATTGAAGTCACAGAATTGAACATTCACTTTGATAGAGCAGGTTTGAAACACTCATTCTGTAGTATCTGGAAGTGGACATTTCAAGCGCTTTCAGGCCTATGGTGAGAAAGGAAATATCTTCGAATAAAAACTAGACAGAAGCATCCTCAAACTTATTTGTGATGTGTGTCCTCAACTAACAGAGTTGAAACTTTGTTTTGATACAGCATTTTGGAAACACTCTTTTTGTAGAATCTGCAGGTGGATATTTGGATAGCTTAGAGGGATTCGTTGGAAAGGGGATATCTTCATATAGAATCTAGACAGAAGCATTCTCAGAAACTTATTTGTGATGTGTGTCCTCAACTAACAGAGTTGAACTTTGGTTTTGATACAGCATTTTGGAAACACTCCTTTTGTAGAATCTGCAGGTGGATATGTGGATAGCTCTGAAGATTTCGTTGGAAACGGGAATTTCTTCATAGAAAATCAAACAGAAGCATTCTCAGAAACTTCTCAGTGATGTTTGCATTCAGTTCATGGAGTTGAACACTTCCTTTCATAGAGCCGGTTTGAAACACTCTTTCTGCACTACCTGGAAGAGGACATTTCGAGCGCTTTGAGTCCTATGGTGAAAAAGGAAATATCTTCTCATAGAAACCAGAAAGAAGCATTCTCAGAAACTTCTTTGTGTTGTGTGTACTCATGTAACAGTGTTGAACCATCCTTTTGACAGAGCAGTTTTGAAACACTCTTTTTGTAGAATCTGCAAGTGGATATTTGGATAGCTTTGAGGATTTCGTTGGAAACGGGATGACATATAATATCTAGAGAGAAGCATTCTCAGGAACTTCTTTGTGATGTTTGCATTCAAGTCACAGAATTGAACATTCCCTTTCATAGAGCAGGTTTGAAACACTCTTTCTCTAGTATCTGGAAGTGGGCATTTCAAGCGCTTTCAGGCCTATGGAGAGAAAGGAAATACCTTCAAATAAAAACTAGACAGAAGCATTCTCAGAAACTTATTTGTGATGTGTGTCCTCAACTAACAGAGTTGAACCTTTGTTTTGATACAGCATTTTGGAAACACTCCTTTTGTAGAATCTGCAGGTGGATATTTGGATAGCTTTGAAGATTTCGTTGGAAACCGGAATATCTTCATATAAAATCAAGACAGAAGCATTCTCGGAAACATCTCTGTGATGTTTGCATTCAACTCAGTAGAGTTGAACACTTCCTTTCATAGAGCAGGTTTGAAACACTCTTTCTGCACTACCTGGAAGCGGACATTTCGAGCGCTTTGAGGCCTATGGTGAAAAAGGAAATATCTTCTCATAAAAACCAGAAAGAAGCATTCTCAGAAACTTCTTTGTGTTGTGTGTACTCAAGTAACAGTGTTGAACCTTCCTTTTGACAGAGCAGTTTTGAAACACTCTTTTGGTAGAATCTGCAAGTGGATATTTGGATAGCTTTGAGGATTTCGTTGGAAACGGGTTATCTTCCTATAAAATCCAGACAGGAGCATTCTCAGAAACTTCTTTGTGCTGTATGTCCTCAATTCACAGAGCTGAACCTTTGTTTGGATACAGCATTTTGGAGACATTCCTTTAGTAGAATCTGCAAGTTGATATTTAGATAGCTTTGAAGATTTCGTTGGAAACGGGAATATCTTCATAGAAAATCTAGACGGAAGCATTCTCAGAAACTGCTTTGTGATGTTTGCATTCAAGTCACAGAGTTGAATATTCCCTTTTATAGAGTAGGTTTGAAACACTCTTTCGGCACTACCTGGAAGTGGATATTTCGAGCTCTTTGAGGCCTATGGTTAAAAGGAAATATCTTCCCATAAAAACTAGACAGAAGCCGTCTCAGAAACTTGTTTGTGATGTGTGTATTCAACTAACAGAGTTGAACATTTCTGTTACAGAGCAATTTTAAAACACTCTTTTTGTGGAATCTGAAAGTGGATAATTGGATAGCTTTGTGGATTTCGTTGGAAACGGGATGACGTATAAAATCTAGAGAGAAGCATTCTCAGAAACTTCTTTCTGATGTTTGCATTCAAGTCACAGAATTGAACATTCCTTTTCATAGTGCAGGTTTGAAACACTCTTTCTGTACTATCTGGAAGTGGACATTTCCAGCGCTTTCAGGCCTATGGGGAGAAAGGAAATATCTTCAAATAAAAACTAGACAGAAGGGTTCTCAGAAACTTATTTGTGATGTGTGTCCTAAACGAACACAGTTGAACCTTTGTTTTGATACAGCATTTTGGAAACACTCCTTTTGTAGGATCTGCAGGTGGATATTTGGATAGATTTTAAGATTTCGTTGGAAACGGGAATTTCTGCATAGAAACTCAAGACAGATGCATTCTCAGAAACTTCTCTGTGATGTGTGCATTCCACTCATAGAGTTGAAAACTTCCTTTCATAGAGCAGGTTTGAAACACTCTTTTTGTAATATTTGGAAGTGGACATTTGCAGCGCTTTGAGGCCTATGGTGAAAAAGGAAATATCTTCTCATAAAAACCAGAAACAAGCATTCTCAGAAACTTCTTTTTGATGTGTGTACTCAAGTAACAGAGTTGAACCTTCCTTTTGACACAGCAGTTTTGAAACAATCTTTTTGTAGAATCTGCAAGTGGATATTTGGATAGCTTTGAGGATTTCGTTGGAAACGGGATATCTTCATATAAAATCTAGACAGAAGCATTCTCAGAAACTTCTTTGTGCTGTATGACCTCAATTAACAGAGTTGAACCATTGCTTGCATACAGCATTTTGGAAACATTCCTTGAGTAGAATCTGCAAGTTGATATTTAGATAGATTTGAAGATTTCGTTCGAAAACGGAATATCTCCATATAAAATCTAGAGGGAAGCATTCTCAGAAACTGCTTTGTGATGTTTCCATTCAAGTCACAGAGTTGAATATTCCCTTTTATAGAGCACGTTTGAAACACTCTTTCTGCGCTATCTGGAAGTGGACATTTCGAGCGCTTTGAGGCCTATGGTGAAAAAGGAAATATCTTCCCATAAAAACTAGACAGAAGCATTCTCAGAAACTTGTTTGTGATGTGTGTATTCAACTAACAGAGTTGAACTTTTGTTTTTACAGAGCCGTTTTAAAACACTCTTTTTGTGGAATCAGAAAGTGGATATTCGGATGGCTCTGAGGATTTCGTTGGAAGCGGGATTACATATAAAATCTAGAGAGAAGCATTCTCAGGAACTTCTTTGTGATGTTTGCATTGAAGTCACAGAATTGAACATTCACTTTGATAGAGCAGGTTTGAAACACTCATTCTGTAGTATCTGGAAGTGGACATTTCAAGCGCTTTCAGGCCTATGGTGAGAAAGGAAATATCTTCGAATAAAAACTAGACAGAAGCATCCTCAAACTTATTTGTGATGTGTGTCCTCAACTAACAGAGTTGAAACTTTGTTTTGATACAGCATTTTGGAAACACTCTTTTTGTAGAATCTGCAGGTGGATATTTGGATAGCTTAGAGGGATTCGTTGGAAAGGGGATATCTTCATATAGAATCTAGACAGAAGCATTCTCAGAAACTTATTTGTGATGTGTGTCCTCAACTAACAGAGTTGAACTTTGGTTTTGATACAGCATTTTGGAAACACTCCTTTTGTAGAATCTGCAGGTGGATATGTGGATAGCTCTGAAGATTTCGTTGGAAACGGGAATTTCTTCATATAAAATCAAACAGAAGCATTCTCAGAAACTTCTCAGTGATGTTTGCATTCAGTTCATGGAGTTGAACACTTCCTTTCATAGAGCCGGTTTGAAACACTCTTTCTGCACTACCTGGAAGAGGACATTTCGAGCGCTTTGAGTCCTATGGTGAAAAAGGAAATATCTTCTCATAGAAACCAGAAAGAAGCATTCTCAGAAACTTCTTTGTGTTGTGTGTACTCATGTAACAGTGTTGAACCATCCTTTTGACAGAGCAGTTTTGAAACACTCTTTTTGTAGAATCTGCAAGTGGATATTTGGATAGCTTTGAGGATTTCGTTGGAAACGGGATGACATATAATATCTAGAGAGAAGCATTCTCAGGAACTTCTTTGTGATGTTTGCATTCAAGTCACAGAATTGAACATTCCCTTTCATAGAGCAGGTTTGAAACACTCTTTCTCTAGTATCTGGAAGTGGGCATTTCAAGCGCTTTCAGGCCTATGGAGAGAAAGGAAATACCTTCAAATAAAAACTAGACAGAAGCATTCTCAGAAACTTATTTGTGATGTGTGTCCTCAACTAACAGAGTTGAACCTTTGTTTTGATACAGCATTTTGGAAACACTCCTTTTGTAGAATCTGCAGGTGGATATTTGGATAGCTTTGAAGATTTCGTTGGAAACCGGAATATCTTCATATAAAATCAAGACAGAAGCATTCTCGGAAACATCTCTGTGATGTTTGCATTCAACTCAGTAGAGTTGAACACTTCCTTTCATAGAGCAGGTTTGAAACACTCTTTCTGCCCTACCTGGAAGCGGACATTTCGAGCTCTTTGAGGCCTATGGTGAAAAAGGAAATATCTTCTCATAAAAACCAGAAAGAAGCATTCTCAGAAACTTCTTTGTGTTGTGTGTACTCAAGTAACAGTGTTGAACCTTCGTTTTGACAGAGCAGTTTTGAAACACTCTTTTGGTAGAATCTGCAAGTGGATATTTGGATAGCTTTGAGGATTTCGTTGGAAACGGGTTATCTTCATATAAAATCCAGACAGGAGCATTCTCAGAAACTTCTTTGTGCTGTATGTCCTCAATTCACAGAGCTGAACCTTTGTTTGGATACAGCATTTTGGAGACATTCCTTTAGTAGAATCTGCAAGTTGATATTTAGATAGCTTTGAAGATTTCGTTGGAAACGGGAATATCTTCATAGAAAATCTAGACGGAAGCATTCTCAGAAACTGCTTTGTGATGTTTGCATTCAAGTCACAGAGTTGAATATTCCCTTTTATAGAGTAGGTTTGAAACACTCTTTCGGCACTACCTGGAAGTGGATATTTCGAGCTCTTTGAGGCCTATGGTTAAAAGGAAATATCTTCCCATAAAAACTAGACAGAAGCCGTCTCAGAAACTTGTTTGTGATGTGTGTATTCAACTAACAGAGTTGAACATTTCTGTTACAGAGCAATTTTAAAACACTCTTTTTGTGGAATCTGAAAGTGGATAATTGGATAGCTTTGTGGATTTCGTTGGAAACGGGATGACGTATAAAATCTAGAGAGAAGCATTCTCAGGAACTTCTTTCTGATGTTTGCATTCAAGTCACAGAATTGAACATTCCTTTTCATAGTGCAGGTTTGAAACACTCTTTCTGTAGTATCTGGAAGTGGACATTTCAAGCGCTTTCAGGCCTATGGGGAGAAAGGAAATATCTTCAAATAAAAACTAGAGAGAAGGATTCTCAGAAACTTATTGGTGATGTGTGTCCTAAACGGACACAGTTGAACCTTTGTTTTGATACAGCATTTTGGAAACACTCCTTTTGTAGAATCTGCAGGTGGATATTTGGATAGATTTTAAGATTTCGTTGGAAACGGGAATTTCTTCATATAAACTCAAGACAGATGCATTCTCAGAAACTTCTCTGTGATGTTTGCATTCCACTCATAGAGTTGAAAACTTCCTTTCATAGAGCAGGTTTGAAACACTCTTTTTGTAATATTTGGAAGTGGACATTTGCAGCGCTTTGAGGCCTATGGTGAAAAAGGAAATATCTTCTCATAAAAACCAGAAACAAGCATTCTCAGAAACTTCTTTTTGATGTGTGTACTCAAGTAACAGAGTTGAACCTTCCTTTTGACACAGCAGTTTTGAAACAATCTTTTTGTAGAATCTGCAAGTGGATATTTGGATAGCTTTGAGGATTTCGTTGGAAACGGGATATCTTCATATAAAATCTAGACAGAAGCATTCTCAGAAACTTCTTTGTGCTGTATGTCCTCAATTAACAGAGTTGAACCATTGCCTGGATACAGCATTTTGGAAACATTCCTTGAGTAGAATCTGCAAGTTGATATTTAGATAGATTTGAAGATTTCGTTGGAAAAGGGAATATCTCCATATAAAATCTAGAGGGAAGCATTCTCAGAAACTGCTTTGTGATGTTTCCATTCAAGTCACAGAGTTGAATATTCCCTTTTATAGAGCACGTTTGAAACACTCTTTCTGCACTATCTGGAAGCGGACATTTCGAGCGCTTTGAGGCCTATGGTGAAAAAGGAAATATCTTCCCATAAAAACTAGACAGAAGCATTCTCAGAAACTTGTTTGTGATGTGTGTATTCAACTAACAGAGTTGAACTTTTGTTTTACAGAGCCGTTTTAAAACACTCTTTTTGTGGAATCAGAAAGTGGATATTCGGATGGCTCTGAGGATTTCGTTGGAAGCGGGATTACGTATAAAATCTAGAGAGAAGCATTCTCAGGAACTTCTTTCTGATGTTTGCATTGAAGTCACGGAATTGAACATTCACTTTTATAGAGCAGGTTTGAAACACTCATTCTGTAGTATCTGGAAGTGGACATTTCAAGCGCTTTCAGGCCTATGGTGAGAAAGGAAATATCTTCGAATAAAAACTAGACAGAAGCATCCTCAGAAACTTATTTGTGATGTGTGTCCTCAACTAACAGAGTTGAAACTTTGTTTTGATACAGCATTTTGGAAACACTCTTTTTGTAGAATCTGCAGGTGGATATTTGGATAGCTTAGAGGGATTCGTTGGAAAGGGGATATCTTCATATAAAATCTAGACAGAAGCATTCTCAGAAACTTATTTGTGATGTGTGTCCTCAACTAACAGAGTTGAACCTTGGTTTTGATACAGCATTTTGGAAACACTCCTTTTGTAGAATCTGCAGGTGGATATGTGGATAGCTCTGAAGATTTCGTTGGAAACGGGAATTTCTTCATATAAAATCAAACAGAAGCATTCTCAGAAACTTCTCAGTGATGTTTGCATTCAGCTCATGGAGTTGTACACTTCCTTTCATAGAGCAGGTTTGAAACACTCTTTCTGCACTACTTGGAAGAGGACATTTCGAGCGCTTTGAGTCCTATGGTGAAAAAGGAAATATCTTCTCATAGAAACCAGAAAGAAGCATTCTCAGAAACTTCTTTGTGTTGTGTGTACTCATGTAACAGTGTTGAACCATCCTTTTGACAGAGGAGTTTTGAAACACTCTTTTTGTAGAATCTGCAAGTGGATATTTGGATAGCTTTGAGGATTTCGTTGGAAACGGGATGACATATAATATCTAGAGAGAAGCATTCTCAGGAACTTCTTTGTGATGTTTGCATTCAAGTCACAGAATTGAACATTCCCTTTCATAGAGCAGGTTTGAAACACTCTTTCTCTAGTATCTGGAAGTGGGCATTTCAAGCGCTTTCAGGCCTATGGAGAGAAAGGAAATACCTTCAAATAAAAACTAGACAGAAGCATTCTCAGAAACTTATTTGTGATGTGTGTCCTCAACTAACAGAGTTGAACCTTTGTTTTGATACAGCATTTTGGAAACACTCCTTTTGTAGAATCTGCAGGTGGATATTTGGATAGCTTTGAAGATTTCGTTGGAAACCGGAATATCTTCATATAAAATCAAGACAGAAGCATTCTCGGAAACATCTCTGTGATGTTTGCATTCAACTCAGTAGAGTTGAACACTTCCTTTCATAGAGCAGGTTTGAAACACTCTTTCTGCACTACCTGGAAGCGGACATTTCGAGCGCTTTGAGGCCTATGGTGAAAAAGGAAATATCTTCTCATAAAAACCAGAAAGAAGCATTCTCAGAAACTTCTTTGTGTTGTGTGTACTCAAGTAACAGTGTTGAACCTTCCTTTTGACAGAGCAGTTTTGAAACACTCTTTTGGTAGAATCTGCAAGTGGATATTTGGATAGCTTTGAGGATTTCGTTGGAAACGGGTTATCTTCCTATAAAATCCAGACAGGAGCATTCTCAGAAACTTCTTTGTGCTGTATGTCCTCAATTCACAGAGCTGAACCTTTGTTTGGATACAGCATTTTGGAGACATTCCTTTAGTAGAATCTGCAAGTTGATATTTAGATAGCTTTGAAGATTTCGTTGGAAACGGGAATATCTTCATAGAAAATCTAGACGGAAGCATTCTCAGAAACTGCTTTGTGATGTTTGCATTCAAGTCACAGAGTTGAATATTCCCTTTTATAGAGTAGGTTTGAAACACTCTTTCGGCACTACCTGGAAGTGGATATTTCGAGCTCTTTGAGGCCTATGGTTAAAAGGAAATATCTTCCCATAAAAACTAGACAGAAGCCGTCTCAGAAACTTGTTTGTGATGTGTGTATTCAACTAACAGAGTTGAACATTTCTGTTACAGAGCAATTTTAAAACACTCTTTTTGTGGAATCTGAAAGTGGATAATTGGATAGCTTTGTGGATTTCGTTGGAAACGGGATGACGTATAAAATCTAGAGAGAAGCATTCTCAGGAACTTCTTTCTGATGTTTGCATTCAAGTCACAGAATTGAACATTCCTTTTCAGAGTGCAGGTTTGAAACACTCTTTCTGTAGTATCTGGAAGTGGACATTTCAAGCGCTTTCAGGCCTACGGGGAGAAAGGAAATCTCTTCAAATAAAAACCAGACAGAAGGATTCTCAGAAACTTATTTGTGATGTGTGTCCTAAACGAACACAGTTGAACCTTTGTTTTGATACAGCATTTTGGAAACACTCCTTTTGTAGGATCTGCAGGTGGATATTTGGATAGATTTTAAGATTTCGTTGGAAACGGGAATTTCTTCATAGAAGCTCAAGACAGATGCATTCTCAGAAACTTCTACTGTGATGTTTGCATTCCACTCATAGAGTTGAAAACTTCCTTTCATAGAGCAGGTTTGAAACACTCTTTTTGTAATATTTGGAAGTGGACATTTGCAGCGCTTTGAGGCCTATGGTGAAAAAGGAAATATCTTCTCATAAAAACCAGAAACAAGCATTCTCAGAAACTTCTTTTTGATGTGTGTACTCAAGTAACAGAGTTGAACCTTCCTCTTGACACAGCAGTTTTGAAACAATCTTTTTGTAGAATCTGCAAGTGGATATTTGGATAGCTTTGAGGATTTCGTTGGAAACGGGATATCTTCATATAAAATCTAGACAGAAGCATTCTCAGAAACTTCTTTGTGCTGTATGACCTCAATTAACAGAGTTGAACCATTGCTTGCATACAGCATTTTGGAAACATTCCTTGAGTAGAATCTGCAAGTTGATATTTAGATAGATTTGAAGATTTCGTTGGAAAAGGGAATATCTCCATATAAAATCTAGAGGGAAGCATTCTCAGAAACTGCTTTGTGATGTTTCCATTCAAGTCACAGAGTTGAATATTCCCTTTTATAGAGCACGTTTGAAACACTCTTTCTGCACTATCTGGAAGCGGACATTTCGAGCGCTTTGAGGCCTATGGTGAAAAAGGAAATATCTTCCCATAAAAACTAGACAGAAGCATTCTCAGAAACTTGTTTGTGATGTGTGTATTCAACTAACAGAGTTGAACTTTTGTTTTTACAGAGCCGTTTTAAAACACTCTTTTTGTGGAATCAGAAAGTGGATATTCGGATGGCTCTGAGGATTTCGTTGGAAGCGGGATTACGTATAAAATCTAGAGAGAAGCATTCTCAGGAACTTCTTTGTGATGTTTGCATTGAAGTCACAGAATTGAACATTCACTTTGATAGAGCAGGTTTGAAACACTCATTCTGTAGTATCTGGAAGTGGACATTTCAAGCGCTTTCAGGCCTATGGTGAGAAAGGAAATATCTTCGAATAAAAACTAGACAGAAGCATTCTCAGAAACTTATTTGTGATGTGTGTCCTCAACTAACAGAGTTGAAACTTTGTTTTGATACAGCATTTTGGAAACACTCTTTTTGTAGAATCTGCAGGTGGATATTTGGATAGCTTAGAGGGATTCGTTGGAAAGGGGATATCTTCATATAAAATCTAGACAGAAGCATTCTCAGAAACTTATTTGTGATGTGTGTCCTCAACTAACAGAGTTGAACCTTGGTTTTGATACAGCATTTTGGAAACACTCCTTTTGTAGAATCTGCAGGTGGATATGTGGATAGCTCTGAAGATTTCGTTGGAAACGGGAATTTCTTCATATAAAATCAAACAGAAGCATTCTCAGAAACTTCTCAGTGATGTTTGCATTCAGTTCATGGAGTTGAACACTTCCCTTCATAGAGCCGGTTTGAAACACTCTTTCTGCACTACCTGGAAGAGGACATTTCGAGCGCTTTGAGTCCTATGGTGAAAAAGGAAATATCTTCTCATAGAAACCAGAAAGAAGCATTCTCAGAAACTTCTTTGTGTTGTGTGTACTCATGTAACAGTGTTGAACCATCCTTTTGACAGAGGAGTTTTGACACACTCTTTTTGTAGAATCTGCAAGTGGATATTTGGATAGCTTTGAGGATTTCGTTGGAAACGGGATGACATATAATATCTAGAGAGAAGCATTCTCAGGAACTTCTTTGTGATGTTTGCATTCAAGTCACAGAATTGAACATTCCCTTTCATAGAGCAGGTTTGAAACACTCTTTCTCTAGTATCTGGAAGTGGGCATTTCAAGCGCTTTCAGGCCTATGGAGAGAAAGGAAATACCTTCAAATAAAAACTAGACAGAAGCATTCTCAGAAACTTATTTGTGATGTGTGTCCTCAACTAACAGAGTTGAACCTTTGTTTTGATACAGCATTTTGGAAACACTCCTTTTGTAGAATCTGCAGGTGGATATTTGGATAGCTTTGAAGATTTCGTTGGAAACCGGAATATCTTCATATAAAATCAAGACAGAAGCATTCTCGGAAACATCTCTGTGATGTTTGCATTCAACTCAGTAGAGTTGAACACTTCCTTTCATAGAGCAGGTTTGAAACACTCTTTCTGCACTACCTGGAAGCGGACATTTCGAGCGCTTTGAGGCCTATGGTGAAAAAGGAAATATCTTCTCATAAAAACCAGAAAGAAGCATTCTCAGAAACTTCTTTGTGTTGTGTGTACTCAAGTAACAGTGTTGAACCTTCCTTTTGACAGAGCAGTTTTGAAACACTCTTTTGGTAGAATCTGCAAGTGGATATTTGGATAGCTTTGAGGATTTCGTTGGAAACGGGTTATCTTCCTATAAAATCCAGACAGGAGCATTCTCAGAAACTTCTTTGTGCTGTATGTCCTCAATTCACAGAGCTGAACCTTTGTTTGGATACAGCATTTTGGAGACATTCCTTTAGTAGAATCTGCAAGTTGATATTTAGATAGCTTTGAAGATTTCGTTGGAAACGGGAATATCTTCATAGAAAATCTAGACGGAAGCATTCTCAGAAACTGCTTTGTGATGTTTGCATTCAAGTCACAGAGTTGAATATTCCCTTTTATAGAGTAGGTTTGAAACACTCTTTCGGCACTACCTGGAAGTGGATATTTCGAGCTCTTTGAGGCCTATGGTTAAAAGGAAATATCTTCCCATAAAAACTAGACAGAAGCCGTCTCAGAAACTTGTTTGTGATGTGTGTATTCAACTAACAGAGTTGAACATTTCTGTTACAGAGCAATTTTAAAACACTCTTTTTGTGGAATCTGAAAGTGGATAATTGGGTAGCTTTGTGGATTTCGTTGGAAACGGGATGACGTATAAAATCTAGAGAGAAGCATTCTCAGGAACTTCTTTCTGATGTTTGCATTCAAGTCACAGAATTGACATTCCTTTTCAGAGTGCAGGTTTGAAACACTCTTTCTGTAGTATCTGGAAGTGGACATTTCAAGCGCTTTCAGGCCTATGGGGAGAAAGGAAATATCTTCAAATAAAAACTAGACAGAAGGATTCTCAGAAACTTATTTGTGATGTGTGTCCTAAGCGAACACAGTTGAACCTTTGTTTTGATACAGCATTTTGGAAACACTCCTTTTGTAGAATCTGCAGGTGGATATTTGGATAGATTTTAAGATTTTCATTGGAAACGGGAATTTCTGCATAGAAACTCAAGACAGATGCATTCTCAGAAACTTCTCTGTGATGTTTGCATTCCACTCATAGAGTTGAAAACTTCCTTTCATAGAGCAGGTTTGAAACACTCTTTTTGTAATATTTGGAAGTGGACATTTGCAGCGCTTTGAGGCCTATGGTGAAAAAGGAAATATCTTCTCATAAAAACCAGAAACAAGCATTCTCAGAAACTTCTTTTTGATGTGTGTACTCAAGTAACAGAGTTGAACCTTCCTCTTGACACAGCAGTTTCGAAACAATCTTTTTGTAGAATCTGCAAGTGGATATTTGGATAGCTTTGAGGATTTCGTTGGAAACGGGATATCTTCATATAAAATCTAGACAGAAGCATTCTCAGAAACTTCTTTGTGCTGTATGTCCTCAATTAACAGAGTTGAACCATTGCTTGGATACAGCATTTTGGAAACATTCCTTGAGTAGAATCTGCAAGTTGATATTTAGATAGATTTGAAGATTTCGTTGGAAAAGGGAATATCTCCATATAAAATCTAGAGGGAAGCATTCTCAGAAACTGCTTTGTGATGTTTCCATTCAAGTCACAGAGTTGAATATTCCCTTTTATAGAGCACGTTTGAAACACTCTTTCTGCACTATCTGGAAGTGGACATTTCGAGCGCTTTGAGGCCTATGGTGAAAAAGGAAATATCTTCCCATAAAAACTAGACAGAAGCATTCTCAGAAACTTGTTTGTGATGTGTGTATTCAACTAACAGAGTTGAACTTTTGTTTTTACAGAGCCGTTTTAAAACACTCTTTTTGTGGAATCAGAAAGTGGATATTCGGATGGCTCTGAGGATTTCGTTGGAAGCGGGATTACATATAAAATGCTAGAGAGAAGCATTCTCAGGAACTTCTTTGTGATGTTTGCATTGAAGTCACAGAATTGAACATTCACTTTGATAGAGCAGGATTGAAACACTCATTCTGTAGTATCTGGAAGTGGACATTTTAAGCGCTTTCAGGCCTATGGTGGGAAAGGAAATATCTTCGAATAAAAACTAGACAGAAGCATCCTCAGAAACTTATTTGTGATGTGTGTCCTCAACTAACAGAGTTAAAACTTTGTTTAGATACAGCATTTTGGAAACACTCTTTTTGTAGAATCTGCAGGTGGATATTTTGATAGCTTAGAGGGATTCGTTGGAAAGGGGATATCTTCATATAAAATCTAGACAGAAGCATTCTCAGAAACTTATTTGTGATGTGTGTCCTCAACTAACAGAGTTGAACCTTTGTTTTGATACAGCATTTTGGAAACACTCCTTTTGTAGAATCTGCAGGTGGATATTTGGATAGCTTTGAAGATTTCGTTGGAAACCGGAATATCTTCATATAAAATCAAGACAGAAGCATTCTCGGAAACATCTCTGTGATGTTTGCATTCAACTCAGTAGAGTTGAACACTTCCTTTCATAGAGCAGGTTTGAAACACTCTTTCTGCACTACCTGGAAGCGGACATTTCGAGCGCTTTGAGGCCTATGGTGAAAAAGGAAATATCTTCTCATAAAAACCAGAAAGAAGCATTCTCAGAAACTTCTTTGTGTTGTGTGTACTCAAGTAACAGTGTTGAACCTTCCTTTTGACAGAGCAGTTTTGAAACACTCTTTTGGTAGAATCTGCAAGTGGATATTTGGATAGCTTTGAGGATTTCGTTGGAAACGGGTTATCTTCCTATAAAATCCAGACAGGAGCATTCTCAGAAACTTCTTTGTGCTGTATGTCCTCAATTCACAGAGCTGAACCTTTGTTTGGATACAGCATTTTGGAGACATTCCTTTAGTAGAATCTGCAAGTTGATATTTAGATAGCTTTGAAGATTTCGTTGGAAACGGGAATATCTTCATAGAAAATCTAGACGGAAGCATTCTCAGAAACTGCTTTGTGATGTTTGCATTCAAGTCACAGAGTTGAATAATCCCTTTTATAGAGTAGGTTTGAAACACTCTTTCGGCACTACCTGGAAGTGGATATTTCGAGCTCTTTGAGGCCTATGGTTAAAAGGAAATATCTTCCCATAAAAACTAGACAGAAGCCGTCTCAGAAACTTGTTTGTGATGTGTGTATTCAACTAACAGAGTTGAACATTTCTGTTACAGAGCAATTTTAAAACACTCTTTTTGTGGAATCTGAAAGTGGATAATTGGATAGCTTTGTGGATTTCGTTGGAAACGGGATGACGTATAAAATCTAGAGAGAAGCATTCTCAGGAACTTCTTTCTGATGTTTGCATTCAAGTCACAGAATTGAACATTCCTTTTCAGAGTGCAGGTTTGAAACACTCTTTCTGTAGTATCTGGAAGTGGACATTTCAAGCGCTTTCAGGCCTACGGGGAGAAAGGAAATATCTTCAAATAAAAACTAGACAGAAGGATTCTCAGAAACTTATTTGTGATGTGTGTCCTAAACGAACACAGTTGAACCTTTGTTTTGATACAGCATTTTGGAAACACTCCTTTTGTAGGATCTGCAGGTGGATATTTGGATAGATTTTAAGATTTCGTTGGAAACGGGAATTTCTTCATAGAAGCTCAAGACAGATGCATTCTAGGAAACTTCTCTGTGATGTTTGCATTCCACTCATAGAGTTGAAAACTTCCTTTCATAGAGCAGGTTTGAAACACTCTTTTTGTAATATTTGGAAGTGGACATTTGCAGCGCTTTGAGGCCTATGGTGAAAAAGGAAATATCTTCTCATAAAAACCAGAAACAAGCATTCTCAGAAACTTCTTTTTGATGTGTGTACTCAAGTAACAGAGTTGAACCTTCCTCTTGACACAGCAGTTTTGAAACAATCTTTTTGTAGAATCTGCAAGTGGATATTTGGATAGCTTTGAGGATTTCGTTGGAAACGGGATATCTTCATATAAAATCTAGACAGAAGCATTCTCAGAAACTTCTTTGTGCTGTATGTCCTCAATTAACAGAGTTGAACCATTGCCTGGATACAGCATTTTGGAAACATTCCTTGAGTAGAATCTGCAAGTTGATATTTAGATAGATTTGAAGATTTCGTTGGAAAAGGGAATATCTCCATATAAAATCTAGAGGGAAGCATTCTCAGAAACTGCTTTGTGATGTTTCCATTCAAGTCACAGAGTTGAATATTCCCTTTTATAGAGCACGTTTGAAACACTCTTTCTGCACTATCTGGAAGCGGACATTTCGAGCGCTTTGAGGCCTATGGTGAAAAAGGAAATATCTTCCCATAAAAACTAGACAGAAGCATTCTCAGAAACTTGTTTGTGATGTGTGTATTCAACTAACAGAGTTGAACTTTTGTTTTTACAGAGCCGTTTTAAAACACTCTTTTTGTGGAATCAGAAAGTGGATATTCGGATGGCTCTGAGGATTTCGTTGGAAGCGGGATTACGTATAAAATCTAGAGAGAAGCATTCTCAGGAACTTCTTTGTGATGTTTGCATTGAAGTCACAGAATTGAACATTCACCTTGATAGAGCAGGTTTGAAACACTCATTCTGTAGTATCTGGAAGTGGACATTTCAAGCGCTTTCAGGCCTATGGTGAGAAAGGAAATATCTTCGAATAAAAACTAGACAGAAGCATCCTCAAACTTATTTGTGATGTGTGTCCTCAACTAACAGAGTTGAAACTTTGTTTTGATACAGCATTTTGGAAACACTCTTTTTGTAGAATCTGCAGGTGGATATTTGGATAGCTTAGAGGGATTCGTTGGAAAGGGGATATCTTCATATAAAATCTAGACAGAAGCATTCTCAGAAACTTATTTGTGATGTGTGTCCTCAACTAACAGAGTTGAACCTTGGTTTTGATACAGCATTTTGGAAACACTCCTTTTGTAGAATCTGCAGGTGGATATGTGGATAGCTCTGAAGATTTCGTTGGAAACGGGAATTTCTTCATATAAAATCAAACAGAAGCATTCTCAGAAACTTCTCAGTGATGTTTGCATTCAGCTCATGGAGTTGTACACTTCCTTTCATAGAGCAGGTTTGAAACACTCTTTCTGCACTACCTGGAAGAGGACATTTCGAGCGCTTTGAGTCCTATGGTGAAAAAGGATATATCTTCTCATAGAAACCAGAAAGAAGCATTCTCAGAAACTTCTTTGTGTTGTGTGTACTCATGTAACAGTGTTGAACCATCCTTTTGACAGAGCAGTTTTGAAACACTCTTTTTGTAGAATCTGCAAGTGGATATTTGGATAGCTTTGAGGATTTCGTTGGAAACGGGATGACATATAATATCTAGAGAGAAGCATTCTCAGGAACTTCTTTGTGATGTTTGCATTCAAGTCACAGAATTGAACATTCCCTTTCATAGAGCAGGTTTGAAACACTCTTTCTCTAGTATCTGGAAGTGGGCATTTCAAGCGCTTTCAGGCCTATGGAGAGAAAGGAAATACCTTCAAATAAAAACTAGACAGAAGCATTCTCAGAAACTTATTTGTGATGTGTGTCCTCAACTAACAGAGTTGAACCTTTGTTTTGATACAGCATTTTGGAAACACTCCTTTTGTAGAATCTGCAGGTGGATATGTGGATAGCTTTGAAGATTTCGTTGGAAACCGGAATATCTTCATATAAAATCAAGACAGAAGCATTCTCGGAAACATCTCTGTGATGTTTGCATTCAACTCAGTAGAGTTGAACACTTCCTTTCATAGAGCAGGTTTGAAACACTCTTTCTGCCCTACCTGGAAGCGGACATTTCGAGCGCTTTGAGGCCTATGGTGAAAAAGGAAATATCTTCTCATAAAAACCAGAAAGAAGCATTCTCAGAAACTTCTTTGTGTTGTGTGTACTCAAGTAACAGTGTTGAACCTTCCTTTTGACAGAGCAGTTTTGAAACACTCTTTTGGTAGAATCTGCAAGTGGATATTTGGATAGCTTTGAGGATTTCGTTGGAAACGGGTTATCTTCATATAAAATCCAGACAGGAGCATTCTCAGAAACTTCTTTGTGCTGTATGTCCTCAATTCACAGAGCTGAACCTTTGTTTGGATACAGCATTTTGGAGACATTCCTTTAGTAGAATCTGCAAGTTGATATTTAGATAGCTTTGAAGATTTCGTTGGAAACGGGAATATCTTCATAGAAAATCTAGACGGAAGCATTCTCAGAAACTGCTTTGTGATGTTTGCATTCAAGTCACAGAGTTGAATATTCCCTTTTATAGAGTAGGTTTGAAACACTCTTTCGGCACTACCTGGAAGTGGATATTTCGAGCTCTTTGAGGCCTATGGTTAAAAGGAAATATCTTCCCATAAAAACTAGACAGAAGCCGTCTCAGAAACTTGTTTGTGATGTGTGTATTCAACTACCAGAGTTGAACATTTCTGTTACAGAGCAATTTTAAAACACTCTTTCTGTGGAATCTGAAAGTGGATAATTGGATAGCTTTGTGGATTTCGTTGGAAACGGGATGACGTATAAAATCTAGAGAGAAGCATTCTCAGGAACTTCTTTCTGATGTTTGCATTCAAGTCACAGAATTGAACATTCCTTTTCAGAGTGCAGGTTTGAAACACTCTTTCTGTAGTATCTGGAAGTGGACATTTCAAGCGCTTTCAGGCCTACGGGGAGAAAGGAAATATCTTCAAATAAAAACTAGACAGAAGGATTCTCAGAAACTTATTTGTGATGTGTGTCCTAAACGAACACAGTTGAACCTTTGTTTTGATACAGCATTTTGGAAACACTCCTTTTGTAGGATCTGCAGGTGGATATTTGGATAGATTTTAAGATTTCGTTGGAAACGGGAATTTCTGCATAGAAACTCAAGACAGATGCATTCTCAGAAACTTCTCTGTGATGTTTGCATTCCACTCATAGAGTTGAAAACTTCCTTTCATAGAGCAGGTTTGAAACACTCTTTTTGTAATATTTGGAAGTGGACATTTGCAGCGCTTTGAGGCCTATGGTGAAAAAGGAAAT
The DNA here is from genome assembly GCF_000001405.40 of Homo sapiens. Lineage (NCBI taxonomy): Eukaryota > Metazoa > Chordata > Mammalia > Primates > Hominidae > Homo > Homo sapiens. Next base: position 49,880,068 of record NC_000004.12, read on the forward strand.
ATCTTCTCATAAAAACCAGAAACAAGCATTCTCAGAAACTTCTTTTTGATGTGTGTACTCAAGTAACAGAGTTGAACCTTCCTTTTGACACAGCAGTTTTGAAACAATCTTTTTGTAGAATCTGCAAGTGGATATTTGGATAGCTTTGAGGATTTCGTTGGAAACGGGATATCTTCATATAAAATCTAGACAGAAGCATTCTCAGAAACTTCTTTGTGCTGTATGTCCTCAATTAACAGAGTTGAACCATGGCTTGGATACAGCATTTTGGAAACATTCCTTGAGTAGAATCTGCAAGTTGATATTTAGATAGATTTGAAGATTTCGTTGGAAAAGGGAATATCTCCATATAAAATCTAGAGGGAAGCATTCTCAGAAACTGCTTTGTGATGTTTCCATTCAAGTCACAGAGTTGAATATTCCCTTTTATAGAGCACGTTTGAAACACTCTTTCTGCACTATCTGGAAGTGGACATTTCGAGCGCTTTGAGGCCTATGGTGAAAAAGGAAATATCTTCCCATAAAAACTAGACAGAAGCATTCTCAGAAACTTGTTTGTGATGTGTGTATTCAACTAACAGAGTTGAACTTTTGTTTTTACAGAGCCGTTTTAAAACACTCTTTTTGTGGAATCAGAAAGTGGATATTCGGATGGCTCTGAGGATTTCGTTGGAAGCGGGATTACATATAAAATCTAGAGAGAAGCATTCTCAGGAACTTCTTTGTGATGTTTGCATTGAAGTCACAGAATTGAACATTCACTTTGATAGAGCAGGTTTGAAACACTCATTCTGTAGGATCTGGAAGTGGACATTTCAAGCGCTTTCAGGCCTATGGTGAGAAAGGAAATATCTTCGAATAAAAACTAGACAGAAGCATCCTCAGAAACTTATTTGTGATGTGTGTCCTCAACTAACAGAGTTGAAACTTTGTTTTGATACAGCATTTTGGAAACACTCTTTTTGTAGAATCTGCAGGTGGATATTTGGATAGCTTAGAGGGATTCGTTGGAAAGGGGATATCTTCATATAAAATCTAGACAGAAGCATTCTCAGAAACTTATTTGTGATGTGTGTCCTCAACTAACAGAGTTGAACCTTGGTTTTGATACAGCATTTTGGAAACACTCCTTTTGTAGAATCTGCAGGTGGATATGTGGATAGCTCTGAAGATTTCGTTGGAAACGGGAATTTCTTCATATAAAATCAAACAGAAGCATTCTCAGAAACTTCTCAGTGATGTTTGCATTCAGTTCATGGAGTTGAACACTTCCCTTCATAGAGCCGGTTTGAAACACTCTTTCTGCACTACCTGGAAGAGGACATTTCGAGCGCTTTGAGTCCTATGGTGAAAAAGGAAATATCTTCTCATAGAAACCAGAAAGAAGCATTCTCAGAAACTTCTTTGTGTTGTGTGTACTCATGTAACAGTGTTGAACCATCCTTTTGACAGAGCAGTTTTGAAACACTCTTTTTGTAGAATCTGCAAGTGGATATTTGGATAGCTTTGAGGATTTCGTTGGAAACGGGATGACATATAATATCTAGAGAGAAGCATTCTCAGGAATTTCTTTGTGATGTTTGCATTCAAGTCACAGAATTGAACATTCCCTTTCATAGAGCAGGTTTGAAACACTCTTTCTCTAGTATCTGGAAGTGGGCATTTCAAGCGCTTTCAGGCCTATGGAGAGAAAGGAAATACCTTCAAATAAAAACTAGACAGAAGCATTCTCAGAAACTTATTTTTGATGTGTGTCCTCAACTAACAGAGTTGAACCTTTGTTTTGATACAGCATTTTGGAAACACTCCTTTTGTAGAATCTGCAGGTGGATATTTGGATAGCTTTGAAGATTTCGTTGGAAACCGGAATATCTTCCTATAAAATCAAGACAGAAGCATTCTCGGAAACATCTCTGTGATGTTTGCATTCAACTCAGTAGAGTTGAACACTTCCTTTCATAGAGCAGGTTTGAAACACTCTTTCTGCACTACCTGGAAGTGGACATTTCGAGCGCTTTGAGGCCTATGGTGAAAAAGGAAATATCTTCTCATAAAAACCAGAAAGAAGCATTCTCAGAAACTTCTTTGTGTTGTGTGTACTCAAGTAACAGTGTTGAACCTTCCTTTTGACAGAGCAGTTTTGAAACACTCTTTTGGTAGAATCTGCAAGTGGATATTTGGATAGCTTTGAGGATTTCATTGGAAACGGGTTATCTTCATATAAAATCCAGACAGGAGCATTCTCAGAAACTTCTTTGTGCTGTATGTCCTCAATTCACAGAGCTGAACCTTTGTTTGGATACAGCATTTTGGAGACATTCCTTTAGTAGAATCTGCAAGTTGATATTTAGATAGCTTTGAAGATTTCGTTGGAAACGGGAATATCTTCATAGAAAATCTAGACGGAAGCATTCTCAGAAACTGCTTTGTGATGTTTGCATTCAAGTCACAGAGTTGAATATTCCCTTTTATAGAGTAGGTTTGAAACACTCTTTCGGCACTACCTGGAAGTGGATATTTCGAGCTCTTTGAGGCCTATGGTTAAAAGGAAATATCTTCCCATAAAAACTAGACAGAAGCCGTCTCAGAAACTTGTTTGTGATGTGTGTATTCAACTAACAGAGTTGAACATTTCTGTTACAGAGCAATTTTAAAACACTCTTTTTGTGGAATCTGAAAGTGGATAATTGGATAGCTTTGTGGATTTCGTTGGAAACGGGATGACGTATAAAATCTAGAGAGAAGCATTCTCAGGAACTTCTTTCTGATGTTTGCATTCAAGTCACAGAATTGAACATTCCTTTTCAGAGTGCAGGTTTGAAGCACTCTTTCTGTAGTATCTGGAAGTGGACATTTCAAGCGCTTTCAGGCCTACGGGGAGAAAGGAAATATCTTCAAATAAAAACTAGACAGAAGGATTCTCAGAAACTTATTTGTGATGTGTGTCCTAAACGAACACAGTTGAACCTTTGTTTTGATACAGCATTTTGGAAACACTCCTTTTGTAGGATCTGCAGGTGGATATTTGGAGAGATTTTAAGATTTCGTTGGAAACGGGAATTTCTTCACATAAACTCAAGACAGATGCATTCTCAGAAACTTCTCTGTGATGTTTGCATTCCACTCATAGAGTTGAAAACTTCCTTTCATAGAGCAGGTTTGAAACACTCTTTTTGTAATATTTGGAAGTGGACATTTGCAGCGCTTTGAGGCCTATGGTGAAAAAGGAAATATCTTCTCATAAAAACCAGAAACAAGCATTCTCAGAAACTTCTTTTTGATGTGTGTACTCAAGTAACAGAGTTGAACCTTCCTTTTGACACAGCAGTTTTGAAACAATCTTTTTGTAGAATCTGCAAGTGGATATTTGGATAGCTTTGAGGATTTCGTTGGAAACGGGATATCTTCATATAAAATCTAGAGAGAAGCATTCTCAGAAACTTCTTTGTGCTGTATGTCCTCAATTAACAGAGTTGAACCATTGCCTGGATACAGCATTTTGGAAACATTCCTTGAGTAGAATCCGCAAGTTGATATTTAGATAGATTTGAAGATTTCGTTGGAAAAGGGAATATCTCCATATAAAATCTAGAGGGAAGCATTCTCAGAAACTGCTTTGTGATGTTTCCATTCAAGTCACAGAGTTGAATATTCCCTTTTATAGAGCACGTTTGAAACACTCTTTCTGCACTATCTGGAAGCGGACATTTCGAGCGCTTTGAGGCCTATGGTGAAAAAGGAAATATCTTCCCATAAAAACTAGACAGAAGCATTCTCAGAAACTTGTTTGTGATGTGTGTATTCAACTAACAGAGTTGAACTTTTGTTTTTACAGAGCCGTTTTAAAACACTCTTTTTGTGGAATCAGAAAGTGGATATTCGGATGGCTCTGAGGATTTCGTTGGAAGCGGGATTACGTATAAAATCTAGAGAGAAGCATTCTCAGGAACTTCTTTGTGATGTTTGCATTGAAGTCACAGAATTGAACATTCACTTTGATAGAGCAGGTTTGAAACACTCATTCTGTAGTATCTGGAAGTGGACATTTCAAGCGCTTTCAGGCCTATGGTGAGAAAGGAAATATCTTCGAATAAAAACTAGACAGAAGCATCCTCAAACTTATTTGTGATGTGTGTCCTCAACTAACAGAATTGAAACTTTGTTTTGATACAGCATTTTGGAAACACTCTTTTTGTAGAATCTGCAGGTGGATATTTGGATAGCTTAGAGGGATTCGTTGGAAAGGGGATATCTTCATATAAAATCTAGACAGAAGCATTCTCAGAAACTTATTTGTGATGTGTGTCCTCAACTAACAGAGTTGAACTTTGGTTTTGATACAGCATTTTGGAAACACTCCTTTTGTAGAATCTGCAGATGGATATGTGGATAGCTCTGAAGATTTCGTTGGAAACGGGAATTTCTTTATATAAAATCAAACAGAAGCATTCTCAGAAACTTCTCAGTGATGTTTGCATTCAGTTCATGGAGTTGAACACTTCCTTTCATAGAGCCGGTTTGAAACACTCTTTCTGCACTACCTGGAAGAGGACATTTCGAGCGCTTTGAGTCCTATGGTGAAAAAGGAAATATCTTCTCATAGAAACCAGAAAGAAGCATTCTCAGAAACTTCTTTGTGTTGTGTGTACTCATGTAACAGTGTTGAACCATCCTTTTGACAGAGCAGTTTTGAAACACTCTTTTTGTAGAATCTGCAAGTGGATATTTGGATAGCTTTGAGGATTTCGTTGGAAACGGGATGACATATAATATCTAGAGAGAAGCATTCTCAGGAACTTCTTTGTGATGTTTGTATTCAAGTCACAGAATTGAACATTCCCTTTCATAGAGCAGGTTTGAAACACTCTTTCTCTAGTATCTGGAAGTGGGCATTTCAAGCGCTTTCAGGCCTATGGAGAGAAAGGAAATACCTTCAAATAAAAACTAGACAGAAGCATTCTCAGAAACTTATTTGTGATGTGTGTCCTCAACTAACAGAGTTGAACCTTTGTTTTGATACAGCATTTTGGAAACACTCCTTTTGTAGAATCTGCAGGTGGATATTTGGATAGCTTTGAAGATTTCGTTGGAAACCGGAATATCTTCATATAAAATCAAGACAGAAGCATTCTCGGAAACATCTCTGTGATGTTTGCATTCAACTCAGTAGAGTTGAACACTTCCTTTCATAGAGCAGGTTTGAAACACTCTTTCTGCACTACCTGGAAGCGGACATTTCGAGCGCTTTGAGGCCTATGGTGAAAAAGGAAATATCTTCTCATAAAAACCAGAAAGAAGCATTCTCAGAAACTTCTTTGTGTTGTGTGTACTCAAGTAACAGTGTTGAACCTTCCTTTTGACAGAGTAGTTTTGAAACACTCTTTTGGTAGAATCTGCAAGTGGATATTTGGATAGCTTTGAGGATTTCGTTGGAAACGGGTTATCTTCCTATAAAATCCAGACAGGAGCATTCTCAGAAACTTCTTTGTGCTGTATGTCCTCAATTCACAGAGCTGAACCTTTGTTTGGATACAGCATTTTGGAGACATTCCTTTAGTAGAATCTGCAAGTTGATATTTAGATAGCTTTGAAGATTTCGTTGGAAACGGGAATATCTTCATAGAAAATCTAGACGGAAGCATTCTCAGAAACTGCTTTGTGATGTTTGCATTCAAGTCACAGAGTTGAATATTCCCTTTTATAGAGTAGGTTTGAAACACTCTTTCGGCACTACCTGGAAGTGGATATTTCGAGCTCTTTGAGGCCTATGGTTAAAAGGAAATATCTTCCCATAAAAACTAGACAGAAGCCGTCTCAGAAACTTGTTTGTGATGTGTGTATTCAACTAACAGAGTTGAACATTTCTGTTACAGAGCAATTTTAAAACACTCTTTGTGGAATCTGAAAGTGGATAATTGGATAGCTTTGTGGATTTCGTTGGAAACGGGATGACGTATAAAATCTAGAGAGAAGCATTCTCAGGAACTTCTTTCTGATGTTTGCATTCAAGTCACAGAATTGAACATTCCTTTTCATAGTGCAGGTTTGAAACACTCTTTCTGTAGTATCTGGAAGTGGACATTTCAAGCGCTTTCAGGCCTGTGGGGAGAAAGGAAATATCTTCAAATAAAAACTAGACAGAAGGATTCTCAGAAACTTATTTGTGATGTGTGTCCTAAACGAACACAGTTGAACCTTTGTTTTGATACAGCATTTTGGAAACACTCCTTTTGTAGAATCTGCAGGTGGATATTTGGATAGATTTTAAGATTTCATTGGAAACGGGAATTTCTTCATATAAACTCAAGACAGATGCATTCTCAGAAACTTCTCTGTGATGTTTGCATTCCACTCACAGAGTTGAAAACTTCCTTTCATAGAGCAGGTTTGAAACACTCTTTTTGTAATATTTGGAAGTGGACATTTGCAGCGCTTTGAGGCCTATGGTGAAAAAGGAAATATCTTCTCATAAAAACCAGAAACAAGCATTCTCAGAAACTGCTTTTTGATGTGTGTACTCAAGTAACAGAGTTGAACCTTCCTTTTGACACAGCAGTTTTGAAACAATCTTTTTGTAGAATCTGCAAGTGGATATTTGGATAGCTTTGAGGATTTCGTTGGAAACGGGATATCTTCATATAAAATCTAGACAGAAGCATTCTCAGAAACTTCTTTGTGCTGTATGTCCTCAATTAACAGAGTTGAACCATTGCTTGGATACAGCATTTTGGAAACATTCCTTTAGTAGAATCTGCAAGTTGATATTTAGATAGATTTGAAGATTTCGTTGGAAACGGGAATATCTTCATATAAAATCTAGACGGAGGCATTCTCAGAAACTGCTTTGTGATGTTTCCATTCAAGTCACAGAGTTGAATATTCTCTTTTATAGAGCACGTTTGAAACACTCTTTCTGCACTATCTGGAAGTGGACATTTCGAGCGCTTTGAGGCCTATGGTGAAAAAGGAAATATCTTCCCATAAAAACTAGACAGAAGCATTCTCAGAAACTTGTTTGTGATGTGTGTATTCAACTAACAGACTTGAACTTTTGTTTTTACAGAGCAGTTTTAAAACAATCTTTTTGTGGAATCAGAAAGTGGATATTCGGATGGCTTTGAGGATTTCGTTGGAAGCGGGATTACATATAAAATCTAGAGAGAAGCATTCTCAGGAACTACTTTGTGATGTTTGCATTGAAGTCACAGAATTGAACATTCACTTTGATAGAGCAGGTTTGAAACACTCATTCTGTAGTATCTGGAAGTGGACATTTCAAGCGCTTTCAGGCCTATGGTGAGAAAGGAAATATCTTCAAATTAAAACTAGACAGAAGCATCCTCAGAAACTTATTTGTGATGTGTGTCCTCAACTAACAGAGTTGAAACTTTGTTTTGATACAGCATTTTGGAAACACTCTTTTTGTAGAATCTGCAGGTGGATATTTGGATAGCTTAGAGGGATTCGTTGGAAAGGGGATATCTTCATATAAAATCTAGACAGAAGCATTCTCAGAAACTTATTTGTGATGTGTGTCCTCAACTAACAGAGTTGAACCTTGGTTTTGATACAGCATTTTGGAAACACTCCTTTTGAAGAATCTGCAGGTGGATATGTGGATAGCTTTGAAGATTTCGTTGGAAACGGGAATTTCTTCATATAAAATCAAACAGAAGCATTCTCAGGAACTTCTCTGTGATGTTTGCATTCAGCTCATGGAGTTGAACACTTCCTTTCATAGAGCAGGTTTGAAACACTCTTTCTGCACTACCTGGAAGTGGACATTTCGAGCGCTTTGAGGCCTATGGTGAAAAAGGAAATATCCTCTCATAAAAACCAGAAAGAAGCGTTCTCAGAAACTTCTTTGTGTTGTGTGTACTCATGTAACAGTGTTGAACCATCCTTTTGACAGAGCAGTTTTGAAACACTCTTTTTGTAGAATCTGCAAGTGGATATTTGGATAGCTTTGAGGATTTCGTTGGAAACGGGTTATCTTCATATTAAATCTAGACAGAAGCATTCTCAGAAACTTCTTTGTGCTGTATGTCCTCAATTCACAGAGTTGAACCTTTGTTTGGATACAGCATTTTGGAAACATTCCTTTAGTAGAATCTGCAAGTTGATATTGAGATAGCTTTGAAGATTTCTTTGGAAACGGGAATATCTTCATAAAAAATCTAGACGGAAGCATTGTCAGAAACTGCTCTGTGATGTTTGCATTCAAGTCACAGAGTTAAATATTCTTTTATAGAGCAGGTTTGAAACACTCTTTCTGCACTCCCTGGAAGTGGAGATTTCGAGCGCTTTGAGGCCTATGGTGAAAAAGGAAATATCTTCCCATAAAAACTAGACGGAAGCCTTCTCAGAAACTTGTTTGAGATGTGTGTATTCAACTAAGAGCGTTGAACATTTCTTTTTACAGAGCAGTTTTAAAACAGTCTTTTGGTGGAATCTGAAAGTGGATAATTGGATAGCTTTGTGGATTTCGTTGCAAACGGGATTACGTTTAAAATCTAGAGAGAAGCATTCTCAGGAACTTCTTTCTGATGTTTGCATTCAAGTCACAGAATTGAACATTCCTTTTCATAGTGCAGGTTTGAAACACTCTGTAGTATCTGGAAGTGGACATTTCAAGGGCTTTCAGGCCTATGGGGAGAAAGGAAATATCTTGAAATAAAAACTAGACAGAAGGATTCTCAGAAAACTTATTTGTGATGTGTGTTCTCAACGAACACAGTTGAACCTTTGTTTTGATATAGCATTTTGGAAGCACTCTTTTGTAGAATCTGCAGGTGGATATTTGGATAGATTTTAAGATTTCATTGGAAACGGGAATTTCTTCATATAAACTCAAGACAGATGCATTCTCAGAAACTTCTCTGTGATGTTTGCATTCCACTCACAGAGTTGAAAACTTCCTTTCATAGAGCAGGTTTGAAACACTCTTTTTGTAATATTTGGAAGTGGACATTTGCAGCGCTTTGAGGCCTATGGTGAAAAAGGAAATATCTTCTCATAAAAACCAGAAACAAGCATTCTCAGAAACTGCTTTTTGATGTGTGTACTCAAGTAACAGAGTTGAACCTTCCTTTTGACACAGCAGTTTTGAAACAATCTTTTTGTAGAATCTGCAAGTGGATATTTGGATAGCTTTGAGGATTTCATTGGAAACGGGATATCTTCATATAAAATCTAGACAGAAGCATTCTCAGAAACTTCTTTGTGCTGTATGTCCTCAATTAACAGAGTTGAACCATTGCTTGGATACAGCATTTTGGAAACATTCCTTGAGTAGAATCTGCAAGTTGATATTTAGATAGATTTGAAGATTTCGTTGGAAAAGGGAATATCTCCATATAAAATCTAGAGGGAAGCATTCTCAGAAACTGCTTTGTGATGTTTCCATTCAAGTCACAGAGTTGAATATTCCCTTTTATAGAGCACGTTTGAAACACTCTTTCTGCACTATCTGGAAGTGGACATTTCGAGCGCTTTGAGGCCTATGGTGAAAAAGGAAATATCTTCCCATAAAAACTAGACAGAAGCATTCTCAGAAACTTGTTTGTGATGTGTGTATTCAACTAACAGACTTGAACTTTTGTTTTTACAGAGCAGTTTTAAAACAATCTTTTCGTGGAATCAGAAAGTGGATATTCGGATGGCTTTGAGGATTTCGTTGGAAGCGGGATTACATTTAAAATCTAGAGAGAAGCATTCTCAGGAACTTCTTTGTGATGTTTGCATTGAAGTCACAGAATTGAACATTCACTTTGATAGAGCAGGTTTGAAACACTCATTCTGTAGGATCTGGAAGTGGACATTTCAAGCGCTGTCAGGCCTATGGTGAGAAAGGAAATATCTTCGAATAAAAACTAGACAGAAGCATCCTCAGAAACTTATTTGTGATGTGTGTCCTCAACTAACAGAGTTGAAACTTTGTTTTGATACAGCATTTTGGAAACACTCTTTTTGTAGAATCTGCAGGTGGATATTTGGATAGCTTAGAGGGATTCGTTGGAAAGGGGATATCTTCATATAAAATCTAGACAGAAGCATTCTCAGAAACTTATTTGTGATGTGTGTCCTCAACTAACAGAGTTGAACCTTGGTTTTGATACAGCATTTTGGAAACACTCCTTTTGTAGAATCTGCAGGTGGATATGTGGATAGCTCTGAAGATTTCGTTGGAAACGGGAATTTCTTCATATAAAATCAAACAGAAGCATTCTCAGAAACTTCTCAGTGATGTTTGCATTCAGTTCATGGAGTTGAACACTTCCCTTCATAGAGCCGGTTTGAAACACTGTTTCTGCACTACCTGGAAGAGGACATTTCGAGCGCTTTGAGTCCTATGGTGAAAAAGGAAATATCTTCTCATAGAAACCAGAAAGAAGCATTCTCAGAAACTTCTTTGTGTTGTGTGTACTCATGTAACAGTGTTGAACCATCCTTTTGACAGAGCAGTTTTGAAACACTCTTTTTGTAGAATCTGCAAGTGGATATTTGGATAGCTTTGAGGATTTCGTTGGAAACGGGATGACATATAATATCTAGAGAGAAGCATTCTCAGGAACTTCTTTGTGATGTTTGCATTCAAGTCACAGAATTGAACATTCCCTTTCATAGAGCAGGTTTGAAACACTCTTTCTCTAGTATCTGGAAGTGGGCATTTCAAGCGCTTTCAGGCCTATGGAGAGAAAGGAAATACCTTCAAATAAAAACTAGACAGAAGCATTCTCAGAAACTTATTTGTGATGTGTGTCCTCAACTAACAGAGTTGAACCTTTGTTTTGATACAGCATTTTGGAAACACTCCTTTTGTAGAATCTGCAGGTGGATATTTGGATAGCTTTGAAGATTTCGTTGGAAACCGGAATATCTTCATATAAAATCAAGACAGAAGCATTCTCGGAAACATCTCTGTGATGTTTGCATTCAACTCAGTAGAGTTGAACACTTCCTTTCATAGAGCAGGTTTGAAACACTCTTTCTGCACTACCTGGAAGCGGACATTTCGAGCGCTTTGAGGCCTATGGTGAAAAAGGAAATATCTTCTCATAAAAACCAGAAAGAAGCATTCTCAGAAACTTCTTTGTGTTGTGTGTACTCAAGTAACAGTGTTGAACCTTCCTTTTGACAGAGTAGTTTTGAAACACTCTTTTGGTAGAATCTGCAAGTGGATATTTGGATAGCTTTGAGGATTTCGTTGGAAACGGGTTATCTTCCTATAAAATCCAGACAGGAGCATTCTCAGAAACTTCTTTGTGCTGTATGTCCTCAATTCACAGAGCTGAACCTTTGTTTGGATACAGCATTTTGGAGACATTCCTTTAGTAGAATCTGCAAGTTGATATTTAGATAGCTTTGAAGATTTCGTTGGAAACGGGAATATCTTCATAGAAAATCTAGACGGAAGCATTCTCAGAAACTGCTTTGTGATGTTTGCATTCAAGTCACAGAGTTGAATATTCCCTTTTATAGAGTAGGTTTGAAACACTCTTTCGGCACTACCTGGAAGTGGATATTTCGAGCTCTTTGAGGCCTATGGTTAAAAGGAAATATCTTCCCATAAAAACTAGACAGAAGCCGTCTCAGAAACTTGTTTGTGATGTGTGTATTCAACTAACAGAGTTGAACATTTCTGTTACAGAGCAATTTAAAACACTCTTTTTGTGGAATCTGAAAGTGGATAATTGGATAGCTTTGTGGATTTCGTTGGAAACGGGATGACGTATAAAATCTAGAGAGAAGCATTCTCAGGAACTTCTTTCTGATGTTTGCATTCAAGTCACAGAATTGACATTCCTTTTCAGAGTGCAGGTTTGAAACACTCTTTCTGTAGTATCTGGAAGTGGACATTTCAAGCGCTTTCAGGCCTATGGGGAGAAAGGAAATATCTTCAAATAAAAACTAGACAGAAGGATTCTCAGAAACTTATTTGTGATGTGTGTCCTAAGCGAACACAGTTGAACCTTTGTTTTGATACAGCATTTTGGAAACACTCCTTTTGTAGGATCTGCAGGTGGATATTTGGATAGATTTTAAGATTTCATTGGAAACGGGAATTTCTGCATAGAAACTCAAGACAGATGCATTCTCAGAAACTTCTCTGTGATGTTTGCATTCCACTCATAGAGTTGAAAACTTCCTTTCATAGAGCAGGTTTGAAACACTCTTTTTGTAATATTTGGAAGCGGACATTTGCAGTGCTTTGAGGCCTATGGTGAAAAAGGAAATATCTTCTCATAAAAACCAGAAACAAGCATTCTCAGAAACTGCTTTTTGATGTTTGTACTCAAGTAACAGAGTTGAACCTTCCTTTTGACACAGCAGTTTTGAAACAATCTTTCTGTAGAATCTGCAAGTGGATATTTGGATAGCTTTGAGGATTTCGTTGGAAACGGGATATCTTCATATAAAATCTAGAAAGAAGCATTCTCAGAAACTTCTTTGTGCTGTATGTCCTCAATTAACAGAGTTGAACCATTGCTTGGATACAGCATTTTGGAAACATTCCTTTAGTAGAATCTGCAAGTTGATATTTAGATAGCTTTGAAGATTTCGTTGGAACCGGGAATATCTTCATAGAAAATCTAGACGGAGGCATTCTCAGAAACTGCTTTGTGATGTTTCCATTCAAGTCACAGAGTTGAATATTCTCTTTTATAGAGCACGTTTGAAACACTCTTTCTGCACTATCTGGAAGTGGACATTTCGAGCGCTTTGAGGCCTATGGTGAAAAAGGAAGTATCTTCCCATAAAAACTATACAGAAGCATTCTCAGAAACTTGTTTGTGATGTGTGTATTCAACTAACAGACTTGAACTTTTGTTTTTACAGAGCAGTTTTAAAACAATCTTTTTGTGGAATCAGAAAGTGGATATTCGGATGGCTTTGAGGATTTCGTTGGAAGCGGGATTACATTTAAAATCTAGAGAGAAGCATTCTCAGGAACTACTTTGTGATGTTTGCATTGAAGTCACAGAATTGAACATTCACTTTGATAGAGCAGGTTTGAAACACTCATTCTGTATTATCTGGAAGTGGACATTTCAAGCGCTTTCAGGCCTATGGTGAGAAAGGAAATATCTTCAAATTAAAACTAGACAGAAGCATCCTCAGAAACTTATTTGTGATGTGTGTCCTCAACTAACAGAGTTGAAACTTTGTTTTGATACAGCATTTTGGAAACACTCTTTTTGTAGAATCTGCAGGTGGATATTTGGATAGCTTAGAGGGATTCGTTGGGAAGGGGATATCTTCATATAAAATCTAGACAGAAGCATTCTCAGAAACTTATTTGTGATGTGTGTCCTCAACTAACAGAGTTGAACCTTGGTTTTGATACAGCATTTTGGAAACACTCCTTTTGAAGAATCTGCAGGTGGATATGTGGATAGCTTTGAAGATTTCGTTGGAAACGGGAATTTCTTCATATAAAATCAAACAGAAGCATTCTCAGGAACTTCTCTGTGATGTTTGCATTCAGCTCATGGAGTTGAACACTTCCTTTCATAGAGCAGGTTTGAAACACTCTTTCTGCACTACCTGGAAGTGGACATTTCGAGCGCTTTGAGGCCTATGGTGAAAAAGGAAATATCCTCTCATAAAAACCAGAAAGAAGAGTTCTCAGAAACTTCTTTGTGTTGTGTGTACTCATGTAACAGTGTTGAACCATCCTTTTGACAGAGCAGTTTTGAAACACTTTTTTTGTAGAATCTGCAAGTGGATATTTGGATAGCTTTGAGGATTTCGTTGGAAACGGGTTATCTTCATATTAAATCTAGACAGAAGCATTCTCAGAAACTTCTTTGTGCTGTATGTCCTCAATTCACAGAGTTGAACCTTTGTTTGGATACAGCATTTTGGAAACATTCCTTTAGTAGAATCTGCAAGTTGATATTTAGATAGCTTTGAAGATTTCGTTGGAAACGGGAATATCTTCATAAAAAATCTAGACGGAAGCATTGTCAGAAACTGCTCTGTGATGTTTGCATTCAAGTCACAGAGTTAAATATTCTTTTATAGAGCAGGTTTGAAACACTCTTTCTGCACTCCCTGGAAGTGGAGATTTCGAGCGCTTTGAGGCCTATGGTGAAAAAGGAAATATCTTCCCATAAAAACTAGACGGAAGCCTTCTCAGAAACTTGTTTGAGATGTGTGTATTCAACTAAGAGCGTTGAACATTTCTTTTTACAGAGCTGTTTTAAAACACTCTTTTGGTGGAATCTGAAAGTGGTTAACGGGATAGCTTTGTGGATTTCGTTGGAAACGGGATTACGTTTAAAATCTAGAGAGAAGCATTCTCAGGAACTTCTTTCTGATGTTTGCATTCAAGTCACAGAATTGAACATTCCTTTTCATAGTGCAGGTTTGAAACACTCTGTAGTATCTGGAAGTGGACATTTCAAGCGCTTTCAAGCCTATGGGGAGAAAGGAAATATCTTGAAATAAAAACTAGACAGAAGGATTCTCAGAAACTTATTTGTGATGTGTGTCCTAAACGAACACAGTTGAACCTTTGTTTTGATACAGCATTTTGGAAACACTCCTTTTGTAGAATCTGCAGGTGGATATTTGGATAGATTTTAAGATTTCATTGGAAACGGGAATTTCTTCATATAAACTCAAGACAGATGCATTCTCAGAAACTTCTCTGTGATGTTTGCATTCCACTCATAGAGTTGAAAACTTCCTTTCATAGAGCAGGTTTGAAACACTCTTTTTGTAATATTTGGAACTGGACATTTGCAGTGCTTTGAGGCCTATGGTGAAAAAGGAAATATCTTCTCATAAAAACCAGAAACAAGCATTCTCAGAAACTTCTTTTTGATGTGTGTACTCAAGTAACAGAGTTGAACCTTCCTCTTGACACAGCAGTTTTGAAACAATCTTTTTGTAGAATCTGCAAGTGGATATTTGGATAGCTTTGAGGATTTCGTTGGAAACGGGATATCTTCATATAAAATCTAGACAGAAGCATTCTCAGAAACTTCTTTGTGCTGTATGACCTCAATTAACAGAGTTGAACCATTGCTTGCATACAGCATTTTGGAAACATTCCTTGAGTAGAATCTGCAAGTTGATATTTAGATAGATTTGAAGATTTCGTTCGAAAACGGAATATCTCCATATAAAATCTAGAGGGAGGCATTCTCAGAAACTGCTTTGTGATGTTTCCATTCAAGTCACAGGAGTTGAATATTCCCTTTTATAGAGCACGTTTGAAACACTCTTTCGGCACTATCTGGAAGTGGACATTTCGAGCGCTTTGAGGCCTATGGTGAAAAAGGAAATATCTTCCCATAAAAACTAGACAGAAGCATTCTCAGAAACTTGTTTGTGATGTGTGTATTCAACTAACAGACTTGAACTTTTGTTTTTACAGAGCAGTTTTAAAACAATCTTTTTGTGGAATCAGAAAGTGGATATTCGGATGGCTTTGAGGATTTCGTTGGAAGCGGGATTACATATAAAATCTAGAGAGAAGCATTCTCAGGAACTACTTTGTGATGTTTGCATTGAAGTCACAGAATTGAACATTCACTTTGATAGAGCAGGTTTGAAACACTCATTCTGTAGTATCTGGAAGTGGACATTTCAAGCGCTTTCAGGCCTATGGGGAGAAAGGAAATATCTTCAAATTAAAACTAGACAGAAGCATCCTCAGAAACTTATTTGTGATGTGTGTCCTCAACTAACAGAGTTGAAACTTTGTTTTGATACAGCATTTTGGAAACACTCTTTTTGTAGAATCTGCAGGTGGATACTTGGATAGCTTAGAGGGATTCGTTGGAAAGGGGATATCTTCATATAAAATGTAGACAGAAGCATTCTCAGAAACTTATTTGTGATGTGTGTCCTCAACTAACAGAGTTGAACCTTGGTTTTGATACAGCATTTTGGAAACACTCCTTTTGAAGAATCTGCAGGTGGATATGTGGATAGCTTTGAAGATTTCGTTGGAAACGGGAATTTCTTCATATAAAATCAAACAGAAGCATTCTCAGAAACTTCTCTGTGATGTTTGCATTCAGCTCATGGAGTTGAACACTTCCTTTCATAGAGCAGGTTTGAAACACTCTTTCTGCACTACCAGGAAGTGGACATTTCGAGCGCTTTGAGGCCTATGGTGAAAAGGGAAATATCTTCTCATAAAAACCAGAAAGAAGCGTTCTCAGAAACTTCTTTGTGTTGTGTGTACTCATGTAACAGTGTTGAACCATCCTTTTGACAGAGCAGTTTTGAAACACTCTTTTTGTAGAATCTGCAAGTGGATATTTGGATAGCTTTGAGGATTTCGTTGGAAACGGGTTATCTTCATATTAAATCTAGACAGAAGCATTCTCAGAAACTTCTTTGTGCTGTATGTCCTCAATTCACAGAGTTGAACCTTTGTTTGGATACAGCATTTTGGAAACATTCCTTTAGTAGAATCTGCAAGTTGATATTTAGATAGCTTTGAAGATTTCGTTGGAAACGGGAATACCTTCATAAAAAATCTAGACGGAAGCATTGTCAGAAACTGCTCTGTGATGTTTGCATTCAAGTCACAGAGTTAAATATTCTTTTATAGAGCAGGTTTGAAACACTCTTTCTGCACTCCCTGGAAGTGGAGATTTCGAGCGCTTTGAGGCCTATGGTGAAAAAGGAAATATCTTCCCATAAAAACTAGACGGAAGCCTTCTCAGAAACTTGTTTGAGATGTGTGTATTCAACTAAGAGCGTTGAACATTTCTTTTTACAGAGCAGTTTTAAAACAGTCTTTTGGTGGAATCTGAAAGTGGATAATTGGATAGCTTTGTGGATTTCGTTGGAAACGGGATTACGTTTAAAATCTAGAGAGAAGCATTCTCAGGAACTTCTTTCTGATGTTTGCATTCAAGTCACAGAATTGAACATTCCTTTTCATAGTGCAGGTTTGAAACACTCTGTAGTATCTGGAAGTGGACATTTCAAGCGCTTTCAGGCCTATGGGGAGAAAGGAAATATCTTGAAATAAAAACTAGACAGAAGGATTCTCAGAAACTTATTTGTGATGTGTGTCCTAAACGAACACAGTTGAACCTTTGTTTTGATACAGCATTTTGGAAACACTCCTTTTGTAGGATCTGCAGGTGGATATTTGGATAGATTTTAAGATTTCATTGGAAACGGGAATTTCTTCATATAAACTCAAGACAGATGCATTCTCAGAAACTTCTCTGTGATGTTTGCATTCCACTCACAGAGTTGAAAACTTCCTTTCATAGAGCAGGTTTGAAACACTCTTTTTGTAATATTTGGAAGTGGACATTTGCAGCGCTTTGAGGCCTATGGTGAAAAAGGAAATATCTTCTCATAAAAACCAGAAACAAGCATTCTCAGAAACTGCTTTTTGATGTGTGTACTCAAGTAACAGAGTTGAACCTTCCTTTTGACACAGCAGTTTTGAAACAATCTTTTTGTAGAATCTGTAAGTGGATATTTGGATAGCTTTGAGGATTTCGTTGGAAACGGGATATCTTCATATAAAATCTAGACAGAAGCATTCTCAGCAAACTTCTTTGTGCTGTATGTCCTCAATTAACAGAGTTGAACCATTGCCTGGATACAGCATTTTGGAAACATTCCTTGAGTAGAATCTGCAAGTTGATATTTAGATAGATTTGAAGATTTCGTTGGAAAAGGGAATATCTCCATATAAAATCTAGAGGGAAGCATTCTCAGAAACTGCTTTGTGATGTTTCCATTCAAGTCACAGAGTTGAATATTCCCTTTTATAGAGCACGTTTGAAACACTCTTTCTGCACTATCTGGAAGCGGACATTTCGAGCGCTTTGAGGCCTATGGTGAAAAAGGAAATATCTTCCCATAAAAACTAGACAGAAGCATTCTCAGAAACTTGTTTGTGATGTGTGTATTCAACTAACAGAGTTGAACTTTTGTTTTTACAGAGCCGTTTTAAAACACTCTTTTTGTGGAATCAGAAAGTGGATATTCGGATGGCTCTGAGGATTTCGTTGGAAGCGGGATTACGTATAAAATCTAGAGAGAAGCATTCTCAGGAACTTCTTTGTGATGTTTGCATTGAAGTCACAGAATTGAACATTCACTTTGATAGAGCAGGTTTGAAACACTCATTCTGTAGGATCTGGAAGTGGACATTTCAAGCGCTTTCAGGCCTATGGTGAGAAAGGAAATATCTTCGAATAAAAACTAGACAGAAGCATCCTCAAACTTATTTGTGATGTGTGTCCTCAACTAACAGAGTTGAAACTTTGTTTTGATACAGCATTTTGGAAACACTCTTTTTGTAGAATCTGCAGGTGGATATTTGGATAGCTTAGAGGGATTCGTTGGAAAGGGGATATCTTCATATAAAATCTAGACAGAAGCATTCTCAGAAACTTATTTGTGATGTGTGTCCTCGACTAACAGAGTTGAACCTTGGTTTTGATACAGCATTTTGGAAACACTCCTTTTGTAGAATCTGCAGGTGGATATGTGGATAGCTCTGAAGATTTCGTTGGAAACGGGAATTTCTTCATATAAAATCAAACAGAAGCATTCTCAGAAACTTCTCAGTGATGTTTGCATTCAGCTCATGGAGTTGTACACTTCCTTTCATAGAGCAGGTTTGAAACACTCTTTCTGCACTACCTGGAAGAGGACATTTCGAGCGCTTTGAGTCGTATGGTGAAAAAGGAAATATCTTCTCATAGAAACCAGAAAGAAGCGTTCTCAGAAACTTCTTTGTGTTGTGTGTACTCATGTAACAGTGTTGAACCATCCTTTTGACAGAGCAGTTTTGAAACACTCTTTTTGTAGAATCTGCAAGTGGATATTTGGATAGCTTTGAGGATTTCGTTGGAAACGGGTTATCTTCATATTAAATCTAGACAGAAGCATTCTCAGAAACTTCTTTGTGCTGTATGTCCTCAATTCACAGAGTTGAACCTTTGTTTGGATACAGCATTTTGGAAACATTCCTTTAGTAGAATCTGCAAGTTGATATTTAGATAGCTTTTAAGATTTCGTTGGAAACGGGAATAGCTTCATAAAAAATCTAGACGGAAGCATTGTCAGAAACTGCTTTGTGATGTTTGCATTCAAGTCACAGAGTTAAATATTCTTTTATAGAGCAGGTTTGAAACACTCTTTCTGCACTCCCTGGAAGTGGAGATTTCGAGCGCTTTGAGGCCTATGGTGAAAAAGGAAATATCTTCCCATAAAAACTAGACGGAAGCCTTCTCAGAAACTTGTTTGAGATGTGTGTATTCAACTAAGAGCGTTGAACATTTCTTTTTACAGAGCAGTTTTAAAACACTGTTTTGGTGGAATCTGAAAGTGGATAATTGGATAGCTTTGTGGATTTCGTTGGAAACGGGATTACGTTTAAAATCTAGAGAGAAGCATTCTCAGGAACTTCTTTCTGATGTTTGCATTCAAGTCACAGAATTGAACATTCCTTTTCATAGTGCAGGTTTGAAACACTCTTTCTGTAGTATCTGGAAGTGGACATTTCAAGCGCTTTCAGGCCTATGGGGAGAAAGAAAATATCTTCAAAT
Source organism: Homo sapiens (assembly GCF_000001405.40). Taxonomy (NCBI): domain Eukaryota; kingdom Metazoa; phylum Chordata; class Mammalia; order Primates; family Hominidae; genus Homo; species Homo sapiens. Next base: position 49,899,618 of record NC_000004.12, read on the forward strand.
AAAAACTAGACAGAAAGATTTTCAGAAACTTATTGGTGATGTGTGTCCTAAACGAACACAGTTGAACCTTTGTTTTGATACAGCATTTTGGAAACACTCCCTTTGTAGAATCTGCAGGTGGATATTTGGATAGATTTTAAGATTTCGTTGGAAACGGGAATTTCTTCATATAAACTCAAGACAGATGCATTCTCAGAAACTTCTCTGTGATGTTTGCATTCCACTCATAGAGTTGAAAACTTCCTTTCATAGAGCAGGTTTGAAACACTCTTTTTGTAATATGTGGAAGTGGACATTTGCAGCGCTTTGAGGCCTATGGTGAAAAAGGAAATATCTTCTCATAAAAACCAGAAACAAGCATTCTCAGAAACTTCTTTTTGATGTGTGTACTCAAGTAACAGAGTTGAACCTTCCTTTTGACACAGCAGTTTTGAAACAATCTTTTTGTAGAATCTGCAAGTGGATATTTGGATAGCTTTGAGGATTTCGTTGGAAACGGGATATCTTCATATAAAATCTAGACAGAAGCATTCTCAGAAACTTCTTTGTGCTGTATGTCCTCAATTAACAGAGTTGAACCATTGCTTGGATACAGCATTTTGGAAACATTCCTTTAGTAGAATGTGCAAGTTGATATTTAGATAGATTTGAAGATTTCGTTGGAAACGGGAATATCTTCATATAAAATCTAGACGGAGGCATTCTCAGAAACTGCTTTGTGATGTTTCCATTCAAGTCACAGAGTTGAATATTCTCTTTTATAGAGCACGTTTGAAACACTCTTTCTGCACTATCTGGAAGTGGACATTTCGAGCGCTTTGAGGCCTATGGTGAAAAAGGAAATATCTTCCCATAAAAACTAGACAGAAGCATTCTCAGAAACTTGATTGTGATGTGTGTATTCAACTAACAGACTTGAACTTTTGTTTTTACAGAGCAGTTTTAAAACAATCTTTTTGTGGAATCAGAAAGTGGATATTCGGATGGCTTTGAGGATTTCGTTGGAAGCGGGATTACATATAAAATCTAGAGAGAAGCATTCTCAGGAACTACTTTGTGATGTTTGCATTGAAGTCACAGAATTGAACATTCACTTTGATAGAGCAGGTTTGAAACACTCATTCTGTAGTATCTGGAAGTGGACATTTCAAGCGCTTTCAGGCCTATGGGGAGAAAGGAAATATCTTCAAATTAAAACTAGACAGAAGCATCCTCAGAAACTTATTTGTGATGTGTGTCCTCAACTAACAGAGTTGAAACTTTGTTTTGATACAGCATTTTGGAAACACTCTTTTTGTAGAATCTGCAGGTGGATACTTGGATAGCTTAGAGGGATTCGTTGGAAAGGGGATAAATTCATATAAAATCTAGACAGAAGCATTCTCAGAAACTTATTTGTGATGTGTGTCCTCAACTAACAGAGTTGAACCTTGGTTTTGATACAGCATTTTGGAAACACTCCTTTTGTAGAATCTGCATGTGGATATGTGGATAGCTCTGAAGATTTCGTTGGAAACGGGAATTTCTTCATATAAAATCAAACAGAAGCATTCTCAGAAACTTCTCAGTGATGTTTGCATTCAGTTCATGGAGTTGAACACTTCCTTTCATAGAGCCGGTTTGAAACACTCTTTCTGCACTACCTGGAAGAGGACATTTCGAGCGCTTTGAGTCCTATGGTGAAAAAGGAAATATCTTCTCATAGAAACCAGAAAGAAGCATTCTCAGAAACTTCTTTGTGTTGTGTGTACTCATGTAACAGTGTTGAACCATCCTTTTGACAGAGCAGTTTTGAAACACTCTTTTTGTAGAATCTGCAAGTGGATATTTGGATAGCTTTGAGGATTTCGTTGGAAACGGGATGACATATAATATCTAGAGAGAAGCATTCTCAGGAACTTCTTTGTGATGTTTGCATTCAAGTCACAGAATTGAACATTCCCTTTCATAGAGCAGGTTTGAAACACTCTTTCTCTAGTATCTGGAAGTGGGCATTTCAAGCGCTTTCAGGCCTATGGAGAGAAAGGAAATACCTTCAAATAAAAACTAGACAGAAGCATTCTCAGAAACTTATTTGTGATGTGTGTCCTCAACTAACAGAGTTGAACCTTTGTTTTGATACAGCATTTTGGAAACACTCCTTTTGTAGAATCTGCAGGTGGATATTTGGATAGCTTTGAAGATTTCGTTAGAAACCGGAATATCTTCATATAAAATCAAGACAGAAGCATTCTCGGAAACATCTCTGTGATGTTTGCATTCAACTCAGTAGAGTTGAACACTTCCTTTCATAGAGCAGGTTTGAAACACTCTTTCTGCCCTACCTGGAAGCGGACATTTCGAGCTCTTTGAGGCCTATGGTGAAAAAGGAAATATCTTCTCATAAAAACCAGAAAGAAGCATTCTCAGAAACTTCTTTGTGTTGTGTGTACTCAAGTAACAGTGTTGAACCTTCCTTTTGACAGAGCAGTTTTGAAACACTCTTTTGGTAGAATCTGCAAGTGGATATTTGGATAGCTTTGAGGATTTCGTTGGAAACGGGTTATCTTCATATAAAATCCAGACAGGAGCATTCTCAGAAACTTCTTTGTGCTGTATGTCCTCAATTCACAGAGCTGAACCTTTGTTTGGATACAGCATTTTGGAGACATTCCTTTAGTAGAATCTGCAAGTTGATATTTAGATAGCTTTGAAGATTTCGTTGGAAACGGGAATATCTTCATAGAAAATCTAGACGGAAGCATTCTCAGAAACTGCTTTGTGATGTTTGCATTCAAGTCACAGAGTTGAATATTCCCTTTTATAGAGTAGGTTTGAAACACTCTTTCGGCACTACCTGGAAGTGGATATTTCGAGCTCTTTGAGGCCTATGGTTAAAAGGAAATATCTTCCCATAGAAACTAGACAGAAGCCGTCTCAGAAACTTGTTTGTGATGTGTGTATTCAACTAACAGAGTTGAACATTTCTGTTACAGAGCAATATTAAAACACTCTTTTTGTGGAATCTGAAATTGGATAACTGGATAGCTTTGTGGATTTCGTTGGAAACGGGATGACGTATAAAATCTAGAGAGAAGCATTCTCAGGAACTTCTTTCTGATGTTTGCATTCAAGTCACAGAATTGAACATTCCTTTTCATAGTGCAGGTTTGAAACACTCTTTCTGTAGTATCTGGAAGTGGACATTTCAAGCGCTTTCAGGCCTACGGGGTGAAAGGAAATATCTTCAAATAAAAACTAGACAGAAGGATTCTCAGAAACTTATTTGTGATGTGTGTCCTAAACGAACACAGTTGAACCTTTGTTTTGATACAGCATTTTGGAAACACTCCTTTTGTAGGATCTGCAGGTGGATATTTGGATAGATTTTAAGATTTCGTTGGAAACGGGAATTTCTTCATATAAACTCAAGACAGATGCATTCTCAGAAACTTCTCTGTGATGTTTGCATTCCACTCATAGAGTTGAAAACTTCCTTTCATAGAGCAGGTTTGAAACACTCTTTTTGTAATATTTGGAAGTGGACACTTGCAGCGCTATGAGGCCTATGGTGAAAAAGGAAATATCTTCTCATAAAAACCAGAAAGAAGCATTCTCAGAAACTTCTTTGTGTTGTGTGTACTCAAGTAACAGTGTTGAACCTTCCTTTTGACAGAGCAGTTTTGAAACACTCTTTTGGTAGAATCTGCAAGTGGATATTTGGAGAGCTTTGAGGATTTCGTTGGAAACGGGTTATCTTCATATAAAATCCAGACAGGAGCATTCTCAGAAACTTCTTTGTGCTGTATGTCCTCAATTCACAGAGCTGAACCTTTGTTTGGATACAGCATTTTGGAGACATTCCTTTAGTAGAATCTGCAAGTTGATATTTAGATAGCTTTGAAGATTTCGTTGGAAACGGGAATATCTTCATAGAAAATCTAGACGGAAGCATTCTCAGAAACTGCTTTGTGATGTTTGCATTCAAGTCACAGAGTTGAATATTCCCTTTTATAGAGTAGGTTTGAAACACTCTTTCGGCACTACCTGGAAGTGGATATTTCGAGCTCTTTGAGGCCTATGGTTAAAAGGAAATATCTTCCCATAAAAACTAGACAGAAGCCGTCTCAGAAACTTGTTTGTGATGTGTGTATTCAACTAACAGAGTTGAACATTTCTGTTACAGAGCAATTTAAAACACTCTTTTTGTGGAATCTGAAAGTGGATAATTGGATAGCTTTGTGGATTTCGTTGGAAACGGGATGACGTATAAAATCTAGAGAGAAGCATTCTCAGGAACTTCTTTCTGATGTTTGCATTCAAGTCACAGAATTGAACATTCCTTTTCAGAGTGCAGGTTTGAAACACTCTTTCTGTAGTATCTGGAAGTGGACATTTCAAGCGCTTTCAGGCCTATGGGGAGAAAGGAAATATCTTCAAATAAAAACTAGAGAGAAGGGTTCTCAGAAACTTATTTGTGATGTGTGTCCTAAACGAACACAGTTGAACCTTTGTTTTGATACAGCATTTTGGAAACACTCCTTTTGTAGGATCTGCAGGTGGATATTTGGATAGATTTTAAGATTTCGTTGGAAACGGGAATTTCTGCATAGAAACTCAAGACAGATGCATTCTCAGAAACTTCTCTGTGATGTGTGCATTCCACTCATAGAGTTGAAAACTTCCTTTCATAGAGCAGGTTTGAAACACTCTTTTTGTAATATTTGGAAGTGGACATTTGCAGCGCTTTGAGGCCTATGGTGAAAAAGGAAATATCTTCTCATAAAAACCAGAAACAAGCATTCTCAGAAACTTCTTTTTGATGTGTGTACTCAAGTAACAGAGTTGAACCTTCCTTTTGACACAGCAGTTTTGAAACAATCTTTTTGTAGAATCTGCAAGTGGATATTTGGATAGCTTTGAGGATTTCGTTGGAAACGGGATATCTTCATATAAAATCTAGACAGAAGCATTCTCAGAAACTTCTTTGTGCTGTATGACCTCAATTAACAGAGTTGAACCATTGCTTGCATACAGCATTTTGGAAACATTCCTTGAGTAGAATCTGCAAGTTGATATTTAGATAGATTTGAAGATTTCGTTCGAAAACGGAATATCTCCATATAAAATCTAGAGGGAAGCATTCTCAGAAACTGCTTTGTGATGTTTCCATTCAAGTCACAGAGTTGAATATTCCCTTTTATAGAGCACGTTTGAAACACTCTTTCTGCGCTATCTGGAAGTGGACATTTCGAGCGCTTTGAGGCCTATGGTGAAAAAGGAAATATCTTCCCATAAAAACTAGACAGAAGCATTCTCAGAAACTTGTTTGTGATGTGTGTATTCAACTAACAGAGTTGAACTTTTGTTTTTACAGAGCCGTTTTAAAACACTCTTTTTGTGGAATCAGAAAGTGGATATTCGGATGGCTCTGAGGATTTCGTTGGAAGCGGGATTACATATAAAATCTAGAGAGAAGCATTCTCAGGAACTTCTTTGTGATGTTTGCATTGAAGTCACAGAATTGAACATTCACTTTGATAGAGCAGGTTTGAAACACTCATTCTGTAGGATCTGGAAGTGGACATTTCAAGCGCTTTCAGGCCTATGGTGAGAAAGGAAATATCTTCGAATAAAAACTAGACAGAAGCATCCTCAGAAACTTATTTGTGATGTGTGTCCTCAACTAACAGAGTTGAAACTTTGTTTTGATACAGCATTTTGGAAACACTCTTTTTGTAGAATCTGCAGGTGGATATTTGGATAGCTTAGAGGGATTCGTTGGAAAGGGGATATCTTCATATAAAATCTAGACAGAAGCATTCTCAGAAACTTATTTGTGATGTGTGTCCTCAACTAACAGAGTTGAACCTTGGTTTTGATACAGCATTTTGGAAACACTCCTTTTGTAGAATCTGCAGGTGGATATGTGGATAGCTCTGAAGATTTCGTTGGAAACGGGAATTTCTTCATATAAAATCAAACAGAAGCATTCTCAGAAACTTCTCAGTGATGTTTGCATTCAGTTCATGCAGTTGAACACTTCCCTTCATAGAGCCGGTTTGAAACACTCTTTCTGCACTACCTGGAAGAGGACATTTCGAGCGCTTTGAGTCCTATGGTGAAAAAGGAAATATCTTCTCATAGAAACCAGAAAGAAGCATTCTCAGAAACTTCTTTGTGTTGTGTGTACTCATGTAACAGTGTTGAACCATCCTTTTGACAGAGCAGTTTTGAAACACTCTTTTTGTAGAATCTGCAAGTGGATATTTGGATAGCTTTGAGGATTTCGTTGGAAACGGGATGACATATAATATCTAGAGAGAAGCATTCTCAGGAACTTCTTTGTGATGTTTGCATTCAAGTCACAGAATTGAACATTCCCTTTCATAGAGCAGGTTTGAAACACTCTTTCTCTAGTATCTGGAAGTGGGCATTTCAAGCGCTTTCAGGCCTATGGAGAGAAAGGAAATACCTTCAAATAAAAACTAGACAGAAGCATTCTCAGAAACTTATTTGTGATGTGTGTCCTCAACTAACAGAGTTGAACCTTTGTTTTGATACAGCATTTTGGAAACACTCCTTTTGTAGAATCTGCAGGTGGATATTTGGATAGCTTTGAAGATTTCGTTGGAAACCGGAATATCTTCATATAAAATCAAGACAGAAGCATTCTCGGAAACATCTCTGTGATGTTTGCATTCAACTCAGTAGAGTTGAACACTTCCTTTCATAGAGCAGGTTTGAAACACTCTTTCTGCACTACCTGGAAGCGGACATTTCGAGCGCTTTGAGGCCTATGGTGAAAAAGGAAATATCTTCTCATAAAAACCAGAAAGAAGCATTCTCAGAAACTTCTTTGTGTTGTGTGTACTCAAGTAACAAGTGTTGAACCTTCCTTTTGACAGAGCAGTTTTGAAACACTCTTTTGGTAGAATCTGCAAGTGGATATTTGGAGAGATTTGAGGATTTCGTTGGAAACGGGTTATCTTCATATAAAATCCAGACAGGAGCATTCTCAGCAAACTTCTTTGTGCTGTATGTCCTCAATTCACAGAGCTGAACCTTTGTTTGGATACAGCATTTTGGAGACATTCCTTTAGTAGAATCTGCAAGTTGATATTTAGATAGCTTTGAAGATTTCGTTGGAAACGGGAATATCTTCATAGAAAATCTAGACGGAAGCATTCTCAGAAACTGCTTTGTGATGTTTGCATTCAAGTCACAGAGTTGAATATTCCCTTTTATAGAGTAGGTTTGAAACACTCTTTCGGCACTACCTGGAAGTGGATATTTCGAGCTCTTTGAGGCCTATGGTTAAAAGGAAATATCTTCCCATAAAAACTAGACAGAAGCCGTCTCAGAAACTTGTTTGTGATGTGTGTATTCAACTAACAGAGTTGAACATTTCTGTTACAGAGCAATTTTAAAACACTCTTTGTGGAATCTGAAAGTGGATAATTGGATAGCTTTGTGGATTTCGTTGGAAACGGGATGACGTATAAAATCTAGAGAGAAGCATTCTCAGGAACTTCTTTCTGATGTTTGCATTCAAGTCACAGAATTGAACATTCCTTTTCAGAGTGCAGGTTTGAAACACTCTTTCTGTAGTATCTGGAAGTGGACATTTCAAGCGCTTTCAGGCCTACGGGGAGAAAGGAAATCTCTTCAAATAAAAACCAGACAGAAGGATTCTCAGAAACTTATTTGTGATGTGTGTCCTAAACGAACACAGTTGAACCTTTGTTTTGATACAGCATTTTGGAAACACTCCTTTTGTAGGATCTGCAGGTGGATATTTGGATAGATTTTAAGATTTCGTTGGAAACGGGAATTTCTTCATAGAAGCTCAAGACAGATGCGTTCTCAGAAACTTCTCTGTGATGTTTGCATTCCACTCATAGAGTTGAAAACTTCCTTTCATAGAGCAGGTTTGAAACACTCTTTTTGTAATATTTGGAAGTGGACATTTGCAGCGCTTTGAGGCCTATGGTGAAAAAGGAAATATCTTCTCATAAAAACCAGAAACAAGCATTCTCAGAAACTTCTTTTTGATGTGTGTACTCAAGTAACAGAGTTGAACCTTCCTCTTGACACAGCAGTTTTGAAACAATCTTTTTGTAGAATCTGCAAGTGGATATTTGGATAGCTTTGAGGATTTCGTTGGAAACGGGATATCTTCATATAAAATCTAGACAGAAGCATTCTCAGAAACTTCTTTGTGCTGTATGTCCTCAATTAACAGAGTTGAACCATTGCCTGGATACAGCATTTTGGAAACATTCCTTGAGTAGAATCTGCAAGTTGATATTTAGATAGATTTGAAGATTTCGTTGGAAAAGGGAATATCTCCATATAAAATCTAGAGGGAAGCATTCTCAGAAACTGCTTTGTGATGTTTCCATTCAAGTCACAGAGTTGAATATTCCCTTTTATAGAGCACGTTTGAAACACTCTTTCTGCACTATCTGGAAGCGGACATTTCGAGCGCTTTGAGGCCTATGGTGAAAAAGGAAATATCTTCCCATAAAAACTAGACAGAAGCATTCTCAGAAACTTGTTTGTGATGTGTGTATTCAACTAACAGAGTTGAACTTTTGTTTTTACAGAGCCGTTTTAAAACACTCTTTTTGTGGAATCAGAAAGTGGATATTCGGATGGCTCTGAGGATTTCGTTGGAAGCGGGATTACGTATAAAATCTAGAGAGAAGCATTCTCAGAAACTTCTTTCTGATGTTTGCATTGAAGTCACAGAATTGAACATTCACTTTGATAGAGCAGGTTTGAAACACTCATTCTGTAGTATCTGGAAGTGGACATTTCAAGCGCTTTCAGGCCTATGGTGAGAAAGGAAATATCTTCGAATAAAAACTAGACAGAAGCATCCTCAAACTTATTTGTGATGTGTGTCCTCAACTAACAGAGTTGAACCTTTGTTTTGATACAGCATTTTGGAAACACTCTTTTTGTAGAATCTGCAGGTGGATATTTGGATAGCTTAGAGGGATTCGTTGGAAAGGGGATATCTTCATATAAAATCTAGACAGAAGCATTCTCAGAAACTTATTTGTGATGTGTGTCCTCAACTAACAGAGTTGAACCTTGGTTTTGATACAGCATTTTGGAAACACTCCTTTTGTAGAATCTGCAGGTGGATATGTGGATAGCTCTGAAGATTTCGTTGGAAACGGGAATTTCTTCATATAAAATCAAACAGAAGCATTCTCAGAAACTTCTCAGTGATGTTTGCATTCAGCTCATGGAGTTGTACACTTCCTTTCATAGAGCAGGTTTGAAACACTCTTTCTGCACTACCTGGAAGAGGACATTTCGAGCGCTTTGAGTCCTATGGTGAAAAAGGAAATATCTTCTCATAGAAACCAGAAAGAAGCATTCTCAGAAACTTCTTTGTGTTGTGTGTACTCATGTAACAGTGTTGAACCATCCTTTTGACAGAGGAGTTTTGAAACACTCTTTTTGTAGAATCTGCAAGTGGATATTTGGATAGCTTTGAGGATTTCGTTGGAAACGGGATGACATATAATATCTAGAGAGAAGCATTCTCAGGAACTTCTTTGTGATGTTTGCATTCAAGTCACAGAATTGAACATTGCCTTTCATAGAGCAGGTTTGAAACACTCTTTCTCTAGTATCTGGAAGTGGGCATTTCAAGCGCTTTCAGGCCTATGGAGAGAAAGGAAATACCTTCAAATAAAAACTAGACAGAAGCATTCTCAGAAACTTATTTGTGATGTGTGTCCTCAACTAACAGAGTTGAACCTTTGTTTTGATACAGCATTTTGGAAACACTCCTTTTGTAGAATCTGCAGGTGGATATTTGGATAGCTTTGAAGATTTCGTTGGAAACCGGAATATCTTCATATAAAATCAAGACAGAAGCATTCTCGGAAACATCTCTGTGATGTTTGCATTCAACTCAGTAGAGTTGAACACTTCCTTTCATAGAGCAGGTTTGAAACACTCTTTCTGCACTACCTGGAAGCGGACATTTCGAGCGCTTTGAGGCCTATGGTGAAAAAGGAAATATCTTCTCATAAAAACCAGAAAGAAGCATTCTCAGAAACTTCTTTGTGTTGTGTGTACTCAAGTAACAGTGTTGAACCTTCCTTTTGACAGAGTAGTTTTGAAACACTCTTTTGGTAGAATCTGCAAGTGGATATTTGGATAGCTTTGAGGATTTCGTTGGAAACGGGTTATCTTCCTATAAAATCCAGACAGGAGCATTCTCAGAAACTTCTTTGTGCTGTATGTCCTCAATTCACAGAGCTGAACCTTTGTTTGGATACAGCATTTTGGAGACATTCCTTTAGTAGAATCTGCAAGTTGATATTTAGATAGCTTTGAAGATTTCGTTGGAAACGGGAATATCTTCATAGAAAATCTAGACGGAAGCATTCTCAGAAACTGCTTTGTGATGTTTGCATTCAAGTCACAGAGTTGAATATTCCCTTTTATAGAGTAGGTTTGAAACACTCTTTCGGCACTACCTGGAAGTGGATATTTCGAGCTCTTTGAGGCCTATGGTTAAAAGGAAATATCTTCCCATAAAAACTAGACAGAAGCCGTCTCAGAAACTTGTTTGTGATCTGTGTATTCAACTAACAGAGTTGAACATTTCTGTTACAGAGCAATTTTAAAACACTCTTTGTGGAATCTGAAAGTGGATAATTGGATAGCTTTGTGGATTTCGTTGGAAACAGGATGACGTATAAAATCTAGAGAGAAGCATTCTCAGGAACTTCTTTCTGATGTTTGCATTCAAGTCACAGAATTGAACATTCCTTTTCAGAGTGCAGGTTTGAAACACTCTTTCTGTAGTATCTGGAAGTGGACATTTCAAGCGCTTTCAGGCCTACGGGGAGAAAGGAAATATCTTCAAATAAAAACTAGACAGAAGGATTCTCAGAAACTTATTTGTGATGTGTGTCCTAAACGAACACAGTTGAACCTTTGTTTTGATACAGCATTTTGGAAACACTCCTTTTGTAGGATCTGCAGGTGGATATTTGGATAGATTTTAAGATTTTGTTGGAAACGGGAATTTCTTCATAGACGCTCAAGACAGATGCATTCTCAGAAACTTCTCTGTGATGTTTGCATTCCACTCATAGAGTTGAAAACTTCCTTTCATAGAGCAGGTTTGAAACACTCTTTTTGTAATATTTGGAAGTGGACATTTGCAGCGCTTTGAGGCCTATGGTGAAAAAGGAAATATCTTCTGATAAAAACCAGAAACAAGCATTCTCAGAAACTTCTTTTTGATGTGTGTACTCAAGTAACAGAGTTGAACCTTCCTTTTGACACAGCAGTTTTGAAACAATCTTTTTGTAGAATCTGCAAGTGGATATTTGGATAGCTTTGAGGATTTCGTTGGAAACGGGATATCTTCATATAAAATCTAGACAGAAGCATTCTCAGAAACTTCTTTGTGCTGTATGTCCTCAATTAACAGAGTTGAACCATTGCCTGGATACAGCATTTTGGAAACATTCCTTGAGTAGAATCTGCAAGTTGATATTTAGATAGATTTGAAGATTTCGTTGGAAACGGGAATATCTCCATATAAAATCTAGAGGGAAGCATTCTCAGAAACTGCTTTGTGATGTTTCCATTCAAGTCACAGAGTTGAATATTCCCTTTTATAGAGCACGTTTGAAACACTCTTTCTGCACTATCTGGAAGCGGACATTTCGAGCGCTTTGAGGCCTATGGTGAAAAAGGAAATATCTTCCCATAAAAACTAGACAGAAGCATTCTCAGAAACTTGTTTGTGATGTGTGTATTCAACTAACAGAGTTGAACTTTTGTTTTTACAGAGCCGTTTTAAAACACTCTTTTTGTGGAATCAGAAAGTGGATATTCGGATGGCTCTGAGGATTTCGTTGGAAGCGGGATTACGTATAAAATCTAGAGAGAAGCATTCTCAGGAACTTCTTTGTGATGTTTGCATTCAAGTCACAGAATTGAACATTCCCTTTCATAGAGCAGGTTTGAAACACTCTTTCTCTAGTATCTGGAAGTGGGCATTTCAAGCGCTTTCAGGCCTATGGAGAGAAAGGAAATACCTTCAAATAAAAACTAGACAGAAGCATTCTCAGAAACTTATTTGTGATGTGTGTCCTCAACTAACAGAGTTGAACCTTTGTTTTGATACAGCATTTTGGAAACACTCCTTTTGTAGAATCTGCAGGTGGATATTTGGATAGCTTTGAAGATTTCGTTGGAAACCGGAATATCTTCATATAAAATCAAGACAGAAGCATTCTCGGAAACATCTCTGTGATGTTTGCATTCAACTCAGTAGAGTTGAACACTTCCTTTCATAGAGCAGGTTTGAAACACTCTTTCTGCACTACCTGGAAGCGGACATTTCGAGCGCTTTGAGGCCTATGGTGAAAAAGGAAATATCTTCTCATAAAAACCAGAAAGAAGCATTCTCAGAAACTTCTTTGTGTTGTGTGTACTCAAGTAACAGTGTTGAACCTTCCTTTTGACAGAGCAGTTTTGAAACACTCTTTTGGTAGAATCTGCAAGTGGATATTTGGATAGCTTTGAGGATTTCGTTGGAAACGGGTTATCTTCATATAAAATCCAGACAGGAGCATTCTCAGAAACTTCTTTGTGCTGTATGTCCTCAATTCACAGAGCTGAACCTTTGTTTGGATACAGCATTTTGGAGACATTCCTTTAGTAGAATCTGCAAGTTGATATTTAGATAGCTTTGAAGATTTCGTTGGAAACGGGAATATCTTCATAGAAAATGCTAGACGGAAGCATTCTCAGCAAACTGCTTTGTGATGTTTGCATTCAAGTCACAGAGTTGAATATTCCCTTTTATAGAGTAGGTTTGAAACACTCTTTCGGCACTACCTGGAAGTGGATATTTCGAGCTCTTTGAGGCCTATGGTTAAAAGGAAATATCTTCCCATAAAAACTAGACAGAAGCCGTCTCAGAAACTTGTTTGTGATGTGTGTATTCAACTAACAGAGTTGAACATTTCTGTTACAGAGCAATTTTAAAACACTCTTTGTGGAATCTGAAAGTGGATAATTGGATAGCTTTGTGGATTTCGTTGGAAACGGGATGACGTATAAAATCTAGAGAGAAGCATTCTCAGGAACTTCTTTCTGATGTTTGCATTCAAGTCACAGAATTGAACATTCCTTTTCAGAGTGCAGGTTTGAAACACTCTTTCTGTAGTATCTGGAAGTGGACATTTCAAGCGCTTTCAGGCCTACGGGGAGAAAGGAAATATCTTCAAATAAAAACTAGACAGAAGGATTCTCAGAAACTTATTTGTGATGTGTGTCCTAAACGAACACAGTTGAACCTTTGTTTTGATACAGCATTTTGGAAACACTCCTTTTGTAGGATCTGCAGGTGGATATTTGGATAGATTTTAAGATTTCGTTGGAAACGGGAATTTCTTCATAGAAGCTCAAGACAGATGCATTCTCAGAAACTTCTCTGTGATGTTTGCATTCCACTCATAGAGTTGAAAACTTCCTTTCATAGAGCAGGTTTGAAACACTCTTTTTGTAATATTTGGAAGTGGACATTTGCAGCGCTTTGAGGCCTATGGTGAAAAAGGAAATATCTTCTCATAAAAACCAGAAACAAGCATTCTCAGAAACTTCTTTTTGATGTGTGTACTCAAGTAACAGAGTTGAACCTTCCTTTTGACACAGCAGTTTTGAAACAATCTTTTTGTAGAATCTGCAAGTGGATATTTGGATAGCTTTGAGGATTTCGTTGGAAACGGGATATCTTCATATAAAATCTAGACAGAAGCATTCTCAGAAACTTCTTTGTGCTGTATGTCCTCAATTAACAGAGTTGAACCATTGCTTGGATACAGCATTTTGGAAACATTCCTTGAGTAGAATCTGCAAGTTGATATTTAGATAGATTTGAAGATTTCGTTGGAAAAGGGAATATCTCCATATAAAATCTAGAGGGAAGCATTCTCAGAAACTGCTTTGTGATGTTTCCATTCAAGTCACAGAGTTGAATATTCCCTTTTATAGAGCACGTTTGAAACACTCTTTCTGCACTATCTGGAAGCGGACATTTCGAGCGCTTTGAGGCCTATGGTGAAAAAGGAAATATCTTCCCATAAAAACTAGACAGAAGCATTCTCAGAAACTTGTTTGTGATGTGTGTATTCAACTAACAGAGTTGAACTTTTGTTTTTACAGAGCCGTTTTAAAACACTCTTTTTGTGGAATCAGAAAGTGGATATTCGGATGGCTCTGAGGATTTCGTTGGAAGCGGGATTACGTATAAAATCTAGAGAGAAGCATTCTCAGGAACTTCTTTCTGATGTTTGCATTGAAGTCACGGAATTGAACATTCACTTTGATAGAGCAGGTTTGAAACACTCATTCTGTAGTATCTGGAAGTGGACATTTCAAGCGCTTTCAGGCCTATGGTGAGAAAGGAAATATCTTCGAATAAAAACTAGACAGAAGCATCCTCAAACTTATTTGTGATGTGTGTCCTCAACTAACAGAGTTGAAACTTTGTTTTGATACAGCATTTTGGAAACACTCTTTTTGTAGAATCTGCAGGTGGATATTTGGATAGCTTAGAGGGATTCGTTGGAAAGGGGATATCTTCATATAAAATCTAGACAGAAGCATTCTCAGAAACTTATTTGTGATGTGTGTCCTCAACTAACAGAGTTGAACCTTGGTTTTGATACAGCATTTTGGAAACACTCCTTTTGTAGAATCTGCAGGTGAATATGTGGATAGCTTTGAAGATTTCGTTGGAAACGGGAATTTCTTCATATAAAATCAAACAGAAGCATTCTCAGAAACTTCTCAGTGATGTTTGCATTCAGCTCATGGAGTTGTACACTTCCTTTTATAGAGCAGGTTTGAAACACTCTTTCTGCACTACCTGGAAGAGGACATTTCGAGCGCTTTGAGTCCTATGGTGAAAAAGGAAATATCTTCTCATAGAAACCAGAAAGAAGCATTCTCAGAAACTTCTTTGTGTTGTGTGTACTCATGTAACAGTGTTGAACCATCCTTTTGACAGAGGAGTTTTGAAACACTCTTTTTGTAGAATCTGCAAGTGGATATTTGGATAGCTTTGAGGATTTCGTTGGAAACGGGATGACATATAATATCTAGAGAGAAGCATTCTCAGGAACTTCTTTGTGATGTTTGCATTCAAGTCACAGAATTGAACATTCCCTTTCATAGAGCAGGTTTGAAACACTCTTTCTCTAGTATCTGGAAGTGGGCATTTCAAGCGCTTTCAGGCCTATGGAGAGAAAGGAAATACCTTCAAATAAAAACTAGACAGAAGCATTCTCAGAAACTTATTTGTGATGTGTGTCCTCAACTAACAGAGTTGAACCTTTGTTTTGATACAGCATTTTGGAAACACTCCTTTTGTAGAATCTGCAGGTGGATATTTGGATAGCTTTGAAGATTTCGTTGGAAACCGGAATATCTTCATATAAAATCAAGACAGAAGCATTCTCGGAAACATCTCTGTGATGTTTGCATTCAACTCAGTAGAGTTGAACACTTCCTTTCATAGAGCAGGTTTGAAACACTCTTTCTGCACTACCTGGAAGCGGACATTTCGAGCGCTTTGAGGCCTATGGTGAAAAAGGAAATATCTTCTCATAAAAACCAGAAAGAAGCATTCTCAGAAACTTCTTTGTGTTGTGTGTACTCAAGTAACAGTGTTGAACCTTCCTTTTGACAGAGTAGTTTTGAAACACTCTTTTGGTAGAATCTGCAAGTGGATATTTGGATAGCTTTGAGGATTTCGTTGGAAACGGGTTATCTTCCTATAAAATCCAGACAGGAGCATTCTCAGAAACTTCTTTGTGCTGTATGTCCTCAATTCACAGAGCTGAACCTTTGTTTGGATACAGCATTTTGGAGACATTCCTTTAGTAGAATCTGCAAGTTGATATTTAGATAGCTTTGAAGATTCCGTTGGAAACGGGAATATCTTCATAGAAAATCTAGACGGAAGCATTCTCAGAAACTGCTTTGTGATGTTTGCATTCAAGTCACAGAGTTGAATATTCCCTTTTATAGAGTAGGTTTGAAACACTCTTTCGGCACTACCTGGAAGTGGATATTTCGAGCTCTTTGAGGCCTATGGTTAAAAGGAAATATCTTCCCATAAAAACTAGACAGAAGCCGTCTCAGAAACTTGTTTGTGATGTGTGTATTCAACTACCAGAGTTGAACATTTCTGTTACAGAGCAATTTTAAAACACTCTTTCTGTGGAATCTGAAAGTGGATAATTGGATAGCTTTGTGGATTTCGTTGGAAACGGGATGACGTATAAAATCTAGAGAGAAGCATTCTCAGGAACTTCTTTCTGATGTTTGCATTCAAGTCACAGAATTGAACATTCCTTTTCAGAGTGCAGGTTTGAAACACTCTTTCTGTAGTATCTGGAAGTGGACATTTCAAGCGCTTTCAGGCCTATGGGGAGAAAGGAAATATCTTCAAATAAAAACTAGAGAGAAGGATTCTCAGAAACTTATTTGTGATGTGTGTCCTAAGCGAACACAGTTGAACCTTTGTTTTGATACAGCATTTTGGAAACACTCCTTTTGTAGGATCTGCAGGTGGATATTTGGATAGATTTTAAGATTTCATTGGAAACGGGAATTTCTGCATAGAAGCTCAAGACAGATGCATTCTCAGAAACTTCTCTGTGATGTTTGCATTCCACTCATAGAGTTGAAAACTTCCTTTCATAGAGCAGGTTTGAAACACTCTTTTTGTAATATTTGGAAGTGGACATTTGCAGTGCTTTGAGGCCTATGGTGAAAAAGGAAATATCTTCTCATAAAAACCAGAAACAAGCATTCTCAGAAACTTCTTTTTGATGTGTGTACTCAAGTAACAGAGTTGAACCTTCCTTTTGACACAGCAGTTTTGAAACAATCTTTTTGTAGAATCTGCAAGTGGATATTTGGATAGCTTTGAGGATTTCGTTGGAAACGGGATATCTTCATATAAAATCTAGACAGAAGCATTCTCAGAAACTTCTTTGTGCTGTATGTCCTCAATTAACAGAGTTGAACCATTGCCTGGATACAGCATTTTGGAAACATTCCTTGAGTAGAATCTGCAAGTTGATATTTAGATAGATTTGAAGATTTCGTTGGAAAAGGGAATATCTCCATATAAAATCTAGAGGGAAGCATTCTCAGAAACTGCTTTGTGATGTTTCCATTCAAGTCACAGAGTTGAATATTCCCTTTTATAGAGCACGTTTGAAACACTCTTTCTGCACTATCTGGAAGCAGACATTTCGAGCGCTTTGAGGCCTATGGTGAAAAAGGAAATATCTTCCCATAAAAACTAGACAGAAGCATTCTCAGAAACTTGTTTGTGATGTGTGTATTCAACTAACAGAGTTGAACTTTTGTTTTTACAGAGCCGTTTTAAAACACTCTTTTTGTGGAATCAGAAAGTGGATATTCGGATGGCTCTGAGGATTTCGTTGGAAGCGGGATTACGTATAAAATCTAGAGAGAAGCATTCTCAGGAACTTCTTTGTGATGTTTGCATTCAAGTCACAGAATTGAACATTCCCTTTCATAGAGCAGGTTTGAAACACTCTTTCTCTAGTATCTGGAAGTGGGCATTTCAAGCGCTTTCAGGCCTATGGAGAGAAAGGAAATACCTTCAAATAAAAACTAGACAGAAGCATTCTCAGAAACTTATTTGTGATGTGTGTCCTCAACTAACAGAGTTGAACCTTTGTTTTGATACAGCATTTTGGAAACACTCCTTTTGTAGAATCTGCAGGTGGATATTTGGATAGCTTTGAAGATTTCGTTGGAAACCGGAATATCTTCATATAAAATCAAGACAGAAGCATTCTCGGAAACATCTCTGTGATGTTTGCATTCAACTCAGTAGAGTTGAACACTTCCTTTCATAGAGCAGGTTTGAAACACTCTTTCTGCACTACCTGGAAGCGGACATTTCGAGCGCTTTGAGGCCTATGGTGAAAAAGGAAATATCTTCTCATAAAAACCAGAAAGAAGCATTCTCAGAAACTTCTTTGTGTTGTGTGTACTCAAGTAACAGTGTTGAACCTTCCTTTTGACAGAGCAGTTTTGAAACACTCTTTTGGTAGAATCTGCAAGTGGATATTTGGATAGCTTTGAGGATTTTGTTGGAAACGGGTTATCTTCATATAAAATCCAGACAGGAGCATTCTCAGAAACTTCTTTGTGCTGTATGTCCTCAATTCGCAGAGCTGAACCTTTGTTTGGATACAGCATTTTGGAGACATTCCTTTAGTAGAATCTGCAAGTTGATATTTAGATAGCTTTGAAGATTTCGTTGGAAACGGGAATATCTTCATAGAAAATCTAGACGGAAGCATTCTCAGAAACTGCTTTGTGATGTTTGCATTCAAGTCACAGAGTTGAATATTCCCTTTTATAGAGTAGGTTTGAAACACTCTTTCGGCACTACCTGGAAGTGGATATTTCGAGCTCTTTGAGGCCTATGGTTAAAAGGAAATATCTTCCCATAAAAACTAGACAGAAGCCGTCTCAGGAAACTTGTTTGTGATGTGTGTATTCAACTACCAGAGTTGAACATTTCTGTTACAGAGCAATTTTAAAACACTCTTTCTGTGGAATCTGAAAGTGGATAATTGGATAGCTTTGTGGATTTCGTTGGAAACGGGATGACGTATAAAATCTAGAGAGAAGCATTCTCAGGAACTTCTTTCTGATGTTTGCATTCAAGTCACAGAATTGAACATTCCTTTTCAGAGTGCAGGTTTGAAACACTCTGTAGTATCTGGAAGTGGACATTTCAAGCGCTTTCAGGCCTACGGGGAGAAAGGAAATATCTTCAAATAAAAACTAGACAGAAGGATTCTCAGAAACTTATTTGTGATGTGTGTCCTAAACGAACACAGTTGAACCTTTGTTTTGATACAGCATTTTGGAAACACTCCTTTTGTAGGATCTGCAGGTGGATATTTGGATAGATTTTAAGATTTCGTTGGAAACGGGAATTTCTGCATATAAACTCAAGACAGATGCATTCTCAGAAACTTCTCTGTGATGTTTGCATTCCACTCATAGAGTTGAAAACTTCCTTTCATAGAGCAGGTTTGAAACACTCTTTTTGTAATATTTGGAAGTGGACATTTGCAGCGCTTTGAGGCCTATGGTGAAAAAGGAAATATCTTCTCATAAAAACCAGAAACAAGCATTCTCAGAAACTTCTTTTTGATGTGTGTACTCAAGTAACAGAGTTGAACCTTCCTTTTGACACAGCAGTTTTGAAACAATCTTTTTGTAGAATCTGCAAGTGGATATTTGGATAGCTTTGAGGATTTCGTTGGAAACGGGATATCTTCATATAAAATCTAGACAGAAGCATTCTCAGAAACTTCTTTGTGCTGTATGTCCTCAATTAACAGAGTTGAACCATTGCTTGGATACAGCATTTTGGAAACATTCCTTGAGTAGAATCTGCAAGTTGATATTTAGATAGATTTGAAGATTTCGTTGGAAAAGGGAATATCTCCATATAAAATCTAGAGGGAAGCATTCTCAGAAACTGCTTTGTGATGTTTCCATTCAAGTCACAGAGTTGAATATTCCCTTTTATAGAGCACGTTTGAAACACTCTTTCTGCACTATCTGGAAGTGGACATTTCGAGCGCTTTGAGGCCTATGGTGAAAAAGGAAATATCTTCCCATAAAAACTAGACAGAAGCATTCTCAGAAACTTGTTTGTGATGTGTGTATTCAACTAACAGAGTTGAACTTTTGTTTTTACAGAGCCGTTTTAAAACACTCTTTTTGTGGAATCAGAAAGTGGATATTCGGATGGCTCTGAGGATTTCGTTGGAAGCGGGATTACATATAAAATCTAGAGAGAAGCATTCTCAGGAACTTCTTTGTGATGTTTGCATTGAAGTCACAGAATTGAACATTCACTTTGATAGAGCAGGTTTGAAACACTCATTCTGTAGGATCTGGAAGTGGACATTTCAAGCGCTTTCAGGCCTATGGTGAGAAAGGAAATATCTTCGAATAAAAACTAGACAGAAGCATCCTCAGAAACTTATTTGTGATGTGTGTCCTCAACTAACAGAGTTGAAACTTTGTTTTGATACAGCATTTTGGAAACACTCTTTTTGTAGAATCTGCAGGTGGATATTTGGATAGCTTAGAGGGATTCGTTGGAAAGGGGATATCTTCATATAAAATCTAGACAGAAGCATTCTCAGAAACTTATTTGTGATGTGTGTCCTCAACTAACAGAGTTGAACCTTGGTTTTAATACAGCATTTTGGAAACACTCCTTTTGTAGAATCTGTAGGTGGATATGTGGATAGCTTTGAAGATTTCGTTGGAAACGGGAATTTCTTCATATAAAATCAAACAGAAGCATTCTCAGAAACTTCTCTGTGATGTTTGCATTCAGCTCATGGAGTTGAACACTTCCTTTCAGAGAGCACCTTTGAAACACTCTTTCTGCACTACCAGGAAGTAGACATTTCAAGCGCTTTGAGGCCTATGGTGAAAAAGGAAATATCTTCTCATAAAAACCAGAAAGAAGCGTTCTCAGAAACTTCTTTGTGTTGTGTGTACTCATGTAACAGTGTTGAACCATCCTTTTGACAGAGCAGTTTTGAAACACTCTTTTTGTAGAATCTGCAAGTGGATATTTGGATAGCTTTGAGGATTTCGTTGGAAACGGGTTATCTTCATATTAAATCTAGACAGAAGCATTCTCAGAAACTTCTTTGTGCTGTATGTCCTCAATTCACAGAGTTGAACCTTTGTTTGGATACAACATTTTGGAAATATTCCTTTAGTAGAATCTGCAAGTTGATATTTAGATAGCTTTGAAGATTTTGTTGGAAACGGGAATATCTTCATAAAAAATCTAGAGGGAAGCATTGTCAGAAACTGCTTTGTGATGTTTCCATTCAAGTCACAGAGTTAAATATTCTTTTACAGAGCAGGTTTGAAACACTCTTTCTGCACTCCCTGGAAGTGGAGATTTTGAGCGCTTTGAGGCCTATGGTGAAAAACGAAATATCTTCCCATAAAAACTAGACGGAAGCCTTCTCAGAAACTTGTTTGAGATGTGTGTATTCAACTAAGAGCGTTGAACATTTCTTTTTACAGAGCAGTTTTAAAACACTCTTTTTGTGGAATCTGAAAGTGGATAATTGGATAGCTTTGTGGATTTCGTTGGAAACGGGATGACGTATAAAATCTAGAGAGAAGCATTCTCAGGAACTTCTTTCTGATGTTTGCATTCAAGTCACAGAATTGAACATTCACTTTGATAGAGCAGGTTTGAAACACTCATTGTGTAGTATCTGGAAGTGGACATTTCAAGCGCTTTCAGGCCTACGGTGACAAAGGAAATATCTTCAAATAAAAACTAGACAGAAGCATCCTCAGAAACTTATTTGTGATGTGTGTCCTCAACTAACAGAGTTGAACCTTTGTTTTGATACAGCATTTTGGAAACACTCTTTTTGTAGAATCTGCAGGAGAATATTTGGATAGCTTAGAGGGATTCGTTGGAAAGGGGATATCTTCATATAAAATCTAGACAGAAGCATTCTCAGAAACTTATTTGTGATGTGTGTCCTCAACTAACAGAGTTGAACCTTGGTTTTGATACAGCATTTTGGAAACACTCCTTTTGTAGAATCTGCAGGTGGATATGTGGATAGCTTTGAAGATTTCGTTGGAAACGGGAATTTCTTCATATTAAATCAAACAGAAGCATTCTCAGAAACTTCTCAGTGATGTTTGCATTCAGCTCATGGATTTGAACACTTCCTTTCATAGAGCCGGTTTGAAACACTCTTTCTGCACTACCTGGAAGCGGACATTTCGAGCGCTTTGAGGCCTATGGTGAAAAAGGAAATATCTTCTCATAAAAACCAGAAAGAAGCCTTCTCAGAAACTTCTTTGTGTTGTGTGTACTCATGTAACAGTGTTGAACCATCCTTTTGACAGAGCAGTTTTGAAACACTCTTTTTGTAGAATCTGCAAGTGGATATTTGGATAGCTTTGAGGATTTCGTTGGAAACGGGATGACATATAATATCTAGAGAGAAGCATTCTCAGGAACTTCTTTGTGATGTTTGCATTCAAGTCACAGAATTGAACATTCCCTTTCATAGAGCAGGTTTGAAACACTTTCTCTAGTATCTGGAAGTGGGCATTTCAAGCGCTTTCAGGCCTATGGAGAGAAAGGAAGTACCTTCAAATAAAAACTAGACAGAAGCATTCTCAGAAACTTATTTGTGATGTGTGTCCTCAACTAACAGAGTTGAACCTTTGTTTTGATACAGCATTTTGGAAACACTCCTTTTGTAGAATCTGCAGGTGGATATTTGGATAGCTTTGAAGATTTCGTTGGAAACCGGAATATCTTCATATAAAATCAAGACAGAAGCATTCTCGGAAACATCTCTGTGATGTTTGCATTCAACTCAGTAGAGATGAACACTTCCTTTCATAGAGCAGGTTTGAAACACTCTTTCTGCCCTACCTGGAAGCGGAGATTTAAAGCGCTTTGAGGCCTATGGTGAAAAAGGAAATATCTTCTCATAAAAACCAGAAAGAAGCATTCTCAGAAACTTCTTTGTGTTGTGTGTACTCAAGTAACAGTGTTGAACCTTCCTTTTGACAGAGCAGTTTTGAAACACTCTTTTGGTAGAATCTGCAAGTGGATATTTGGATAGCTTTGAGGATTTCGTTGGAAACGGGTTATCTTCCTATAAAATCCAGACAGGAGCATTCTCAGAAACTTCTTTGTGCTGTATGTCCTCAATTCACAGAGCTGAACCTTTGTTTGGATACAGCATTTTGGAGACATTCCTTTAGTAGAATCTGCAAGTTGATATTTAGATAGCTTTGAAGATTTCGTTGGAAACGGGAATATCTTCATAGAAAATCTAGACGGAAGCATTCTCAGAAACTGCTTTGTGATGTTTGCATTCAAGTCACAGAGTTGAATATTCCCTTTTATAGAGTAGGTTTGAAACACTCTTTCGGCACTACCTGGAAGTGGATATTTCGAGCTCTTTGAGGCCTATGGTTAAAAGGAAATATCTTCCCATAAAAACTAGACAGAAGCCGTCTCAGAAACTTGTTTGTGATGTGTGTATTCAACTACCAGAGTTGAACATTTCTGTTACAGAGCAATTTTAAAACACTCTTTCTGTGGAATCTGAAAGTGGATAATTGGATAGCTTTGTGGATTTCGTTGGAAACGGGATGACGTATAAAATCTAGAGAGAAGCATTCTCAGGAACTTCTTTCTGATGTTTGCATTCAAGTCACAGAATTGAACATTCCTTTTCAGAGTGCAGGTTTGAAACACTCTTTCTGTAGTATCTGGAAGTGGACATTTCAAGCGCTTTCAGGCCTACGGGGAGAAAGGAAATATCTTCAAATAAAAACTAGACAGAAGGATTCTCAGAAACTTATTTGTGATGTGTGTCCTAAACGAACACAGTTGAACCTTTGTTTTGATACAGCATTTTGGAAACACTCCTTTTGTAGGATCTGCAGGTGGATATTTGGATAGATTTTAAGATTTCGTTGGAAACGGGAATTTCTTCATAGAAGCTCAAGACAGATGCATTCTCAGAAACTTCTCTGTGATGTTTGCATTCCACTCATAGAGTTGAAAACTTCCTTTCATAGAGCAGGTTTGAAACACTCTTTTTGTAATATTTGGAAGTGGACATTTGCAGCGCTTTGAGGCCTATGGTGAAAAAGGAAATATCTTCTCATAAAAACCAGAAACAAGCATTCTCAGAAACTTCTTTTTGATGTGTGTACTCAAGTAACAGAGTTGAACCTTCCTTTTGACACAGCAGTTTTGAAACAATCTTTTTGTAGAATCTGCAAGTGGATATTTGGATAGCTTTGAGGATTTCGTTGGAAACGGGATATCTTCATATAAAATCTAGACAGAAGCATTCTCAGAAACTTCTTTGTGCTGTATGACCTCAATTAACAGAGTTGAACCATTGCTTGCATACAGCATTTTGGAAACATTCCTTGAGTAGAATCTGCAAGTTGATATTTAGATAGATTTGAAGATTTCGTTCGAAAACAGGAATATCTCCATATAAAATCTAGAGGGAAGCATTCTCAGAAACTGCTTTGTGATGTTTCCATTCAAGTCACAGAGTTGAATATTCCCTTTTATAGAGCACGTTTGAAACACTCTTTCTGCGCTATCTGGAAGTGGACATTTCGAGCGCTTTGAGGCCTATGGTGAAAAAGGAAATATCTTCCCATAAAAACTAGACAGAAGCATTCTCAGAAACTTGTTTGTGATGTGTGTATTCAACTAACAGAGTTGAACTTTTGTTTTTACAGAGCCGTTTTAAAACACTCTTTTTGTGGAATCAGAAAGTGGATATTCGGATGGCTCTGAGGATTTCGTTGGAAGCGGGATTACATATAAAATCTAGAGAGAAGCATTCTCAGGAACTTCTTTGTGATGTTTGCATTGAAGTCACAGAATTGAACATTCACTTTGATAGAGCAGGTTTGAAACACTCATTCTGTAGTATCTGGAAGTGGACATTTCAAGCGCTTTCAGGCCTATGGTGAGAAAGGAAATATCTTCGAATAAAAACTAGACAGAAGCATCCTCAAACTTATTTGTGATGTGTGTCCTCAACTAACAGAGTTGAAACTTTGTTTTGATACAGCATTTTGGAAACACTCTTTTTGTAGAATCTGCAGGTGGATATTTGGATAGCTTAGAGGGATTCGTTGGAAAGGGGATATCTTCATATAGAATCTAGACAGAAGCATTCTCAGAAACTTATTTGTGATGTGTGTCCTCAACTAACAGAGTTGAACTTTGGTTTTGATACAGCATTTTGGAAACACTCCTTTTGTAGAATCTGCAGGTGGATATGTGGATAGCTCTGAAGATTTCGTTGGAAACGGGAATTTCTTCATATAAAATCAAACAGAAGCATTCTCAGAAACTTCTCAGTGATGTTTGCATTCAGTTCATGGAGTTGAACACTTCCTTTCATAGAGCCGGTTTGAAACACTCTTTCTGCACTACCTGGAAGAGGACATTTCGAGCGCTTTGAGTCCTATGGTGAAAAAGGAAATATCTTCTCATAGAAACCAGAAAGAAGCATTCTCAGAAACTTCTTTGTGTTGTGTGTACTCATGTAACAGTGTTGAACCATCCTTTTGACAGAGCAGTTTTGAAACACTCTTTTTGTAGAATCTGCAAGTGGATATTTGGATAGCTTTGAGGATTTCGTTGGAAACGGGATGACATATAATATCTAGAGAGAAGCATTCTCAGGAACTTCTTTGTGATGTTTGCATTCAAGTCACAGAATTGAACATTCCCTTTCATAGAGCAGGTTTGAAACACTCTTTCTCTAGTATCTGGAAGTGGGCATTTCAAGCGCTTTCAGGCCTATGGAGAGAAAGGAAATACCTTCAAATAAAAACTAGACAGAAGCATTCTCAGAAACTTATTTGTGATGTGTGTCCTCAACTAACAGAGTTGAACCTTTGTTTTGATACAGCATTTTGGAAACACTCCTTTTGTAGAATCTGCAGGTGGATATTTGGATAGCTTTGAAGATTTCGTTGGAAACCAGAATATCTTCATATAAAATCAAGACAGAAGCATTCTCGGAAACATCTCTGTGATGTTTGCATTCAACTCAGTAGAGTTGAACACTTCCTTTCATAGAGCAGGTGTGAAACACTCTTTCTGCACTACCTGGAAGCGGACATTTCGAGCGCTTTGAGGCCTATGGTGAAAAAGGAAATATCTTCTCATAAAAACCAGAAAGAAGCATTCTCAGAAACTTCTTTGTGTTGTGTGTACTCAAGTAACAGTGTTGAACCTTCCTTTTGACAGAGCAGTTTTGAAACACTCTTTTGGTAGAATCTGCAAGTGGATATTTGGAGAGCTTTGAGGATTTCGTTGGAAACGGGTTATCTTCCTATAAAATCCAGACAGGAGCATTCTCAGAAACTTCTTTGTGCTGTATGTCCTCAATTCACAGAGCTGAACCTTTGTTTGGATACAGCATTTTGGAGACATTCCTTTAGTAGAATCTGCAAGTTGATATTTAGATAGCTTTGAAGATTTCGTTGGAAACGGGAATATCTTCATAGAAAATCTAGACGGAAGCATTCTCAGAAACTGCTTTGTGATGTTTGCATTCAAGTCACAGAGTTGAATATTCCCTTTTATAGAGTAGGTTTGAAACACTCTTTCGGCACTACCTGGAAGTGGATATTTCGAGCTCTTTGAGGCCTATGGTTAAAAGGAAATATCTTCCCATAAAAACTAGACAGAAGCCGTCTCAGAAACTTGTTTGTGATGTGTGTATTCAACTAACAGAGTTGAACATTTCTGTTACAGAGCAATTTAAAACACTCTTTTTGTGGAATCTGAAAGTGGATAATTGGATAGCTTTGTGGATTTCGTTGGAAACGGGATGACGTATAAAATCTAGAGAGAAGCATTCTCAGGAACTTCTTTCTGATGTTTGCATTCAAGTCACAGAATTGAACATTCCTTTTCAGAGTGCAGGTTTGAAACACTCTTTCTGTAGTATCTGGAAGTGGACATTTCAAGCGCTTTCAGGCCTACGGGGAGAAAGGAAATATCTTCAAATAAAAACTAGACAGAAGGATTCTCAGAAACTTATTTGTGATGTGTGTCCTAAACGAACACAGTTGAACCTTTGTTTTGATACAGCATTTTGGAAACACTCCTTTTGTAGGATCTGCAGGTGGATATTTGGATAGATTTTAAGATTTCGTTGGAAACGGGAATTTCTTCATAGAAGCTCAAGACAGATGCATTCTCAGAAACTTCTCTGTGATGTTTGCATTCCACTCATAGAGTTGAAAACTTCCTTTCATAGAGCAGGTTTGAAACACTCTTTTTGTAATATTTGGAAGTGGACATTTGCAGCGCTTTGAGGCCTATGGTGAAAAAGGAAATATCTTCTCATAAAAACCAGAAACAAGCATTCTCAGAAACTTCTTTTTGATGTGTGTACTCAAGTAACAGAGTTGAACCTTCCTCTTGACACAGCAGTTTTGAAACAATCTTTTTGTAGAATCTGCAAGTGGATATTTGGATAGCTTTGAGGATTTCGTTGGAAACGGGATATCTTCATATAAAATCTAGACAGAAGCATTCTCAGAAACTTCTTTGTGCTGTATGTCCTCAATTAACAGAGTTGAACCATTGCCTGGATACAGCATTTTGGAAACATTCCTTGAGTAGAATCTGCAAGTTGATATTTAGATAGATTTGAAGATTTCGTTGGAAAAGGGAATATCTCCATATAAAATCTAGAGGGAAGCATTCTCAGAAACTGCTTTGTGATGTTTCCATTCAAGTCACAGAGTCGAATATTCCCTTTTATAGAGCACGTTTGAAACACTCTTTCTGCACTATCTGGAAGCGGACATTTCGAGCGCTTTGAGGCCTATGGTGAAAAAGGAAATATCTTCCCATAAAAACTAGACAGAAGCATTCTCAGAAACTTGTTTGTGATGTGTGTATTCAACTAACAGAGTTGAACTTTTGTTTTTACAGAGCCGTTTTAAAACACTCTTTTTGTGGAATCAGAAAGTGGATATTCGGATGGCTCTGAGGATTTCGTTGGAAGCGGGATTACGTATAAAATCTAGAGAGAAGCATTCTCAGGAACTTCTTTCTGATGTTTGCATTGAAGTCACGGAATTGAACATTCACTTTTATAGAGCAGGTTTGAAACACTCATTCTGTAGTATCTGGAAGTGGACATTTCAAGCGCTTTCAGGCCTATGGTGAGAAAGGAAATATCTTCGAATAAAAACTAGACAGAAGCATCCTCAGAAACTTATTTGTGATGTGTGTCCTCAACTAACAGAGTTGAAACTTTGTTTTGATACAGCATTTTGGAAACACTCTTTTTGTAGGATATGTGGATAGCTCTGAAGATTTCGTTGGAAACGGGAATTTCTTCATATAAAATCAAACAGAAGCATTCTCAGAAACTTCTCAGTGATGTTTGCATTCAGCTCATGGAGTTGTACACTTCCTTTCATAGAGCAGGTTTGAAACACTCTTTCTGCACTACCTGGAAGAGGACATTTCGAGCGCTTTGAGTCCTATGGTGAAAAAGGAAATATCTTCTCATAGAAACCAGAAAGAAGCATTCTCAGAAACTTCTTTGTGTTGTGTGTACTCATGTAACAGTGTTGAACCATCCTTTTGACAGAGGAGTTTTGAAACACTCTTTTTGTAGAATCTGCAAGTGGATATTTGGATAGCTTTGAGGATTTCATTGGAAACGGGATGACATATAATATCTAGAGAGAAGCATTCTCAGGAACTTCTTTGTGATGTTTGCATTCAAGTCACAGAATTGAACATTCCCTTTCATAGAGCAGGTTTGAAACACTCTTTCTCTAGTATCTGGAAGTGGGCATTTCAAGCGCTTTCAGGCCTATGGAGAGAAAGGAAATACCTTCAAATAAAAACTAGACAGAAGCATTCTCAGAAACTTATTTGTGATGTGTGTCCTCAACTAACAGAGTTGAACCTTTGTTTTGATACAGCATTTTGGAAACACTCCTTTTGTAGAATCTGCAGGTGGATATTTGGATAGCTTTGAAGATTTCGTTGGAAACCGGAATATCTTCATATAAAATCAAGACAGAAGCATTCTCGGAAACATCTCTGTGATGTTTGCATTCAACTCAGTAGAGTTGAACACTTCCTTTCATAGAGCAGGTTTGAAACACTCTTTCTGCACTACCTGGAAGCGGACATTTCGAGCGCTTTGAGGCCTATGGTGAAAAAGGAAATATCTTCTCATAAAAACCAGAAAGAAGCATTCTCAGAAACTTCTTTGTGTTGTGTGTACTCAAGTAACAGTGTTGAACCTTCCTTTTGACAGAGCAGTTTTGAAACACTCTTTTGGTAGAATCTGCAATTGGATATTTGGAGAGCTTTGAGGATTTCGTTGGAAACGGGTTATCTTCCTATAAAATCCAGACAGGAAGCATTCTCAGAAACTTCTTTGTGCTGTATGTCCTCAATTCACAGAGCTGAACCTTTGTTTGGATACAGCATTTTGGAAACATTCCTTTAGTAGAATCTGCAAGTTGATATTTAGATAGCTTTGAAGATTTCGTTGGAAACGGGAATATCTTCATAAAAAATCTAGACGGAAGCATTCTCAGAAACTGCTTTGTGATGTTTGCATTCAAGTCACAGAGTTGAATATTCCCTTTTATAGAGTAGGTTTGAAACACTCTTTCGGCACTACCTGGAAGTGGATATTTCGAGCTCTTTGAGGCCTATAGTTAAAAGGAAATATCTTCCCATAAAAACTAGACAGAAGCCGTCTCAGAAACTTGTTTGTGATGTGTGTATTCAACTAACAGAGTTGAACATTTCTGTTACAGAGCAATTTTAAAACACTCTTTGTGGAATCTGAAAGTGGATAATTGGATAGCTTTGTGGATTTCGTTGGAAACGGGATGACGTATAAAATCTAGAGAGAAGCATTCTCAGGAACTTCTTTCTGATGTTTGCATTCAAGTCACAGAATTGAACATTCCTTTTCAGAGTGCAGGTTTGAAACACTCTTTCTGTAGTATCTGGAAGTGGACATTTCAAGCGCTTTCAGGCCTACGGGGAGAAAGGAAATATCTTCAAATAAAAACTAGACAGAAGGATTCTCAGAAACTTATTTGTGATGTGTGTCCTAAACGAACACAGTTGAACCTTTGTTTTGATACAGCATTTTGGAAACACTCCTTTTGTAGGATCTGCAGGTGGATATTTGGATAGATTTTAAGATTTCGTTGGAAACGGGAATTTCTTCATAGAAGCTCAAGACAGATGCATTCTCAGAAACTTCTCTGTGATGTTTGCATTCCACTCATAGAGTTGAAAACTTCCTTTCATAGAGCAGGTTTGAAACACTCTTTTTGTAATATTTGGAAGTGGACATTTGCAGCGCTTTGAGGCCTATGGTGAAAAAGGAAATATCTTCTCATAAAAACCAGAAACAAGCATTCTCAGAAACTTCTTTTTGATGTGTGTACTCAAGTAACAGAGTTGAACCTTCCTTTTGACACAGCAGTTTTGAAACAATCTTTTTGTAGAATCTGCAAGTGGATATTTGGATAGCTTTGAGGATTTCGTTGGAAACGGGATATCTTCATATAAAATCTAGACAGAAGCATTCTCAGAAACTTCTTTGTGCTGTATGACCTCAATTAACAGAGTTGAACCATTGCTTGCATACAGCATTTTGGAAACATTCCTTGAGTAGAATCTGCAAGTTGATATTTAGATAGATTTGAAGATTTCGTTCGAAAACGGAATATCTCCATATAAAATCTAGAGGGAAGCATTCTCAGAAACTGCTTTGTGATGTTTCCATTCAAGTCACAGAGTTGAATATTCCCTTTTATAGAGCACGTTTGAAACACTCTTTCTGCACTATCTGGAAGTGGACATTTCGAGCGCTTTGAGGCCTATGGTGAAAAAGGAAATATCTTCCCATAAAAACTAGACAGAAGCATTCTCAGAAACTTGTTTGTGATGTGTGTATTCAACTAACAGAGTTGAACTTTTGTTTTTACAGAGCCGTTTTAAAACACTCTTTTTGTGGAATCAGAAAGTGGATATTCGGATGGCTCTGAGGATTTCGTTGGAAGCGGGATTACGTATAAAATCTAGAGAGAAGCATTCTCAGGAACTTCTTTGTGATGTTTGCATTGAAGTCACAGAATTGAACATTCACTTTGATAGAGCAGGTTTGAAACACTCATTCTGTAGTATCTGGAAGTGGACATTTCAAGCGCTTTCAGGCCTATGGTGAGAAAGGAAATATCTTCGAATAAAAACTAGACAGAAGCATCCTCAAACTTATTTGTGATGTGTGTCCTCAACTAACAGAGTTGAAACTTTGTTTTGATACAGCATTTTGGAAACACTCTTTTTGTAGAATCTGCAGGTGGATATTTGGATAGCTTAGAGGGATTCGTTGGAAAGGGGATATCTTCATATAAAATCCTAGACAGAAAGCATTCTCAGAAACTTATTTGTGATGTGTGTCCTCAACTAACAGAGTTGAACTTTGGTTTTGATACAGCATTTTGGAAACACTCCTTTTGTAGAATCTGCAGGTGGATATGTGGATAGCTCTGAAGATTTCGTTGGAAACGGGAATTTCTTCATATAAAATCAAACAGAAGCATTCTCAGAAACTTCTCAGTGATGTTTGCATTCAGTTCATGGAGTTGAACACTTCCTTTCATAGAGCCGGTTTGAAACACTCTTTCTGCACTACCTGGAAGAGGACATTTCGAGCGCTTTGAGTCCTATGGTGAAAAAGGAAATATCTTCTCATAGAAACCAGAAAGAAGCATTCTCAGAAACTTCTTTGTGTTGTGTGTACTCATGTAACAGTGTTGAACCATCCTTTTGACAGAGGAGTTTTGAAACACTCTTTTTGTAGAATCTGCAAGTGGATATTTGGATAGCTTTGAGGATTTCGTTGGAAACGGGATGACATATAATATCTAGAGAGAAGCATTCTCAGGAACTTCTTTGTGATGTTTGCATTCAAGTCACAGAATTGAACATTCCCTTTCATAGAGCAGGTTTGAAACACTCTTTCTCTAGTATCTGGAAGTGGGCATTTCAAGCGCTTTCAGGCCTATGGAGAGAAAGGAAATACCTTCAAATAAAAACTAGACAGAAGCATTCTCAGAAACTTATTTGTGATGTGTGTCCTCAACTAACAGAGTTGAACCTTTGTTTTGATACAGCATTTTGGAAACACTCCTTTTGTAGAATCTGCAGGTGGATATTTGGATAGCTTTGAAGATTTCGTTGGAAACCGGAATATCTTCATATAAAATCAAGACAGAAGCATTCTCGGCAAACATCTCTGTGATGTTTGCATTCAACTCAGTAGAGTTGAACACTTCCTTTCATAGAGCAGGTTTGAAACACTCTTTCTGCACTACCTGGAAGTGGACATTTCGAGCGCTTTGAGGCCTATGGTGAAAAAGGAAATATCTTCTCATAAAAACCAGAAAGAAGCATTCTCAGAAACTTCTTTGTGTTGTGTGTACTCAAGTAACAGTGTTGAACTTTCCTTTTGACAGAGCAGTTTTGAAACACTCTTTTTGTATTATCTGCAAGTGGATATTTGGATAGCTTTGAGGATTTCGTTGGAAACGGGTTATCTTCATATAAAATCTAGACAGGAGCATTCTCAGAAACTTCTTTGTGCTGTATGTGCTCAATTCACAGAGTTGATGCTTTCTTTGGATACAGCATTTTGGAAACATTCCTTTAGTAGAATCTGCAAGTTGATATTTAGATAGCTTTGAAGATTTCGTTGGAAACGGGAATATCTTCATAGAAAATATAGACGGAAGCATTCTCAGAAACTGCTTTGTGATGTTTGCATTCAAGTCACAGAGTTGAATATTCCCTTTTATAGAGTAGGTTTGAAACACTCTTTCGGCACTACCTGGAAGTGGATATTTCGAGCTCTTTGAGGCCTATGGTTAAAAGGAAATATCTTCCCATAAAAACTAGACAGAAGCCGTCTCAGAAACTTGTTTGTGATGTGTGTATTCAACTACCAGAGTTGAACATTTCTGTTACAGAGCAATTTTAAAACACTCTTTTTGTGGAATCTGAAAGTGGATAATTGGATAGCTTTGTGGATTTCGTTGGAAACGGGATGACGTATAAAATCTAGAGAGAAGCATTCTCAGGAACTTCTTTCTGATGTTTGCATTCAAGTCACAGAATTGAACATTCCTTTTCAGAGTGCAGGTTTGAAACACTCTTTCTGTAGTATCTGGAAGTGGACATTTCAAGCGCTTTCAGGCCTACGGGGAGAAAGGAAATATCTTCAAATAAAAACTAGACAGAAGGATTCTCAGAAACTTATTTGTGATGTGTGTCCTAAACGAACACAGTTGAACCTTTGTTTTGATACAGCATTTTGGAAACACTCCTTTTGTAGGATCTGCAGGTGGATATTTGGATAGATTTTAAGATTTCGTTGGAAACGGGAATTTCCTCATAGAAGCTCAAGACAGATGCATTCTCAGAAACTTCTCTGTGATGTTTGCATTCCACTCATAGAGTTGAAAACTTCCTTTCATAGAGCAGGTTTGAAACACTCTTTTTGTAATATTTGGAAGTGGACATTTGCAGCGCTTTGAGGCCTATGGTGAAAAAGGAAATATCTTCTCATAAAAACCAGAAACAAGCATTCTCAGAAACTTCTTTTTGATGTGTGTACTCAAGTAACAGAGTTGAACCTTCCTTTTGACACAGCAGTTTTGAAACAATCTTTTTGTAGAATCTGCAAGTGGATATTTGGATAGCTTTGAGGATTTCGTTGGAAACGGGATATCTTCATATAAAATCTAGACAGAAGCATTCTCAGAAACTTCTTTGTGCTGTATGTCCTCAATTAACAGAGTTGAACCATTGCCTGGATACAGCATTTTGGAAACATTCCTTGAGTAGAATCTGCAAGTTGATATTTAGATAGATTTGAAGATTTCGTTGGAAAAGGGAATATCTCCATATAAAATCCTAGAGGGAAGCATTCTCAGCAAACTGCTTTGTGATGTTTCCATTCAAGTCACAGAGTTGAATATTCCCTTTTATAGAGCACGTTTGAAACACTCTTTCTGCACTATCTGGAAGTGGACATTTCGAGCGCTTTGAGGCCTATGGTGAAAAAGGAAATATCTTCCCATAAAAACTAGACAGAAGCATTCTCAGAAACTTGTTTGTGATGTGTGTATTCAACTAACAGAGTTGAACTTTTGTTTTTACAGAGCCGTTTTAAAACACTCTTTTTGTGGAATCAGAAAGTGGATATTCGGATGGCTCTGAGGATTTCGTTGGAAGCGGGATTACGTATAAAATCTAGAGAGAAGCATTCTCAGGCAACTTCTTTGTGATGTTTGCATTGAAGTCACAGAATTGAACATTCACTTTGATAGAGCAGGTTTGAAACACTCATTCTGTAGTATCTGGAAGTGGACATTTCAAGCGCTTTCAGGCCTATGGTGAGAAAGGAAATATCTTCGAATAAAAACTAGACAGAAGCATCCTCAAACTAATTGGTGATGTGTGTCCTCAACTAACAGAGTTGAAACTTTGTTTTGATACAGCATTTTGGAAACACTCTTTTTGTAGAATCTGCAGGTGGATATTTGGATAGCTTAGAGGGATTCGTTGGAAAGGGGATATCTTCATATAAAATCTAGACAGAAGCATTCTCAGAAACTTATTTGTGATGTGTGTCCTCAACTAACAGAGTTGAACCTTGGTTTTGATACAGCATTTTGGAAACACTCCTTTTGTAGAATCTGCAGGTGGATATGTGGATAGCTCTGAAGATTTCGTTGGAAACGGGAATTTCTTCATATAAAATCAAACAGAAGCATTCTCAGAAACTTCTCAGTGATGTTTGCATTCAGCTCATGGAGTTGAACACTTCCTTTCATAGAGCAGGTTTGAAACACTCTTTCTGCACTACCTGGAAGAGGACTTTTCGAGCGCTTTGAGGCCTATGGTGAAAAAGGAAATATCTTCTCATAGAAACCAGAAAGAAGCATTCTCAGAAACTTCTTTGTGTTGTGTGTACTCATGTAACAGTGTTGAACCATCCTTTTGACAGAGCAGTTTTGAAACACTCTTTTTGTAGAATCTGCAAGTGGATATTTGGATAGCTTTGAGGATTTCGTTGGAAACGGGATGACATATAATATCTAGAGAGAAGCATTCTCAGGAACTTCTTTGTGATGTTTGCATTCAAGTCACAGAATTGAACATTCCCTTTCATAGAGCAGGTTTGAAACACTCTTTCTCTAGTATCTGGAAGTGGGCATTTCAAGCGCTTTCAGGCCTATGGAGAGAAAGGAAATACCTTCAAATAAAAACTAGACAGAAGCATTCTCAGAAACTTATTTGTGATGTGTGTCCTCAACTAACAGAGTTGAACCTTTGTTTTGATACAGCATTTTGGAAACACTCCTTTTGTAGAATCTGCAGGTGGATATTTGGATAGCTTTGAAGATTTCGTTGGAAACCGGAATATCTTCCTATAAAATCAAGACAGAAGCATTCTCGGAAACATCTCTGTGATGTTTGCATTCAACTCAGTAGAGTTGAACACTTCCTTTCATAGAGCAGGTTTGAAACACTCTTTCTGCCCTACCTGGAAGCGGACATTTCGAGCTCTTTGAGGCCTATGGTGAAAAAGGAAATATCTTCTCATAAAAACCAGAAAGAAGCATTCTCAGAAACTTCTTTGTGTTGTGTGTACTCAAGTAACAGTGTTGAACCTTCGTTTTGACAGAGCAGTTTTGAAACACTCTTTTGGTAGAATCTGCAAGTGGATATTTGGATAGCTTTGAGGATTTCGTTGGAAACGGGTTATCTTCATATAAAATCCAGACAGGAGCATTCTCAGAAACTTCTTTGTGCTGTATGTCCTCAATTCACAGAGCTGAACCTTTGTTTGGATACAGCATTTTGGAGACATTCCTTTAGTAGAATCTGCAAGTTGATATTTAGATAGCTTTGAAGATTTCGTTGGAAACGGGAATATCTTCATAGAAAATCTAGACGGAAGCATTCTCAGAAACTGCTTTGTGATGTTTGCATTCAAGTCACAGAGTTGAATATTCCCTTTTATAGAGTAGGTTTGAAACACTCTTTCGGCACTACCTGGAAGTGGATATTTCGAGCTCTTTGAGGCCTATGGTTAAAAGGAAATATCTTCCCATAAAAACTAGACAGAAGCCGTCTCAGAAACTTGTTTGTGATGTGTGTATTCAACTAACAGAGTTGAACATTTCTGTTACAGAGCAATTTTAAAACACTCTTTGTGGAATCTGAAAGTGGATAATTGGATAGCTTTGTGGATTTCGTTGGAAACGGGATGACGTATAAAATCTAGAGAGAAGCATTCTCAGGAACTTCTTTCTGATGTTTGCATTCAAGTCACAGAATT
Source organism: Homo sapiens (assembly GCF_000001405.40). Taxonomy (NCBI): domain Eukaryota; kingdom Metazoa; phylum Chordata; class Mammalia; order Primates; family Hominidae; genus Homo; species Homo sapiens. The sequence continues at coordinate 49,935,716 of NC_000004.12, forward strand.
GAACATTCCTTTTCAGAGTGCAGGTTTGAAACACTCTTTCTGTAGTATCTGGAAGTGGACATTTCAAGCGCTTTCAGGCCTACGGGGAGAAAGGAAATATCTTCAAATAAAAACTAGAGAGAAGGATTCTCAGAAACTTATTTGTGATGTGTGTCCTAAACGAACACAGTTGAACCTTTGTTTTGATACAGCATTTTGGAAACACTCCTTTTGTAGGATCTGCAGGTGGATATTTGGATAGATTTTAAGATTTCGTTGGAAACGGGAATTTCTTCATAGAAGCTCAAGACAGATGCATTCTCAGAAACTTCTCTGTGATGTTTGCATTCCACTCATAGAGTTGAAAACTTCCTTTCATAGAGCAGGTTTGAAACACTCTTTTTGTAATATTTGGAAGTGGACATTTGCAGCGCTTTGAGGCCTATGGTGAAAAAGGAAATATCTTCTCATAAAAACCAGAAACAAGCATTCTCAGAAACTTCTTTTTGATGTGTGTACTCAAGTAACAGAGTTGAACCTTCCTTTTGACACAGCAGTTTTGAAACAATCTTTTTGTAGAATCTGCAAGTGGATATTTGGATAGCTTTGAGGATTTCGTTGGAAACGGGATATCTTCATATAAAATCTAGACAGAAGCATTCTCAGAAACTTCTTTGTGCTGTATGTCCTCAATTAACAGAGTTCAACCATTGCTTGGATACAGCATTTTGGAAACATTCCTTGAGTAGAATCTGCAAGTTGATATTTAGATAGATTTGAAGATTTCGTTGGAAAAGGGAATATCTCCATATAAAATCTAGAGGGAAGCATTCTCAGAAACTGCTTTGTGATGTTTCCATTCAAGTCACAGAGTTGAATATTCCCTTTTATAGAGCACGTTTGAAACACTCTTTCTGCACTATCTGGAAGTGGACATTTCGAGCGCTTTGAGGCCTATGGTGAAAAAGGAAATATCTTCCCATAAAAACTAGACAGAAGCATTCTCAGAAATTTGTTTGTGATGTGTGTATTCAACTAACAGACTTGAACTTTTGTTTTTACAGAGCCGTTTTAAAACACCTTTTTTGTGGAATCAGAAAGTGGATATTCGGATGGCTCTGAGGATTTCGTTGGAAGCGGGATTACATATAAAATCTAGAGAGAAGCATTCTCAGGAACTTCTTTGTGATGTTTGCATTGAAGTCACAGAATTGAACATTCACTTTGATAGAGCAGGTTTGAAACACTCATTCTGTAGTATCTGGAAGTGGACATTTCAAGCGCTTTCAGGCCTATGGTGAGAAAGGAAATATCTTCGAATAAAAACTAGACAGAAGCATCCTCAAACTTATTTGTGATGTGTGTCCTCAACTAACAGAGTTGAAACTTTGTTTTGATACAGCATTTTGGAAACACTCTTTTTGTAGAATCTGCAGGTGGATATTTGGATAGCTTAGAGGGATTCGTTGGAAAGGGGATATCTTCATATAGAATCTAGACAGAAGCATTCTCAGAAACTTATTTGTGATGTGTGTCCTCAACTAACAGAGTTGAACTTTGGTTTTGATACAGCATTTTGGAAACACTCCTTTTGTAGAATCTGCAGGTGGATATGTGGATAGCTCTGAAGATTTCGTTGGAAACGGGAATTTCTTCATATAAAATCAAACAGAAGCATTCTCAGAAACTTCTCAGTGATGTTTGCATTCAGTTCATGGAGTTGAACACTTCCTTTCATAGAGCCGGTTTGAAACACTCTTTCTGCACTGCCTGGAAGAGGACATTTCGAGCGCTTTGAGTCTTATGGTGAAAAAGGAAATATCTTCTCATAGAAACCAGAAAGAAGCATTCTCAGAAACTTCTTTGTGTTGTGTGTACTCATGTAACAGTGTTGAACCATCCTTTTGACAGAGCAGTTTTGAAACACTCTTTTTGTAGAATCTGCAAGTGGATATTTGGATAGCTTTGAGGATTTCGTTGGAAACGGGATGACATATAATATCTAGAGAGAAGCATTCTCAGGAACTTCTTTGTGATGTTTGCATTCAAGTCACAGAATTGAACATTCCCTTTCATAGAGCAGGTTTGAAACACTCTTTCTCTAGTATCTGGAAGTGGGCATTTCAAGCGCTTTCAGGCCTATGGAGAGAAAGGAAATACCTTCAAATAAAAACTAGACAGAAGCATTCTCAGAAACTTATTTGTGATGTGTGTCCTCAACTAACAGAGTTGAACCTTTGTTTTGATACAGCATTTTGGAAACACTCCTTTTGTAGAATCTGCAGGTGGATATTTGGATAGCTTTGAAGATTTCGTTGGAAACCGGAATATCTTCATATAAAATCAAGACAGAAGCATTCTCGGAAACATCTCTGTGATGTTTGCATTCAACTCAGTAGAGTTGAACACTTCCTTTCATAGAGCAGGTTTGAAACACTCTTTCTGCACTACCTGGAAGCGGACATTTCGAGCGCTTTGAGGCCTATGGTGAAAAAGGAAATATCTTCTCATAAAAACCAGAAAGAAGCATTCTCAGAAACTTCTTTGTGTTGTGTGTACTCAAGTAACAGTGTTGAACCTTCCTTTTGACAGAGCAGTTTTGAAACACTCTTTTGGTAGAATCTGCAAGTGGATATTTGGAGAGCTTTGAGGATTTCGTTGGAAACGGGTTATCTTCATATAAAATCCAGACAGGAGCATTCTCAGAAACTTCTTTGTGCTGTATGTCCTCAATTCACAGAGCTGAACCTTTGTTTGGATACAGCATTTTGGAGACATTCCTTTAGTAGAATCTGCAAGTTGATATTTAGATAGCTTTGAAGATTTCGTTGGAAACGGGAATATCTTCATAGAAAATCTAGACGGAAGCATTCTCATAAACTGCTTTGTGATGTTTGCATTCAAGTCACAGAGTTGAATATTCCCTTTTATAGAGTAGGTTTGAAACACTCTTTCGGCACTACCTGGAAGTGGATATTTCGAGCTCTTTGAGGCCTATGCTTAAAAGGAAATATCTTCCCATAAAAACTAGACAGAAGCCGTCTCAGAAACTTGTTTGTGATGTGTGTATTCAACTAACAGAGTTGAACATTTCTGTTACAGAGCAATTTTAAAACACTCTTTCTGTGAAATCTGAAAGTGGATAATTGGATAGCTTTGTGGATTTCGTTGGAAACGGGATGACGTATAAAATCTAGAGAGAAGCATTCTCAGGAACTTCTTTCTGATGTTTGCATTCAAGTCACAGAATTGAACATTCCTTTTCATAGTGCAGGTTTGAAACGCTCTTTCTGTAGTATCTGGAAGTGGACATTTCAAGCGCTTTCAGGCCTATGGGGAGAAAGGAAATATCTTCAAATAAAAACTAGACAGAAGGATTCTCAGAAACTTATTGGTGATGTGTGTCCTAAACGAACACAGTTGAACCTTTGTTTTGATACAGCCTTTTGGAAACACTCCTTTTGTAGAATCTGCAGGTGGATATTTGGATAGATTTTAAGATTTCGTTGGAAACGGGAATTTCTTCATAGAAACTCAAGACAGATGCATTCTCAGAAACTTCTCTGTGATGTTTGCATTCCACTCATAGAGTTGAAAACTTCCTTTCATAGAGCAGGTTTGAAACACTCTTTTTGTAATATTTGGAAGTGGAAATTTGCAGCGCTTTGAGGCCTATGGTGAAAAAGGAAATATCTTCTCATAAAAACCAGAAACAAGCATTCTCAGAAACTTCTTTTTGATGTGTGTACTCAAGTAACAGAGTTGAACCTTCCTTTTGACACAGCAGTTTTGAAACAATCTTTTTGTAGAATCTGCAAGTGGATATTTGGATAGCTTTGAGGATTTCGTTGGAAACGGGATATCTTCATATAAAATCTAGACAGAAGCATTCTCAGAAACTTCTTTGTGCTGTATGTCCTCAATTAACAGAGTTGAACCATTGCTTGGATACAGCATTTTGGAAACATTCCTTTAGTAGAATCTGCAAGTTGATATTTAGATAGCTTTGAAGATTTCGTTGGAAACGGGAATATCTTCATATAAAATCTAGACGGAAGCATTCTCAGAAACTGCTTTGTGATGTTTCCATTCAAGTCACAGAGTTGAATATTCTCTTTTATAGAGCACGTTTGAAACACTCTTTCTGCACTATCTGGAAGTGGACATTTCGAGCGCTTTGAGGCCTATGGTGAAAAAGGAAATATCTTCCCATAAAAACTAGACAGAAGCATTCTCAGAAACTTGTTTGTGATGTGTGTATTCAACTGAGTTGAACTTTTGTTTCTACAGAGCAGTTTTAAAACACTCTTTTTGTGGAATCAGAAAGTGGATATTCGGATGGCTCTGAGGATTTCGTTGGAAGCGGGATTACATATAAAATCTAGAGAGAAACATTCTCAGGAACTTCTTTGTGATGTTTGCATTGAAGTCACAGAATTGATCATTCACTTTTATAGAGCAGGTTTGAAACACTCATTCTGTAGTATCTGGAAGTGGACATTTCAAGCGCTTTCAGGCCTATGGTGAGAAAGGAAATATCTTCAAATAAAAACTAGACAGAAACATCGTCAGAAACTTATTTGTGATGTGTGTCCTCAACTAACAGAGTTGAAATTTTGTTTTGATACAGCCTTTTGGAAACACTCTTTTTGTAGAATCTGCAGGTGGATATTTGGATAGCTTAGAGGGATTCGTTGGAAAGGGGATATCTTCATATAAAATCTAGACAGAAGCATTCTCAGAAACTTATTTGTGATGTGTGTCCTCAACTAACAGAGTTGAACCTTGGTTTTGATACAGCATTTTGGAAACACTCCTTTTGTAGAATCTGCAGGTGGATATGTGGATAGCTCTGAAGATTTCGTTGGAAACGGGAATTTCTTCATATAAAATCAAACAGAAGCATTCTCAGAAACTTCTCAGTGATGTTTGCATTCAGCTCATGGAGTTGTACACTTCCTTTCATAGAGCAGGTTTGAAACACTCTTTCTGCACTACCTGGAAGAGGACATTTCGAGCGCTTTGAGTCCTATGGTGAAAAAGGAAATATCTTCTCATAGAAACCAGAAAGAAGCATTCTCAGAAACTTCTTTGTGTTGTGTGTACTCATGTAACAGTGTTGAACCATCCTTTTGACAGAGGAGTTTTGAAACACTCTTTTTGTAGAATCTGCAAGTGGATATTTGGATAGCTTTGAGGATTTCGTTGGAAACGGGATGACATATAATATCTAGAGAGAAGCATTCTCAGGAACTTCTTTGTGATGTTTGCATTCAAGTCACAGAATTGAACATTCCCTTTCATAGAGCAGGTTTGAAACACTCTTTCTCTAGTATCTGGAAGTGGGCATTTCAAGCGCTTTCAGGCCTATGGAGAGAAAGGAAATACCTTCAAATAAAAACTAGACAGAAGCATTCTCAGAAACTTATTTGTGATGTGTGTCCTCAACTAACAGAGTTGAACCTTTGTTTTGATACAGCATTTTGGAAACACTCCTTTTGTAGAATCTGCAGGTGGATATTTGGATAGCTTTGAAGATTTCGTTGGAAACCGGAATATCTTCATATAAAATCAAGACAGAAGCATTCTCGGAAACATCTCTGTGATGTTTGCATTCAACTCAGTAGAGTTGAACACTTCCTTTCATAGAGCAGGTTTGAAACACTCTTTCTGCACTACCTGGAAGCGGACATTTCGAGCGCTTTGAGGCCTATGGTGAAAAAGGAAATATCTTCTCATAAAAACCAGAAAGAAGCATTCTCAGAAACTTCTTTGTGTTGTGTGTACTCAAGTAACAGTGTTGAACCTTCCTTTTGACAGAGCAGTTTTGAAACACTCTTTTGGTAGAATCTGCAAGTGGATATTTGGATAGCTTTGAGGATTTCGTTGGAAACGGGTTATCTTCCTATAAAATCCAGACAGGAGCATTCTCAGAAACTTCTTTGTGCTGTATGTCCTCAATTCACAGAGCTGAACCTTTGTTTGGATACAGCATTTTGGAGACATTCCTTTAGTAGAATCTGCAAGTTGATATTTAGATAGCTTTGAAGATTTCGTTGGAAACGGGAATATCTTCATAGAAAATCTAGACGGAAGCATTCTCAGAAACTGCTTTGTGATGTTTGCATTCAAGTCACAGAGTTGAATATTCCCTTTTATAGAGTAGGTTTGAAACACTCTTTCGGCACTACCTGGAAGTGGATATTTCGAGCTCTTTGAGGCCTATGGTTAAAAGGAAATATCTTCCCATAAAAACTAGACAGAAGCCGTCTCAGAAACTTGTTTGTGATGTGTGTATTCAACTACCAGAGTTGAACATTTCTGTTACAGAGCAATTTTAAAACACTCTTTCTGTGGAATCTGAAAGTGGATAATTGGGTAGCTTTGTGGATTTCGTTGGAAACGGGATGACGTATAAAATCTAGAGAGAAGCATTCTCAGGAACTTCTTTCTGATGTTTGCATTCAAGTCACAGAATTGAACATTCCTTTTCAGAGTGCAGGTTTGAAACACTCTTTCTGTAGTATCTGGAAGTGGACATTTCAAGCGCTTTCAGGCCTACGGGGAGAAAGGAAATATCTTCAAATAAAAACTAGACAGAAGGATTCTCAGAAACTTATTTGTGATGTGTGTCCTAAACGAACACAGTTGAACCTTTGTTTTGATACAGCATTTTGGAAACACTCCTTTTGTAGGATCTGCAGGTGGATATTTGGATAGATTTTAAGATTTCGTTGGAAACGGGAATTTCTGCATATAAACTCAAGACAGATGCATTCTCAGAAACTTCTCTGTGATGTTTGCATTCCACTCATAGAGTTGAAAACTTCCTTTCATAGAGCAGGTTTGAAACACTCTTTTTGTAATATTTGGAAGTGGACATTTGCAGCACTGTGAGGCCTATGGTGAAAAAGGAAATATCTTCTCATAAAAACCAGAAACAAGCATTCTCAGAAACTTCTTTTTGATGTGTGTACTCAAGTAACAGAGTTGAACCTTCCTTTTGACACAGCAGTTTTGAAACAATCTTTTTGTAGAATCTGCAAGTGGATATTTGGATAGCTTTGAGGATTTCGTTGGAAACGGGATATCTTCATATAAAATCTAGACAGAAGCATTCTCAGAAACTTCTTTGTGCTGTATGACCTCAATTAACAGAGTTGAACCATTGCTTGCATACAGCATTTTGGAAACATTCCTTGAGTAGAATCTGCAAGTTGATATTTAGATAGATTTGAAGATTTCGTTGGAAAAGGGAATATCTCCATATAAAATCTAGAGGGAAGCATTCTCAGAAACTGCTTTGTGATGTTTCCATTCAAGTCACAGAGTTGAATATTCCCTTTTATAGAGCACGTTTGAAACACTCTTTCTGCACTATCTGGAAGTGGACATTTCGAGCGCTTTGAGGCCTATGGTGAAAAAGGAAATATCTTCCCATAAAAACTAGACAGAAGCATTCTCAGAAACTTGTTTGTGATGTGTGTATTCAACTAACAGAGTTGAACTTTTGTTTTTACAGAGCCGTTTTAAAACACTCTTTTTGTGGAATCAGAAAGTGGATATTCGGATGGCTCTGAGGATTTCGTTGGAAGCGGGATTACGTATAAAATCTAGAGAGAAGCATTCTCAGGAACTTCTTTGTGATGTTTGCATTGAAGTCACAGAATTGAACATTCACTTTGATAGAGCAGGTTTGAAACACTCATTCTGTAGGATCTGGAAGTGGACATTTCAAGCGCTTTCAGGCCTATGGTGAGAAAGGAAATATCTTCGAATAAAAACTAGACAGAAGCATCCTCAAACTTATTTGTGATGTGTGTCCTCAACTAACAGAGTTGAAACTTTGTTTTGATACAGCATTTTGGAAACACTCTTTTTGTAGAATCTGCAGGTGGATATTTGGATAGCTTAGAGGGATTCGTTGGAAAGGGGATATCTTCATATAAAATCTAGACAGAAGCATTCTCAGAAACTTATTTGTGATGTGTGTCCTCAACTAACAGAGTTGAACCTTGGTTTTGATACAGCATTTTGGAAACACTCCTTTTGTAGAATCTGCAGGTGGATATGTGGATAGCTCTGAAGATTTCGTTGGAAACGGGAATTTCTTCATATAAAATCAAACAGAAGCATTCTCAGAAACTTCTCAGTGATGTTTGCATTCAGCTCATGGAGTTGAACACTTCCTTTCATAGAGCAGGTTTGAAACACTCTTTCTGCACTACCTGGAAGAGGACATTTCGAGCGCTTTGAGTCCTATGGTGAAAAAGGAAATATCTTCTCATAGAAACCAGAAAGAAGCATTCTCAGAAACTTCTTTGTGTTGTGTGTACTCATGTAACAGTGTTGAACCATCCTTTTGACAGAGGAGTTTTGAAACACTCTTTTTGTAGAATCTGCAAGTGGATATTTGGATAGCTTTGAGGATTTCGTTGGAAACGGGATGACATATAATATCTAGAGAGAAGCATTCTCAGGAACTTCTTTGTGATGTTTGCATTCAAGTCACAGAATTGAACATTCCCTTTCATAGAGCAGGTTTGAAACACTCTTTCTCTAGTATCTGGAAGTGGGCATTTCAAGCGCTTTCAGGCCTATGGAGAGAAAGGAAATACCTTCAAATAAAAACTAGACAGAAGCATTCTCAGAAACTTATTTGTGATGTGTGTCCTCAACTAACAGAGTTGAACCTTTGTTTTGATACAGCATTTTGGAAACACTCCTTTTGTAGAATCTGCAGGTGGATATTTGGATAGCTTTGAAGATTTCGTTGGAAACCGGAATATCTTCATATAAAATCAAGACAGAAGCATTCTCGGAAACATCTCTGTGATGTTTGCATTCAACTCAGTAGAGTTGAACACTTCCTTTCATAGAGCAGGTTTGAAACACTCTTTCTGCACTACCTGGAAGCGGACATTTCGAGCGCTTTGAGGCCTATGGTGAAAAAGGAAATATCTTCTCATAAAAACCAGAAAGAAGCATTCTCAGAAACTTCTTTGTGTTGTGTGTACTCAAGTAACAGTGTTGAACCTTCCTTTTGACAGAGCAGTTTTGAAACACTCTTTTGGTAGAATCTGCAAGTGGATATTTGGAGAGCTTTGAGGATTTCGTTGGAAACGGGTTATCTTCATATAAAATCCAGACAGGAGCATTCTCAGAAACTTCTTTGTGCTGTATGTCCTCAATTCACAGAGCTGAACCTTTGTTTGGATACAGCATTTTGGAGACATTCCTTTAGTAGAATCTGCAAGTTGATATTTAGATAGCTTTGAAGATTTCGTTGGAAACGGGAATATCTTCATAGAAAATCTAGACGGAAGCATTCTCAGAAACTGCTTTGTGATGTTTGCATTCAAGTCACAGAGTTGAATATTCCCTTTTATAGAGTAGGTTTGAAACACTCTTTCGGCACTACCTGGAAGTGGATATTTCGAGCTCTTTGAGGCCTATGGTTAAAAGGAAATATCTTCCCATAAAAACTAGACAGAAGCCGTCTCAGAAACTTGTTTGTGATGTGTGTATTCAACTAACAGAGTTGAACATTTCTGTTACAGAGCAATTTTAAAACACTCTTTGTGGAATCTGAAAGTGGATAATTGGATAGCTTTGTGGATTTCGTTGGAAACGGGATGACGTATAAAATCTAGAGAGAAGCATTCTCAGGAACTTCTTTCTGATGTTTGCATTCAAGTCACAGTAATTGAACATTCCTTTTCATAGTGCAGGTTTGAAACGCTCTTTCTGTAGTATCTGGAAGTGGACATTTCAAGCGCTTTCAGGCCTATGGGGAGAAAGGAAATATCTTCAAATAAAAACTAGACAGAAGGATTCTCAGAAACTTATTTGTGATGTGTGTCCTAAACGAACACAGTTGAACCTTTGTTTTGATACAGCATTTTGGAAACACTCCTTTTGTAGAATCTGCAGGTGGATATTTGGATAGATTTTAAGATTTCATTGGAAACGGGAATTTCTTCATATAAACTCAAGACAGATGCATTCTCAGAAACTTCTCTGTGATGTTTGCATTCCACTCATAGAGTTGAAAACTTCCTTTCATAGAGCAGGTTTGAAACACTCTTTTTGTAATATTTGGAAGTGGACATTTGCAGCGCTTTGAGGCCTATGGTGAAAAAGGAAATATCTTCTCATAAAAACCAGAAACAAGCATTCTCAGAAACTTCTTTTTGATGTGTGTACTCAAGTAACAGAGTTGAACCTTCCTCTTGACACAGCAGTTTTGAAACAATCTTTTTGTAGAATCTGCAAGTGGATATTTGGATAGCTTTGAGGATTTCGTTGGAAACGGGATATCTTCATATAAAATCTAGACAGAAGCATTCTCAGAAACTTCTTTGTGCTGTATGTCCTCAATTAACAGAGTTGAACCATTGCTTGGATACAGCATTTTGGAAACATTCCTTTAGTAGAATCTGCAAGTTGATATTTAGATAGATTTGAAGATTTCGTTGGAAACGGGAATATCTTCATATAAAATCTAGACAGAGGCATTCTCAGAAACTGCTTTGTGATGTTTCCATTCAAGTCACAGAGTTGAATATTCTCTTTTATAGAGCACGTTTGAAACACTCTTTCTGCACTATCTGGAAGTGGACATTTCGAGCGCTTTGAGGCCTATGGTGAAAAAGGAAATATCTTCCCATAAAAACTAGACAGAAGCATTCTCAGACACTTGTTTGTGATGTGTGTATTCAACTAACAGACTTGAACTTTTGTTTTTACAGAGCAGTTTTAAAACAATCTTTTTGTGGAATCAGAAAGTGGATATTCGGATGGCTTTGAGGATTTCGTTGGAAGCGGGATTACATATAAAATGTAGAGAGAAGCATTCTCAGGAACTACTTTGTGATGTTTGCATTGAAGTCACAGAATTGAACATTCACTTTGATAGAGCAGGTTTGAAACACTCATTCTGTAGTATCTGGAAGTGGACATTTCAAGCGCTTTCAGGCCTATGGGGAGAAAGGAAATATCTTCAAATTAAAACTAGACAGAAGCATCCTCAGAAACTTATTTGTGATGTGTGTCCTCAACTAACAGAGTTGAAACTTTGTTTTGATACAGCATTTTGGAAACACTCTTTTTGTAGAATCTGCAGGTGGATACTTGGATAACTTAGAGGGATTCGTTGGAAAGGGGATAAATTCATATAAAATCTAGACAGAAGCATTCTCAGAAACTTATTTGTGATGTGTGTCCTCAACTAACAGAGTTGAACCTTGGTTTTGATACAGCATTTTGGAAACACTCCTTTTGAAGAATCTGCAGGTGGATATGTGGATAGCTTTGAAGATTTCGTTGGAAACGGGAATTTCTTCATATAAAATCAAACAGAAGCATTCTCAGGAACTTCTCTGTGATGTTTGCATTCAGCTCATGGAGTTGAACACTTCCTTTCATAGAGCAGGTTTGAAACACTCTTTCTGCACTACCTGGAAGTGGACATTTCGAGCGCTTTGAGGCCTATGGTGAAAAAGGAAATATCCTCTCATAAAAACCAGAAAGAAGCGTTCTCAGAAACTTCTTTGTGTTGTGTGTACTCATGTAACAGTGTTGAACCATCCTTTTGACAGAGCAGTTTTGAAACACTCTTTTTGTAGAATCTGCCAGTGGATATTTGGATAGCTTTGAGGATGTCGTTGCAAACGGGTTATCTTCATATTAAATCTAGACAGAAGCATTCTCAGAAACTTCTTTGTGCTGTATGTCCTCAATTCACAGAGTTGAACCTTTGTTTGGATACAGCATTTTGGAAACATTCCTTTAGTAGAATCTGCAAGTTGATATTGAGATAGCTTTGAAGATTTCGTTGGAAACGGGAATATCTTCATAAAAAATCTAGACGGAAGCATTGTCAGAAACTGCTCTGTGATGTTTGCATTCAAGTCACAGAGTTAAATATTCTTTTATAGAGCAGGTTTGAAACACTCTTTCTGCACTCCCTGGAAGTGGAGATTTCGAGCGCTTTGAGGCCTATGGTGAAAAAGGAAATATCTTCCCATAAAAACTAGACGGAAGCCTTCTCAGAAACTTGTTTGAGATGTGTGTATTCAACTAAGAGCGTTGAACATTTCTTTTTACAGAGCAGTTTTAAAACAGTCTTTTGGTGGAATCTGAAAGTGGATAATTGGATAGCTTTGTGGATTTCGTTGGAAACGGGATTACGTTTAAAATCTAGAGAGAAGCATTCTCAGGAACTTCTTTCTGATGTTTGCATTCAAGTCACAGAATTGAACATTCCTTTTCATAGTGCAGGTTTGAAACACTCTGTAGTATCTGGAAGTGGACATTTCAAGCGCTTTCAGGCCTATGGGGAGAAAGGAAATATCTTGAAATAAAAACTAGACAGAAGGATTCTCAGAAACTTATTTGTGATGTGTGTTCTCAACGAACACAGTTGAACCTTTGTTTTGATATAGCATTTTGGAAGCACTCTTTTGTAGAATCTGCAGGTGGATATTTGGATAGATTTTAAGATTTCATTGGAAACGGGAATTTCTTCATATAAACTCAAGACAGATGCATTCTCAGAAACTTCTCTGTGATGTTTGCATTCCACTCACAGAGTTGAAAACTTCCTTTCATAGAGCAGGTTTGAAACACTCTTTCTGCACTACCTGGAAGTGGACATTTCGAGCGCTTTGAGGCCTATGGTGAAAAAGGAAATATCCTCTCATAAAAACCAGAAAGAAGCGTTCTCAGAAACTTCTTTGTGTTGTGTGTACTCATGTAACAGTGTTGAACCATCCTTTTGACAGAGCAGTTTTGAAACACTCTTTTTGTAGAATCTGCCAGTGGATATTTGGATAGCTTTGAGGATTTCGTTGGAAACGGGTTATCTTCATATTAAATCTAGACAGAAGCATTCTCAGAAACTTCTTTGTGCTGTATGTCCTCAATTCACAGAGTTGAACCTTTGTTTGGATACAGCATTTTGGAAACATTCCTTTAGTAGAATCTGCAAGTTGATATTTAGATAGCTTTGAAGATTTCGTTGGAAACGAGAATATCTTCATAAAAAATCTAGACGGAAGCATTGTCAGAAACTGCTCTGTGATGTTTGCATTCAAGTCACAGAGTTAAATATTCTTTTATAGAGCAGGTTTGAAACACTCTTTCTGCACTCCCTGGAAGTGGAGATTTCGAGCGCTTTGAGGCCTATGGTGAAAAAGGAAATATCTTCCCGTAAAAACTAGACGGAAGCCTTCTCAGAAACTTGTTTGAGATGTGTGTATTCAACTAAGAGCGTTGAACATTTCTTTTTACAGAGCAGTTTTAAAACAGTCTTTTGGTGGAATCTGAAAGTGGATAATTGGATAGCTTTGTGGATTTCGTTGGAAACGGGATTACGTTTAAAATCTAGAGAGAAGCATTCTCAGGAACTTCTTTCTGATGTTTGCATTCAAGTCACAGAATTGAACATTCCTTTTCATAGTGCAGGTTTGAAACACTCTGTAGTATCTGGAAGTGGACATTTCAAGCGCTTTCAGGCCTATGGGGAGAAAGGAAATATCTTGAAATAAAAACTAGACAGAAGTATTCTCAGAAACTTATTTGTGATGTGTGTTCTCAACGAACACAGTTGAACCTTTGTTTTGATATAGCATTTTGGAAGCACTCTTTTGTAGAATCTGCAGGTGGATATTTGGATAGATTTTAAGATTTCATTGGAAACGGGAATTTCTTCATATAAACTCAAGACAGATGCATTCTCAGAAACTTCTCTGTGATGTTTGCATTCCACTCACAGAGTTGAAAACTTCCTTTCATAGAGCAGGTTTGAAACACTCTTTTTGTAATATTTGGAAGTGGACATTTGCAGCGCTTTGAGGCCTATGGTGAAAAAGGAAATATCTTCTCATAAAAACCAGAAACAAGCATTCTCAGAAACTGCTTTTTGATGTGTGTACTCAAGTAACAGAGTTGAACCTTCCTTTTGACACAGCAGTTTTGAAACAATCTTTTTGTAGAATCTGCAAGTGGATATTTGGATAGCTTTGAGGATTTCATTGGAAACGGGATATCTTCATATAAAATCTAGACAGAAGCATTCTCAGAAACTTCTTTGTGCTGTATGTCCTCAATTAACAGAGTTGAACCATTGCTTGGATACAGCATTTTGGAAACATTCCTTTAGTAGAATCTGCAAGTTGATATTTAGATAGATTTGAAGATTTCGTTGGAAACGGGAATATCTTCATATAAAATCTAGACGGAGGCATTCTCAGAAACTGCTTTGTGATGTTTCCATTCAAGTCACAGAGTTGAATATTCTCTTTTCTAGAGCACGTTTGAAACACTCTTTCTGCACTATCTGGAAGTGGACATTTCGAGCGCTTTGAGGCCTATGGTGAAAAAGGAAATATCTTCCCATAAAAACTAGACAGAAGCATTCTCAGAAACTTGTTTGTGATGTGTGTATTCAACTAACAGACTTGAACTTTTGTTTTTACAGAGCAGTTTTAAAACAATCTTTTTGTGGAATCAGAAAGTGGATATTCGGATGGCTTTGAGGATTTCGTTGGAAGCGGGATTACATATAAAATCTAGAGAGAAGCATTCTCAGGAACTACTTTGTGATGTTTGCATTGAAGTCACAGAATTGAACATTCACTATGATAGAGCAGGTTTGAAACACTCATGCTGTAGTATCTGGAAGTGGACATTTCAAGCGCTTTCAGGCCTATGGTGAGAAAGGAAATATCTTCAAATTAAAACTAGACAGAAGCATCCTCAGAAACTTATTTGTGATGTGTGTCCTCAACTAACAGAGTTGAAACTTTGTTTTGATACAGCATTTTGGAAACACTCTTTTTGTAGAATCTGCAGGTGGATATTTGGATAGCTTAGAGGGATTCGTTGGAAAGGGGATATCTTCATATAAAATCTAGACAGAAGCATTCTCAGAAACTTATTTGTGATGTGTGTCCTCAACTAACAGAGTTGAACCTTGGTTTTGATACAGCATTTTGGAAACACTCCTTCTGAAGAATCTGCAGGTGGATATGTGGATAGCTTTGAAGATTTCGTTGGAAACGGGAATTTCTTCATATAAAATCAAACAGAAGCATTCTCAGGAACTTCTCTGTGATGTTTGCATTCAGCTCATGGAGTTGAACACTTCCTTTCATAGAGCAGGTTTGAAACACTCTTTCTGCACTACCTGGAAGTGGACATTTCGAGCGCTTTGAGGCCTATGGTGAAAAAGGAAATATCCTCTCATAAAAACCAGAAAGAAGCGTTCTCAGAAACTTCTTTGTGTTGTGTGTACTCATGTAACAGTGTTGAACCATCCTTTTGACAGAGCAGTTTTGAAACACTCTTTTTGTAGAATCTGCCAGTGGATATTTGGATAGCTTTGAGGATTTCGTTGGAAACGGGTTATCTTCATATTAAATCTAGACAGAAGCATTCTCAGAAACTTCTTTGTGCTGTATGTCCTCAATTCACAGAGTTGAACCTTTGTTTGGATACAGCATTTTGGAAACATTCCTTTAGTAGAATCTGCAAGTTGATATTTAGATAGCTTTGAAGATTTCGTTGGAAACGGGAATATCTTCATAAAAAATCTAGACGGAAGCATTGTCAGAAACTGCTCTGTGATGTTTGCATTCAAGTCACAGAGTTAAATATTCTTTTATAGAGCAGGTTTGAAACACTCTTTCTGCACTCCCTGGAAGTGGAGATTTCGAGCGCTTTGAGGCCTATGGTGAAAAAGGAAATATCTTCCCATAAAAACTAGACGGAAGCCTTCTCAGAAACTTGTTTGAGATGTGTGTATTCAACTAAGAGCGTTGAACATTTCTTTTTACAGAGCAGTTTTAAAACACTCTTTTGGTGGAATCTGAAAGTGGATAATTGGATAGCTTTGTGGATTTCGTTGGAAACGGGATTACGTTTAAAATCTAGAGAGAAGCATTCTCAGGAACTTCTTTCTGATGTTTGCATTCAAGTCACAGAATTGAACATTCCTTTTCATAGTGCAGGTTTGAAACACTCTGTAGTATCTGGAAGTGGACATTTCAAGGGCTTTCAGGCCTATGGGGAGAAAGGAAATATCTTGAAATAAAAACTAGACAGAAGGATTCTCAGAAACTTATTTGTGATGTGTGTCCTAAACGAACACAGTTGAACCTTTGTTTTGATACAGCATTTTGGAAACACTCCTTTTGTAGAATCTGCAGGTGGATATTTGGATAGATTTTAAGATTTCATTGGAAACGGGAATTTCTTCATATAAACTCAAGACAGATGCATTCTCAGAAACTTCTCTGTGATGTTTGCATTCCACTCACAGAGTTGAAAACTTCCTTTCATAGAGCAGGTTTGAAACACTCTTTTTGTAATATTTGGAAGTGGACATTTGCAGCGCTTTGAGGCCTATGGTGAAAAAGGAAATATCTTTTCATAAAAACCAGAAACAAGCATTCTCAGAAACTGCTTTTTGATGTGTGTACTCAAGTAACAGAGTTGAACCTTCCTTTTGACACAGCAGTTTTGAAACAATCTTTTTGTAGAATCTGCAAGTGGATATTTGGATAGCTTTGAGGATTTCGTTGGAAACGGGATATCTTCATATAAAATCTAGACAGAAGCATTCTCAGAAACTTCTTTGTGCTGTATGTCCTCAATTAACAGAGTTGAACCATTGCTTGGACACAGCATTTTGGAAACATTCCTTTAGTAGAATCTGCAAGTTGATATTTAGATAGATTTGAAGATTTCGTTGGAAACGGGAATATCTTCATATAAAATCTAGACGGAGGCATTCTCAGAAACGGCTTTGTGATGTTTCCATTCAAGTCACAGAGTTGAATATTCTCTTTTATAGAGCACGTTTGAAACACTCTTTCTGCACTATCTGGAAGTGGACATTTCGAGCGCTTTGAGGCCTATGGTGAAAAAGGAAATATCTTCCCATATAAACTAGACAGAAGCATTCTCAGAAACTTGTTTGTGATGTGTGTATTCAACTAACAGACTTGAACTTTTGTTTTTACAGAGCAGTTTTAAAACAATCTTTTTGTGGAATCAGAAAGTGGATATTCGGATGGCTTTGAGGATTTCGTTGGAAGCGTGATTACATATAAAATCTAGAGAGAAGCATTCTCAGGAACTACTTTGTGATGTTTGCATTGAAGTCACAGAATTGAACATTCACTATGATAGAGCAGGTTTGAAACACTCATGCTGTAGTATCTGGAAGTGGACATTTCAAGCGCTTTCAGGCCTATGGTGAGAAAGGAAATATCTTCAAATAAAAACTAGACAGAAGCATCCTCAGAAACTTATTTGTGATGTGTGTCCTCAACTAACAGAGTGGAAACTTTGTTTTGATACAGCATTTTGGAAACACTCTTTTTGTAGAATCTGCAGGTGGATATTTGGATAGCTTAGAGGGATTCGTTGGAAAGGGGATATCTTCATATAAAATCCAGACAGAAGCATTCTCAGAAACTTATTTGTGATGTGTGTCCTCAACTAACAGAGTTGAACCTTGGTTTTGATACAGCATTTTGGAAACACTCCTTTTGAAGGATCTGCAGGTGGATATGTGGATAGCTTTGAAGATTTCGTTGGAAACGGGAATTTCTTCATATAAAATCAAACAGAAGCATTCTCAGAAACTTCTCTGTGATGTTTGCATTCAGCTCATGGAGTTGAACACTTCCTTTCATAGAGCAGGTTTGAAACACTCTTTCTGCACTACCTGGAAGTGGACATTTCGAGCGCTTTGAGGCCTATGGTGAAAAGGGAAATATCTTCTCATAAAAACCAGAAAGAAGCGTTCTCAGAAACTTCTTTGTGTTGTGTGTACTCATGTAACAGTGTTGAACCATCCTTTTGACAGAGCAGTTTTGAAACAATCTTTTTGTAGAATCTGCCAGTGGATATTTGGATAGCTTTGAGGATTTCGTTGGAAACGGGTTATCTTCATATTAAATCTAGACAGAAGCATTCTCAGAAACTTCTTTGTGCTGTATGTCCTCAATTCACAGAGTTGAACCTTTGTTTGGATACAGCATTTTGGAAACATTCCTTTAGTAGAATCTGCAAGTTGATATTTAGATAGCTTTGAAGATTTCGTTGGAAACGGGAATATCTTCATAAAAAATCTAGACGGAAGCATTGTCAGAAACTGCTCTGTGATGTTTGCATTCAAGTCACAGAGTTAAATATTCTTTTACAGAGCAGGTTTGAAACACTCTTTCTGCACTCCCTGGAAGTGGAGATTTCGAGCGCTTTGAGGCCTATGGTGAAAAAGGAAATATCTTCCCATAAAAACTAGACGGAAGCCTTCTCAGAAACTTGTTTGAGATGTGTGTATTCAACTAAGAGCGTTGAACATTTCTTTTTACAGAGCAGTTTTAAAACAGTCTTTTGGTGGAATCTGAAAGTGGATAATTGGATAGCTTTGTGGATTTCGTTGCAAACGGGATTACGTTTAAAATCTAGAGAGAAGCATTCTCAGGAACTTCTTTCTGATGTTTGCATTCAAGTCACAGAATTGAACATTCCTTTTCATAGTGCAGGTTTGAAACACTCTGTAGTATCTGGAAGTGGACATTTCAAGCGCTTTCAAGCCTATGGGGAGAAAGGAAATATCTTGAAATAAAAACTAGACAGAAGGATTCTCAGAAACTTATTTGTGATGTGTGTCCTAAACGAACACAGTTGAACCTTTGTTTTGATACAGCATTTTGGAAACACTCCTTTTGTAGAATCTGCAGGTGGATATTTGGATAGATTTTAAGATTTCATTGGAAACGGGAATTTCTTCATATAAACTCAAGACAGATGCATTCTCCGAAACTTCTCTGTGATGTTTGCATTCCACTCATAGAGTTGAAAACTTCCTTTCATAGAGCACGTTTGAAACACTCTTTTTGTAATATTTGGAAGTGGACATTTGCAGCGCTTTGAGGCCTATGGTGAAAAAGGAAATATTCTTCTCATAAAAACCAGAAACAAAGCATTCTCAGGAAACTTCTTTTTGATGTGTGTACTCAAATATCAGAGTTGAACCTTCCTTTTGACACAGCAGTTTTGAAACAATCTTTTTGTAGAATCTGCAAGTGGACATTTGGATAGCTTTGATGATTTCGTTGGAAACGGGATATCTTCATATAAAATCTAGACAGAAGCATTCTCAGAAACTTCTTTGTGCTGTATGTCCTCAATTAACAGAGTTGAACCATTGCCTGGATACAGCATTTTGGAAACATTCCTTGAGTAGAATCTGCAAGTTGATATTTAGATAGATTTGAAGATTTCGTTGGAAAAGGGAATATCTCCATATAAAATCTAGAGGGAAGCATTCTCAGAAACTGCTTTGTGATGTTTCCATTCAAGTCACAGAGTTGAATATTCCCTTTTATAGAGCACGTTTGAAACACTCTTTCTGCACTATCTGGAAGCGGACATTTCGAGCGCTTTGAGGCCTATGGTGAAAAAGGAAATATCTTCCCATAAAAACTAGACAGAAGCATTCTCAGAAACTTGTTTGTGATGTGTGTATTCAACTAACAGAGTTGAACTTTTGTTTTTACAGAGCCGTTTTAAAACACTCTTTTTGTGGAATCAGAAAGTGGATATTCGGATGGCTCTGAGGATTTCGTTGGAAGCGGGATTACGTATAAAATCTAGAGAGAAGCATTCTCAGGAACTTCTTTCTGATGTTTGCATTGAAGTCACGGAATTGAACATTCACTTTTATAGAGCAGGTTTGAAACACTCATTCTGTAGTATCTGGAAGTGGACATTTCAAGCGCTTTCAGGCCTATGGTGAGAAAGGAAATATCTTCGAATAAAAACTAGACAGAAGCATCCTCAGAAACTTATTTGTGATGTGTGTCCTCAACTAACAGAGTTGAAACTTTGTTTTGATACAGCATTTTGGAAACACTCTTTTTGTAGAATCTGCAGGTGGATATTTGGATAGCTTAGAGGGAGTCGTTGGAAAGGGGATATCTTCATATAAAATCTAGACAGAAGCATTCTCAGAAACTTATTTGTGATGTGTGTCCTCAACTAACAGAGTTGAACCTTGGTTTTGATACAGCATTTTGGAAACACTCCTTTTGTAGAATCTGCAGGTGGATATGTGGATAGCTCTGAAGATTTCGTTGGAAACGGGAATTTCTTCATATAAAATCAAACAGAAGCATTCTCAGAAACTTCTCAGTGATGTTTGCATTCAGCTCATGGAGTTGAACACTTCCTTTCATAGAGCAGGTTTGAAACACTCTTTCTGCACTACCTGGAAGAGGACATTTCGAGAGCTTTGAGTCCTATGGTGAAAAAGGAAATATCTTCTCATAGAAACCAGAAAGAAGCATTCTCAGAAACTTCTTTGTGTTGTGTGTACTCATGTAACAGTGTTGAACCATCCTTTTGACAGAGGAGTTTTGAAACACTCTTTTTGTAGAATCTGCAAGTGGATATTTGGATAGCTTTGAGGATTTCGTTGGAAACGGGATGACATATAATATCTAGAGAGAAGCATTCTCAGGAACTTCTTTGTGATGTTTGCATTCAAGTCACAGAATTGAACATTCCCTTTCATAGAGCAGGTTTGAAACACTCTTTCTCTAGTATCTGGAAGTGGGCATTTCAAGCGCTTTCAGGCCTATGGAGAGAAAGGAAATACCTTCAAATAAAAACTAGACAGAAGCATTCTCAGAAACTTATTTGTGATGTGTGTCCTCAACTAACAGAGTTGAACCTTTGTTTTGATACAGCATTTTGGAAACACTCCTTTTGTAGAATCTGCAGGTGGATATTTGGATAGCTTTGAAGATTTCGTTGGAAACCGGAATATCTTCATATAAAATCAAGACAGAAGCATTCTCGGAAACATCTCTGTGATGTTTGCATTCAACTCAGTAGAGTTGAACACTTCCTTTCATAGAGCAGGTTTGAAACACTCTTTCTGCACTACCTGGAAGCGGACATTTCGAGCGCTTTGAGGCCTATGGTGAAAAAGGAAATATCTTCTCATAAAAACCAGAAAGAAGCATTCTCAGAAACTTCTTTGTGTTGTGTGTACTCAAGTAACAGTGTTGAACCTTCCTTTTGACAGAGCAGTTTTGAAACACTCTTTTGGTAGAATCTGCAAGTGGATATTTGGATAGCTTTGAGGATTTCGTTGGAAACGGGTTATCTTCATATAAAATACCAGACAGGAGCATTCTCAGAAACTTCTTTGTGCTGTATGTCCTCAATTCACAGAGCTGAACCTTTGTTTGGATACAGCATTTTGGAGACATTCCTTTAGTAGAATCTGCAAGTTGATATTTAGATAGCTTTGAAGATTTCGTTGGAAACGGGAATATCTTCATAGAAAATCTAGACGGAAGCATTCTCAGAAACTGCTTTGTGATGTTTGCATTCAAGTCACAGAGTTGAATATTCCCTTTTATAGAGTAGGTTTGAAACACTCTTTCGGCACTACCTGGAAGTGGATATTTCGAGCTCTTTGAGGCCTATGGTTAAAAGGAAATATCTTCCCATAAAAACTAGACAGAAGCCGTCTCAGAAACTTGTTTGTGATGTGTGTATTCAACTAACAGAGTTGAACATTTCTGTTACAGAGCAATTTTAAAACACTCTTTTTGTGGAATCTGAAAGTGGATAATTGGATAGCTTTGTGGATTTCGTTGGAAACGGGATGACGTATAAAATCTAGAGAGAAGCATTTTCAGGAACTTCTTTCTGATGTTTGCATTCAAGTCACAGAATTGAACATTCCTTTTCAGAGTGCAGGTTTGAAACACTCTTTCTGTAGTATCTGGAAGTGGACATTTCAAGCGCTTTCAGGCCTACGGGGAGAAAGGAAATATCTTCAAATAAAAACTAGACAGAAGGATTCTCAGAAACTTATTTGTGATGTGTGTCCTAAACGAACACAGTTGAACCTTTGTTTTGATACAGCATTTTGGAAACACTCCTTTTGTAGGATCTGCAGGTGGATATTTGGATAGATTTTAAAATTTCGTTGGAAACGGGAATTTCTTCATAGAAGCTCAAGACAGATGCATTCTCAGAAACTTCTCTGTGATGTTTGCATTCCACTCATAGAGTTGAAAACTTCCTTTCATAGAGCAGGTTTGAAACACTCTTTTTGTAATATTTGGAAGTGGACATTTGCAGCGCTTTGAGGCCTATGGTGAAAAAGGAAATATCTTCTCATAAAAACCAGAAACAAGCATTCTCAGAAACTTCTTTTTGATGTGTGTACTCAAGTAACAGAGTTGAACCTTCCTCTTGACACAGCAGTTTTGAAACAATCTTTTTGTAGAATCTGCAAGTGGATATTTGGATAGCTTTGAGGATTTCGTTGGAAACGGGATATCTTCATATAAAATCTAGACAGAAGCATTCTCAGAAACTTCTTTGTGCTGTATGTCCTCAATTAACAGAGTTGAACCATTGCCTGGATACAGCATTTTGGAAACATTCCTTGAGTAGAATCTGCAAGTTGATATTTAGATAGATTTGAAGATTTCGTTGGAAAAGGGAATATCTCCATATAAAATCTAGAGGGAAGCATTCTCAGAAACTGCTTTGTGATGTTTCCATTCAAGTCACAGAGTTGAATATTCCCTTTTATAGAGCACGTTTGAAACACTCTTTCTGCACTATCTGGAAGCGGACATTTCGAGCGCTTTGAGGCCTATGGTGAAAAAGGAAATATCTTCCCATAAAAACTAGACAGAAGCATTCTCAGAAACTTGTTTGTGATGTGTGTATTCAACTAACAGAGTTGAACTTTTGTTTTTACAGAGCCGTTTTAAAACACTCTTTTTGTGGAATCAGAAAGTGGATATTCGGATGGCTCTGAGGATTTCGTTGGAAGCGGGATTACGTATAAAATCTAGAGAGAAGCATTCTCAGGAACTTCTTTGTGATGTTTGCATTGAAGTCACAGAATTGAACATTCACTTTGATAGAGCAGGTTTGAAACACTCATTCTGTAGTATCTGGAAGTGGACATTTCAAGCGCTTTCAGGCCTATGGTGAGAAAGGAAATATCTTCGAATAAAAACTAGACAGAAGCATCCTCAAACTTATTTGTGATGTGTGTCCTCAACTAACAGAGTTGAACCTTTGTTTTGATACAGCATTTTGGAAACACTCTTTTTGTAGAATCTGCAGGTGGATATTTGGATAGCTTAGAGGGATTCGTTGGAAAGGGGATATCTTCATATAAAATCTAGACAGAAGCATTCTCAGAAACTTATTTGTGATGTGTGTCCTCAACTAACAGAGTTGAACTTTGGTTTTGATACAGCATTTTGGAAACACTCCTTTTGTAGAATCTGCAGGTGGATATGTGGATAGCTCTGAAGATTTCGTTGGAAACGGGAATTTCTTCATATAAAATCAAACAGAAGCATTCTCAGAAACTTCTCAGTGATGTTTGCATTCAGTTCATGGAGTTGAACACTTCCTTTCATAGAGCCGGTTTGAAACACTCTTTCTGCACTACCTGGAAGAGGACATTTCGAGCGCTTTGAGTCCTATGGTGAAAAAGGAAATATCTTCTCATAGAAACCAGAAAGAAGCATTCTCAGAAACTTCTTTGTGTTGTGTGTACTCATGTAACAGTGTTGAACCATCCTTTTGACAGAGCAGTTTTGAAACACTCTTTTTGTAGAATCTGCAAGTGGATATTTGGATAGCTTTGAGGATTTCGTTGGAAACGGGATGACATATAATATCTAGAGAGAAGCATTCTCAGGAACTTCTTTGTGATGTTTGCATTCAAGTCACAGAATTGAACATTCCCTTTCATAGAGCAGGTTTGAAACACTCTTTCTCTAGTATCTGGAAGTGGGCATTTCAAGCGCTTTCAGGCCTATGGAGAGAAAGGAAATACCTTCAAATAAAAACTAGACAGAAGCATTCTCAGAAACTTATTTGTGATGTGTGTCCTCAACTAACAGAGTTGAACCTTTGTTTTGATACAGCATTTTGGAAACACTCCTTTTGTAGAATCTGCAGGTGGATATTTGGATAGCTTTGAAGATTTCGTTGGAAACCGGAATATCTTCATATAAAATCAAGACAGAAGCATTCTCGGAAACATCTCTGTGATGTTTGCATTCAACTCAGTAGAGTTGAACACTTCCTTTCATAGAGCAGGTTTGAAACACTCTTTCTGCACTACCTGGAAGCGGACATTTCGAGCGCTTTGAGGCCTATGGTGAAAAAGGAAATATCTTCTCATAAAAACCAGAAAGAAGCATTCTCAGAAACTTCTTTGTGTTGTGTGTACTCAAGTAACAGTGTTGAACCTTCCTTTTGACAGAGCAGTTTTGAAACACTCTTTTGGTAGAATCTGCAAGTGGATATTTGGATAGCTTTGAGGATTTCGTTGGAAACGGGTTATCTTCCTATAAAATCCAGACAGGAGCATTCTCAGAAACTTCTTTGTGCTGTATGTCCTCAATTCACAGAGTTGAACCTTTGTTTGGATACAGCATTTTGGAAACATTCCTTTAGTAGAATCTGCAAGTTGATATTTAGATAGCTTTGAAGATTTCGTTGGAAACGGGAATATCTTCATAAAAAATCTAGACGGAAGCATTCTCAGAAACTGCTTTGTGATGTTTGCATTCAAGTCACAGAGTTGAATATTCCCTTTTATAGAGTAGGTTTGAAACACTCTTTCGGCACTACCTGGAAGTGGATATTTCGAGCTCTTTGAGGCCTATGGTTAAAAGGAAATATCTTCCCATAAAAACTAGACAGAAGCCGTCTCAGAAACTTGTTTGTGATGTGTGTATTCAACTAACAGAGTTGAACATTTCTGTTACAGAGCAATTTTAAAACACTCTTTGTGGAATCTGAAAGTGGATAATTGGATAGCTTTGTGGATTTCGTTGGAAACGGGATGACGTATAAAATCTAGAGAGAAGCATTCTCAGGAACTTCTTTCTGATGTTTGCATTCAAGTCACAGAATTGAACATTCCTTTTCAGAGTGCAGGTTTGAAACACTCTTTCTGTAGTATCTGGAAGTGGACATTTCAAGCGCTTTCAGGCCTACGGGGAGAAAGGAAATATCTTCAAATAAAAACTAGACAGAAGGATTCTCAGAAACTTATTTGTGATGTGTGTCCTAAACGAACACAGTTGAACCTTTGTTTTGATACAGCATTTTGGAAACACTCCTTTTGTAGGATCTGCAGGTGGATATTTGGATAGATTTTAAGATTTCGTTGGAAACGGGAATTTCTTCATAGAAGCTCAAGACAGATGCATTCTCAGAAACTTCTCTGTGATGTTTGCATTCCACTCATAGAGTTGAAAACTTCCTTTCATAGAGCAGGTTTGAAACACTCTTTTTGTAATATTTGGAAGTGGACATTTGCAGCGCTTTGAGGCCTATGGTGAAAAAGGAAATATCTTCTCATAAAAACCAGAAACAAGCATTCTCAGAAACTTCTTTTTGATGTGTGTACTCAAGTAACAGAGTTGAACCTTCCTCTTGACACAGCAGTTTTGAAACAATCTTTTTGTAGAATCTGCAAGTGGATATTTGGATAGCTTTGAGGATTTCGTTGGAAACGGGATATCTTCATATAAAATCTAGACAGAAGCATTCTCAGAAACTTCTTTGTGCTGTATGTCCTCAATTAACAGAGTTGAACCATTGCCTGGATACAGCATTTTGGAAACATTCCTTGAGTAGAATCTGCAAGTTGATATTTAGATAGATTTGAAGATTTCGTTGGAAAAGGGAATATCTCCATATAAAATCTAGAGGGAGGCATTCTCAGAAACTGCTTTGTGATGTTTCCATTCAAGTCACAGGAGTTGAATATTCCCTTTTATAGAGCACGTTTGAAACACTCTTTCGGCACTATCTGGAAGTGGACATTTCGAGCGCTTTGAGGCCTATGGTGAAAAAGGAAATATCTTCCCATAAAAACTAGACAGAAGCATTCTCAGAAACTTGTTTGTGATGTGTGTATTCAACTAACAGAGTTGAACTTTTGTTTTTACAGAGCCGCTTTAAAACACTCTTTTTGTGGAATCAGAAAGTGGATATTCGGATGGCATTGAGGATTTCATTGGAAGCGGGATTACATATAAAATCTAGAGAGAAGCATTCTCAGGAACTTCTTTGTGATGTTTGCATTGAAGTCACAGAATTGAACATTCACTTTTATAGAGCAGGTTTGAAACACTCATTCTGTAGTATCTGGAAGTGGACATTTCAAGCGCTTTCAGGCCTATGGTGAGAAAGGAAATATCTTCAAATAAAAACTAGACAGAAGCATCCTCAGAAACTTATTTGTGATGTGTGTCCTCAACTAACAGAGTTGAAACTTTGTTTTGATACAGCATTTTGGAAACACTCTTTGTAGAATCTGCAGGTGGATATTTGGATAGCTTAGAGGGATTCGTTGGAAAGGGGATATCTTCATATAAAATCTAGACAGAAGCATTCTCAGAAACTTATTTGTGATGTGTGTCCTCAACTAACAGAGTTGAACCTTGGTTTTGATACAGCATTTTGGAAACACTCCTTTTGTAGAATCTGCAGGTGGATATGTGGATAGCTCTGAAGATTTCGTTGGAAACGGGAATTTCTTCATATAAAATCAAACAGAAGCATTCTCAGAAACTTCTCAGTGATGTTTGCATTCAGCTCATGGAGTTGAACACTTCCTTTCATAGAGCAGGTTTGAAACACTCTTTCTGCACTACCTGGAAGAGGACATTTCGAGCGCTTTGAGTCCTATGGTGAAAAAGGAAATATCTTCTCATAGAAACCAGAAAGAAGCATTCTCAGAAACTTCTTTGTGTTGTGTGTACTCATGTAACAGTGTTGAACCATCCTTTTGACAGAGCAGTTTTGAAACACTCTTTTTGTAGAATCTGCAAGTGGATATTTGGATAGCTTTGAGGATTTTGTTGGAAACGGGATGACATATAATATCTAGAGAGAAGCATTCTCAGGAACTTCTTTGTGATGTTTGCATTCAAGTCACAGAATTGAACATTCCCTTTCATAGAGCAGGTTTGAAACACTCTTTCTCTAGTATCTGGAAGTGGGCATTTCAAGCGCTTTCAGGCCTATGGAGAGAAAGGGAATACCTTCAAATAAAAACTAGACAGAAGCATTCTCAGAAACTTATTTGTGATGTGTGTCCTCAACTAACAGAGTTGAACCTTTGTTTTGATACAGCATTTTGGAAACACTTCTTTTGTAGAATCTGCAGGTGGATATTTGGATAGCTTTGAAGATTTCGTTGGAAACCGGAATATCTTCATATAAAATCAAGACAGAAGCATTCTCGGAAACATCTCTGTGATGTTTGCATTCAACTCAGTAGAGTTGAACACTTCCTTTCATAGAGCAGGTTTGAAACACTCTTTCTGCACTACCTGGAAGCGGACATTTCGAGCGCTTTGAGGCCTATGGTGAAAAAGGAAATATCTTCTCATAAAAACCAGAAAGAAGCATTCTCAGAAACTTCTTTGTGTTGTGTGTACTCAAGTAACAGTGTTGAACCTTCCTTTTGACAGAGCAGTTTTGAAACACTCTTTTGGTAGAATCTGCAAGTGGATATTTGGATAGCTTTGAGGATTTCGTTGGAAACGGGTTATCTTCCTATAAAATCCAGACAGGAGCATTCTCAGAAACTTCTTTGTGCTGTATGTCCTCAATTCACAGAGCTGAACCTTTGTTTGGATACAGCATTTTGGAGACATTCCTTTAGTAGAATCTGCAAGTTGATATTTAGATAGCTTTGAAGATTTCGTTGGAAACGGGAATATCTTCATAGAAAATCTAGACGGAAGCATTCTCAGAAACTGCTTTGTGATGTTTGCATTCAAGTCACAGAGTTGAATATTCCCTTTTATAGAGTAGGTTTGAAACACTCTTTCGGCACTACCTGGAAGTGGATATTTCGAGCTCTTTGAGGCCTATGGTTAAAAGGAAATATCTTCCCATAAAAACTAGACAGAAGCCGTCTCAGAAACTTGTTTGTGATGTGTGTATTCAACTAACAGAGTTGAACATTTCTGTTACAGAGCAATTTAAAACACTCTTTTTGTGGAATCTGAAAGTGGATAATTGGATAGCTTTGTGGATTTCGTTGGAAACGGGATGACGTATAAAATCTAGAGAGAAGCATTCTCAGGAACTTCTTTCTGATGTTTGCATTCAAGTCACAGAATTGAACATTCCTTTTCAGAGTGCAGGTTTGAAACACTCTTTCTGTAGTATCTGGAAGTGGACATTTCAAGCGCTTTCAGGCCTACGGGGAGAAAGGAAATATCTTCAAATAAAAACTAGAGAGAAGGATTCTCAGAAACTTATTTGTGATGTGTGTCCTAAACGAACACAGTTGAACCTTTGTTTTGATACAGCATTTTGGAAACACTCCTTTTGTAGGATCTGCAGGTGGATATTTGGATAGATTTTAAGATTTCGTTGGAAACGGGAATTTCTTCATAGAAGCTCAAGACAGATGCATTCTCAGAAACTTCTCTGTGATGTTTGCATTCCACTCATAGAGTTGAAAACTTCCTTTCATAGAGCAGGTTTGAAACACTCTTTTTGTAATATTTGGAAGTGGACATTTGCAGCGCTTTGAGGCCTATGGTGAAAAAGGAAATATCTTCTCATAAAAACCAGAAACAAGCATTCTCAGAAACTTCTTTTTGATGTGTGTACTCAAGTAACAGAGTTGAACCTTCCTCTTGACACAGCAGTTTCGAAACAATCTTTTTGTAGAATCTGCAAGTGGATATTTGGATAGCTTTGAGGATTTCGTTGGAAACGGGATATCTTCATATAAAATCTAGACAGAAGCATTCTCAGAAACTTCTTTGTGCTGTATGTCCTCAATTAACAGAGTTGAACCATTGCCTGGATACAGCATTTTGGAAACATTCCTTGAGTAGAATCTGCAAGTTGATATTTAGATAGATTTGAAGATTTCGTTGGAAAAGGGAATATCTCCATATAAAATCTAGAGGGAAGCATTCTCAGAAACTGCTTTGTGATGTTTCCATTCAAGTCACAGAGTTGAATATTCCCTTTTATAGAGCACGTTTGAAACACTCTTTCTGCACTATCTGGAAGCGGACATTTCGAGCGCTTTGAGGCCTATGGTGAAAAAGGAAATATCTTCCCATAAAAACTAGACAGAAGCATTCTCAGAAACTTGTTTGTGATGTGTGTATTCAACTAACAGAGTTGAACTTTTGTTTTTACAGAGCCGTTTTAAAACACTCTTTTTGTGGAATCAGAAAGTGGATATTCGGATGGCTCTGAGGATTTCGTTGGAAGCGGGATTACGTATAAAATCTAGAGAGAAGCATTCTCAGGAACTTCTTTGTGATGTTTGCATTGAAGTCACAGAATTGAACATTCACTTTGATAGAGCAGGTTTGAAACACTCATTCTGTAGTATCTGGAAGTGGACATTTCAAGCGCTTTCAGGCCTATGGTGAGAAAGGAAATATCTTCGAATAAAAACTAGACAGAAGCATCCTCAGAAACTTATTTGTGATGTGTGTCCTCAACTAACAGAGTTGAAACTTTGTTTTGATACAGCATTTTGGAAACACTCTTTTTGTAGAATCTGCAGGTGGATATTTTGATAGCTTAGAGGGATTCGTTGGAAAGGGGATATCTTCATATAAAATCTAGACAGAAGCATTCTCAGAAACTTATTTGTGATGTGTGTCCTCAACTAACAGAGTTGAACCTTGGTTTTGATACAGCATTTTGGAAACACTTCTTTTGTAGAATCTGCAGGTGGATATGTGGATAGCTTTGAAGATTTCGTTGGAAACGGGAATTTCTTCATATAAAATCAAACAGAAGCATTCTTAGAAACTTCTCAGTGATGTTTGCATTCAGCTCATGGAGTTGAACACTTCCTTTCATAGAGCAGGTTTGAAACATTCTTTCTGCACTACCTGGAAGAGGACATTTCGAGCGCTTTGAGTCCTATGGTGAAAAAGGAAATATCTTCTCATAGAAACCAGAAAGAAGCATTCTCAGAAACTTCTTTGTGTTGTGTGTACTCATGTAACAGTGTTGAACCATCCTTTTGACAGAGCAGTTTTGAAACACTCTTTTTGTAGAATCTGCAAGTGGATATTTGGATAGCTTTGAGGATTTCGTTGGAAACGGGATGACATATAATATCTAGAGAGAAGCATTCTCAGGAACTTCTTTGTGATGTTTGCATTCAAGTCACAGAATTGAACATTCCCTTTCATAGAGCAGGTTTGAAACACTCTTTCTCTAGTATCTGGAAGTGGGCATTTCAAGCGCTTTCAGGCCTATGGAGAGAAAGGAAATACCTTCAAATAAAAACTAGACAGAAGCATTCTCAGAAACTTATTTGTGATGTGTGTCCTCAACTAACAGAGTTGAACCTTTGTTTTGATACAGCATTTTGGAAACACTCCTTTTGTAGAATCTGCAGGTGGATATTTGGATAGCTTTGAAGATTTCGTTGGAAACCGGAATATGCTTCATATAAAATCAAGACAGAAGCATTCTCGGAAACATCTCTGTGATGTTTGCATTCAACTCAGTAGAGTTGAACACTTCCTTTCATAGAGCAGGTTTGAAACACTCTTTCTGCACTACCTGGAAGCGGACATTTCGAGCGCTTTGAGGCCTATGGTGAAAAAGGAAATATCTTCTCATAAAAACCAGAAAGAAGCATTCTCAGAAACTTCTTTGTGTTGTGTGTACTCAAGTAACAGTGTTGAACCTTCCTTTTGACAGAGCAGTTTTGAAACACTCTTTTGGTAGAATCTGCAAGTGGATATTTGGATAGCTTTGAGGATTTCGTTGGAAACGGGTTATCTTCCTATAAAATCCAGACAGGAGCATTCTCAGAAACTTCTTTGTGCTGTATGTCCTCAATTCACAGAGCTGAACCTTTGTTTGGATACAGCATTTTGGAGACATTCCTTTAGTAGAATCTGCAAGTTGATATTTAGATAGCTTTGAAGATTTCGTTGGAAACGGGAATATCTTCATAGAAAATCTAGACGGAAGCATTCTCAGAAACTGCTTTGTGATGTTTGCATTCAAGTCACAGAGTTGAATATTCCCTTTTATAGAGTAGGTTTGAAACACTCTTTCGGCACTACCTGGAAGTGGATATTTCGAGCTCTTTGAGGCCTATGGTTAAAAGGAAATATCTTCCCATAAAAACTAGACAGAAGCCGTCTCAGAAACTTGTTTGTGATGTGTGTATTCAACTAACAGAGTTGAACATTTCTGTTACAGAGCAATTTTAAAACACTCTTTGTGGAATCTGAAAGTGGATAATTGGATAGCTTTGTGGATTTCGTTGGAAACGGGATGACGTATAAAATCTAGAGAGAAGCATTCTCAGGAACTTCTTTCTGATGTTTGCATTCAAGTCACAGAATTGAACATTCCTTTTCAGAGTGCAGGTTTGAAACACTCTTTCTGTAGTATCTGGAAGTGGACATTTCAAGCGCTTTCAGGCCTACGGGGAGAAAGGAAATATCTTCAAATAAAAACTAGACAGAAGGATTCTCAGAAACTTATTTGTGATGTGTGTCCTAAACGAACACAGTTGAACCTTTGTTTTGATACAGCATTTTGGAAACACTCCTTTTGTAGGATCTGCAGGTGGATATTTGGATAGATTTTAAGATTTCGTTGGAAACGGGAATTTCTTCATAGAAGCTCAAGACAGATGCATTCTCAGAAACTTCTCTGTGATGTTTGCATTCCACTCATAGAGTTGAAAACTTCCTTTCATAGAGCAGGTTTGAAACACTCTTTTTGTAATATTTGGAAGTGGACATTTGCAGCGCTTTGAGGCCTATGGTGAAAAAGGAAATATCTTCTCATAAAAACCAGAAACAAGCATTCTCAGAAACTTCTTTTTGATGTGTGTACTCAAGTAACAGAGTTGAACCTTCCTTTTGACACAGCAGTTTTGAAACAATCTTTTTGTAGAATCTGCAAGTGGATATTTGGATAGCTTTGAGGATTTCGTTGGAAACGGGATATCTTCATATAAAATCTAGACAGAAGCATTCTCAGAAACTTCTTTGTGCTGTATGTCCTCAATTAACAGAGTTGAACCATTGCTTGGATACAGCATTTTGGAAACATTCCTTGAGTAGAATCTGCAAGTTGATATTTAGATAGATTTGAAGATTTCGTTGGAAAAGGGAATATCTCCATATAAAATCTAGAGGGAAGCATTCTCAGAAACTGCTTTGTGATGTTTCCATTCAAGTCACAGAGTTGAATATTCCCTTTTATAGAGCACGTTTGAAACACTCTTTCTGCACTATCTGGAAGTGGACATTTCGAGCGCTTTGAGGCCTATGGTGAAAAAGGAAATATCTTCCCATAAAAACTAGACAGAAGCATTCTCAGAAACTTGTTTGTGATGTGTGTATTCAACTAACAGAGTTGAACTTTTGTTTTTACAGAGCCGTTTTAAAACACTCTTTTTGTGGAATCAGAAAGTGGATATTCGGATGGCTCTGAGGATTTCGTTGGAAGCGGGATTACATATAAAATCTAGAGAGAAGCATTCTCAGGAACTTCTTTGTGATGTTTGCATTGAAGTCACAGAATTGAACATTCACTTTGATAGAGCAGGTTTGAAACACTCATTCTGTAGGATCTGGAAGTGGACATTTCAAGCGCTTTCAGGCCTATGGTGAGAAAGGAAATATCTTCGAATAAAAACTAGACAGAAGCATCCTCAGAAACTTATTTGTGATGTGTGTCCTCAACTAACAGAGTTGAAACTTTGTTTTGATACAGCAGTTTGGAAACACTCTTTTTGTAGAATCTGCAGGTGGATATTTGGATAGCTTAGAGGGATTCGTTGGAAAGGGGATATCTTCATATAAAATCTAGACAGAAGCATTCTCAGAAACTTATTTGTGATGTGTGTCCTCAACTAACAGAGTTGAACCTTGGTTTTGATACAGCATTTTGGAAACACTCCTTTTGTAGAATCTGCAGGTGGATATGTGGATAGCTCTGAAGATTTCGTTGGAAACGGGAATTTCTTCATATAAAATCAAACAGAAGCATTCTCAGAAACTTCTCAGTGATGTTTGCATTCAGTTCATGCAGTTGAACACTTCCCTTCATAGAGCCGGTTTGAAACACTCTTTCTGCACTACCTGGAAGAGGACATTTCGAGCGCTTTGAGTCCTATGGTGAAAAAGGAAATATCTTCTCATAGAAACCAGAAAGAAGCATTCTCAGAAACTTCTTTGTGTTGTGTGTACTCATGTAACAGTGTTGAACCATCCTTTTGACAGAGCAGTTTTGAAACACTCTTTTTGTAGAATCTGCAAGTGGATATTTGGATAGCTTTGAGGATTTCGTTGGAAACGGGATGACATATAATATCTAGAGAGAAGCATTCTCAGGAACTTCTTTGTGATGTTTGCATTCAAGTCACAGAATTGAACATTCCCTTTCATAGAGCAGGTTTGAAACACTCTTTCTCTAGTATCTGGAAGTGGGCATTTCAAGCGCTTTCAGGCCTATGGAGAGAAAGGAAATACCTTCAAATAAAAACTAGACAGAAGCATTCTCAGAAACTTATTTGTGATGTGTGTCCTCAACTAACAGAGTTGAACCTTTGTTTTGATACAGCATTTTGGAAACACTCCTTTTGTAGAATCTGCAGGTGGATATGTGGATAGCTTTGAAGATTTCGTTGGAAACCGGAATATCTTCCTATAAAATCAAGACAGAAGCATTCTCGGAAACATCTCTGTGATGTTTGCATTCAACTCAGTAGAGTTGAACACTTCCTTTCATAGAGCAGGTTTGAAACACTCTTTCTGCACTACCTGGAAGCGGACATTTCGAGCGCTTTGAGGCCTATGGTGAAAAAGGAAATATCTTCTCATAAAAACCAGAAAGAAGCATTCTCAGAAACTTCTTTGTGTTGTGTGTACTCAAGTAACAGTGTTGAACCTTCCTTTTGACAGAGCAGTTTTGAAACACTCTTTTGGTAGAATCTGCAAGTGGATATTTGGATAGCTTTGAGGATTTCGTTGGAAACGGGTTATCTTCCTATAAAATCCAGACAGGAGCATTCTCAGAAACTTCTTTGTGCTGTATGTCCTCAATTCACAGAGCTGAACCTTTGTTTGGATACAGCATTTTGGAGACATTCCTTTAGTAGAATCTGCAAGTTGATATTTAGATAGCTTTGAAGATTTCGTTGGAAACGGGAATATCTTCATAGAAAATCTAGACGGAAGCATTCTCAGAAACTGCTTTGTGATGTTTGCATTCAAGTCACAGAGTTGAATATTCCCTTTTATAGAGTAGGTTTGAAACACTCTTTCGGCACTACCTGGAAGTGGATATTTCGAGCTCTTTGAGGCCTATGGTTAAAAGGAAATATCTTCCCATAAAAACTAGACAGAAGCCGTCTCAGAAACTTGTTTGTGATGTGTGTATTCAACTACCAGAGTTGAACATTTCTGTTACAGAGCAATTTTAAAACACTCTTTTTGTGGAATCTGAAAGTGGATAATTGGATAGCTTTGTGGATTTCGTTGGAAACGGGATGACGTATAAAATCTAGAGAGAAGCATTCTCAGGAACTTCTTTCTGATGTTTGCATTCAAGTCACAGAATTGAACATTCCTTTTCAGAGTGCAGGTTTGAAACACACTCTTTCTGTAGTATCTGGAAGTGGACATTTCAAGCGCTTTCAGGCCTACGGGGAGAAAGGAAATATCTTCAAATAAAAACTAGACAGAAGGATTCTCAGAAACTTATTTGTGATGTGTGTCCTAAACGAACACAGTTGAACCTTTGTTTTGATACAGCATTTTGGAAACACTCCTTTTGTAGGATCTGCAGGTGGATATTTGGATAGATTTTAAGATTTCGTTGGAAACGGGAATTTCTTCATAGAAGCTCAAGACAGATGCATTCTCAGAAACTTCTCTGTGATGTTTGCATTCCACTCATAGAGTTGAAAACTTCCTTTCATAGAGCAGGTTTGAAACACTCTTTTTGTAATATTTGGAAGTGGACATTTGCAGCGCTTTGAGGCCTATGGTGAAAAAGGAAATATCTTCTCATAAAAACCAGAAACAAGCATTCTCAGAAACTTCTTTTTGATGTGTGTACTCAAGTAACAGAGTTGAACCTTCCTCTTGACACAGCAGTTTTGAAACAATCTTTTTGTAGAATCTGCAAGTGGATATTTGGATAGCTTTGAGGATTTCGTTGGAAACGGGATATCTTCATATAAAATCTAGACAGAAGCATTCTCAGAAACTTCTTTGTGCTGTATGTCCTCAATTAACAGAGTTGAACCATTGCCTGGATACAGCATTTTGGAAACATTCCTTGAGTAGAATCTGCAAGTTGATATTTAGATAGATTTGAAGATTTCGTTGGAAAAGGGAATATCTCCATATAAAATCTAGAGGGAAGCATTCTCAGAAACTGCTTTGTGATGTTTCCATTCAAGTCACAGAGTTGAATATTCCCTTTTATAGAGCACGTTTGAAACACTCTTTCTGCACTATCTGGAAGCGGACATTTCGAGCGCTTTGAGGCCTATGGTGAAAAAGGAAATATCTTCCCATAAAAACTAGACAGAAGCATTCTCAGAAACTTGTTTGTGATGTGTGTATTCAACTAACAGAGTTGAACTTTTGTTTTTACAGAGCCGTTTTAAAACACTCTTTTTGTGGAATCAGAAAGTGGATATTCGGATGGCTCTGAGGATTTCGTTGGAAGCGGGATTACGTATAAAATCTAGAGAGAAGCATTCTCAGGAACTTCTTTGTGATGTTTGCATTGAAGTCACAGAATTGAACATTCACTTTGATAGAGCAGGTTTGAAACACTCATTCTGTAGTATCTGGAAGTGGACATTTCAAGCGCTTTCAGGCCTATGGTGAGAAAGGAAATATCTTCGAATAAAAACTAGACAGAAGCATCCTCAAACTTATTTGTGATGTGTGTCCTCAACTAACAGAGTTGAAACTTTGTTTTGATACAGCATTTTGGAAACACTCTTTTTGTAGAATCTGCAGGTGGATATTTGGATAGCTTAGAGGGATTCGTTGGAAAGGGGATATCTTCATATAGAATCTAGACAGAAGCATTCTCAGAAACTTATTTGTGATGTGTGTCCTCAACTAACAGAGTTGAACCTTGGTTTTGATACAGCATTTTGGAAACACTCCTTTTGTAGAATCTGCAGGTGGATATGTGGATAGCTTCGAAGATTTCGTTGGAAACGGGAATTTCTTCATATAAAATCAAACAGAAGCATTCTCAGAAACTTCTCAGTGATGTTTGCATTCAGCTCATGGAGTTGAACACTTCCTTTCATAGAGCCGGTTTGAAACACTCTTTCTGCACTACCTGGAAGAGGACATTTCGAGCGCTTTGAGGCCTATGGTGAAAAAGGAAATATCTTCTCATAGAAACCAGAAAGAAGCATTCTCAGAAACTTCTTTGTGTTGTGTGTACTCATGTAACAGTGTTGAACCATCCTTTTGACAGAGCAGTTTTGAAACACTCTTTTTGTAGAATCTGCAAGTGGATATTTGGATAGCTTTGAGGATTTCGTTGGAAACGGGATGACATATAATATCTAGAGAGAAGCATTCTCAGGAACTTCTTTGTGATGTTTGCATTCAAGTCACAGAATTGAACATTCCCTTTCATAGAGCAGGTTTGAAACACTCTTTCTCTAGTATCTGGAAGTGGGCATTTCAAGCGCTTTCAGGCCTATGGAGAGAAAGGAAATACCTTCAAATAAAAACTAGACAGAAGCATTCTCAGAAACTTATTTGTGATGTGTGTCCTCAACTAACAGAGTTGAACCTTTGTTTTGATACAGCATTTTGGAAACACTCCTTTTGTAGAATCTGCAGGTGGATATTTGGATAGCTTTGAAGATTTCGTTGGAAACCGGAATATCTTCATATAAAATCAAGACAGAAGCATTCTCGGAAACATCTCTGTGATGTTTGCATTCAACTCAGTAGAGTTGAACACTTCCTTTCATAGAGCAGGTTTGAAACACTCTTTCTGCACTACCTGGAAGCGGACATTTCGAGCGCTTTGAGGCCTATGGTGAAAAAGGAAATATCTTCTCATAAAAACCAGAAAGAAGCATTCTCAGAAACTTCTTTGTGTTGTGTGTACTCAAGTAACAGTGTTGAACCTTCCTTTTGACAGAGCAGTTTTGAAACACTCTTTTGGTAGAATCTGCAAGTGGATATTTGGAGAGCTTTGAGGATTTCGTTGGAAACGGGTTATCTTCATATAAAATCCAGACAGGAGCATTCTCAGAAACTTCTTTGTGCTGTATGTCCTCAATTCACAGCAGCTGAACCTTTGTTTGGATACAGCATTTTGGAGACATTCCTTTAGTAGAATCTGCAAGTTGATATTTAGATAGCTTTGAAGATTTCGTTGGAAACGGGAATATCTTCATAGAAAATCTAGACGGAAGCATTCTCAGAAACTGCTTTGTGATGTTTGCATTCAAGTCACAGAGTTGAATATTCCCTTTTATAGAGTAGGTTTGAAACACTCTTTCGGCACTACCTGGAAGTGGATATTTCGAGCTCTTTGAGGCCTATGGTTAAAAGGAAATATCTTCCCATAAAAACTAGACAGAAGCCGTCTCAGAAACTTGTTTGTGATGTGTGTATTCAACTAACAGAGTTGAACATTTCTGTTACAGAGCAATTTTAAAACACTCTTTGTGGAATCTGAAAGTGGATAATTGGATAGCTTTGTGGATTTCGTTGGAAACGGGATGACGTATAAAATCTAGAGAGAAGCATTCTCAGGAACTTCTTTCTGATGTTTGCATTCAAGTCACAGAATTGAACATTCCTTTTCAGAGTGCAGGTTTGAAACACTCTTTCTGTAGTATCTGGAAGTGGACATTTCAAGCGCTTTCAGGCCTACGGGGAGAAAGGAAATATCTTCAAATAAAAACTAGACAGAAGGATTCTCAGAAACTTATTTGTGATGTGTGTCCTAAACGAACACAGTTGAACCTTTGTTTTGATACAGCATTTTGGAAACACTCCTTTTGTAGGATCTGCAGGTGGATATTTGGATAGATTTTAAGATTTCGTTGGAAACGGGAATTTCTTCATAGAAGCTCAAGACAGATGCATTCTCAGAAACTTCTCTGTGATGTTTGCATTCCACTCATAGAGTTGAAAACTTCCTTTCATAGAGCAGGTTTGAAACACTCTTTTTGTAATATTTGGAAGTGGACATTTGCAGCGCTTTGAGGCCTATGGTGAAAAAGGAAATATCTTCTCATAAAAACCAGAAACAAGCATTCTCAGAAACTTCTTTTTGATGTGTGTACTCAAGTAACAGAGTTGAACCTTCCTTTTGACACAGCAGTTTTGAAACAATCTTTTTGTAGAATCTGCAAGTGGATATTTGGATAGCTTTGAGGATTTCGTTGGAAACGGGATATCTTCATATAAAATCTAGACAGAAGCATTCTCAGAAACTTCTTTGTGCTGTATGTCCTCAATTAACAGAGTTGAACCATTGCTTGGATACAGCATTTTGGAAACATTCCTTGAGTAGAATCTGCAAGTTGATATTTAGATAGATTTGAAGATTTCGTTGGAAAAGGGAATATCTCCATATAAAATCTAGAGGGAAGCATTCTCAGAAACTGCTTTGTGATGTTTCCATTCAAGTCACAGAGTTGAATATTCCCTTTTATAGAGCACGTTTGAAACACTCTTTCTGCACTATCTGGAAGTGGACATTTCGAGCGCTTTGAGGCCTATGGTGAAAAAGGAAATATCTTCCCATAAAAACTAGACAGAAGCATTCTCAGAAACTTGTTTGTGATGTGTGTATTCAACTAACAGAGTTGAACTTTTGTTTTTACAGAGCCGTTTTAAAACACTCTTTTTGTGGAATCAGAAAGTGGATATTCGGATGGCTCTGAGGATTTCGTTGGAAGCGGGATTACGTATAAAATCTAGAGAGAAGCATTCTCAGAAACTTCTTTCTGATGTTTGCATTGAAGTCACAGAATTGAACATTCACTTTGATAGAGCAGGTTTGAAACACTCATTCTGTAGTATCTGGAAGTGGACATTTCAAGCGCTTTCAGGCCTATGGTGAGAAAGGAAATATCTTCGAATAAAAACTAGACAGAAGCATCCTCAAACTTATTTGTGATGTGTGTCCTCAACTAACAGAGTTGAAACTTTGTTTTGATACAGCATTTTGGAAACACTCTTTTTGTAGAATCTGCAGGTGGATATTTGGATAGCTTAGAGGGATTCGTTGGAAAGGGGATATCTTCATATAAAATCCTAGACAGAAAGCATTCTCAGAAACTTATTTGTGATGTGTGTCCTCAACTAACAGAGTTGAACTTTGGTTTTGATACAGCATTTTGGAAACACTCCTTTTGTAGAATCTGCAGGTGGATATGTGGATAGCTCTGAAGATTTCGTTGGAAACGGGAATTTCTTCATATAAAATCAAACAGAAGCATTCTCAGAAACTTCTCAGTGATGTTTGCATTCAGTTCATGGAGTTGAACACTTCCTTTCATAGAGCCGGTTTGAAACACTCTTTCTGCACTACCTGGAAGAGGACATTTCGAGCGCTTTGAGTCCTATGGTGAAAAAGGAAATATCTTCTCATAGAAACCAGAAAGAAGCATTCTCAGAAACTTCTTTGTGTTGTGTGTACTCATGTAACAGTGTTGAACCATCCTTTTGACAGAGCAGTTTTGAAACACTCTTTTTGTAGAATCTGCAAGTGGATATTTGGATAGCTTTGAGGATTTCGTTGGAAACGGGATGACATATAATATCTAGAGAGAAGCATTCTCAGGAACTTCTTTGTGATGTTTGCATTCAAGTCACAGAATTGAACATTCCCTTTCATAGAGCAGGTTTGAAACACTCTTTCTCTAGTATCTGGAAGTGGGCATTTCAAGCGCTTTCAGGCCTATGGAGAGAAAGGAAATACCTTCAAATAAAAACTAGACAGAAGCATTCTCAGAAACTTATTTGTGATGTGTGTCCTCAACTAACAGAGTTGAACCTTTGTTTTGATACAGCATTTTGGAAACACTCCTTTTGTAGAATCTGCAGGTGGATATTTGGATAGCTTTGAAGATTTCGTTGGAAACCGGAATATCTTCATATAAAATCAAGACAGAAGCATTCTCGGAAACATCTCTGTGATGTTTGCATTCAACTCAGTAGAGTTGAACACTTCCTTTCATAGAGCAGGTTTGAAACACTCTTTCTGCACTACCTGGAAGCGGACATTTCGAGCGCTTTGAGGCCTATGGTGAAAAAGGAAATATCTTCTCATAAAAACCAGAAAGAAGCATTCTCAGAAACTTCTTTGTGTTGTGTGTACTCAAGTAACAGTGTTGAACCTTCCTTTTGACAGAGTAGTTTTGAAACACTCTTTTGGTAGAATCTGCAAGTGGATATTTGGATAGCTTTGAGGATTTCGTTGGGAACGGGTTATCTTCCTATAAAATCCAGACAGGAGCATTCTCAGAAACTTCTTTGTGCTGTATGTCCTCAATTCACAGAGTTGAACCTTTGTTTGGATACAGCATTTTGGAAACATTCCTTTAGTAGAATCTGCAAGTTGATATTTAGATAGCTTTGAAGATTTCGTTGGAAACGGGAATATCTTCATAAAAAATCTAGACGGAAGCATTGTCAGAAACTGCTCTGTGATGTTTGCATTCAAGTCACAGAGTTAAATATTCTTTTACAGAGCAGGTTTGAAACACTCTTTCTGCACTCCCTGGAAGTGGAGATTTCGAGCGCTTTGAGGCCTATGGTGAAAAAGGAAATATCTTCCCGTAAAAACTAGACGGAAGCCTTCTCAGAAACTTGTTTGAGATGTGTGTATTCAACTAAGAGCGTTGAACATTTCTTTTTACAGAGCAGTTTTAAAACAGTCTTTTGGTGGAATCTGAAAGTGGATAATTGGATAGCTTTGTGGATTTCGTTGGAAACGGGATTACGTTTAAAATCTAGAGAGAAGCATTCTCAGGAACTTCTTTCTGATGTTTGCATTCAAGTCACAGAATTGAACATTCCTTTTCATAGTGCAGGTTTGAAACACTCTGTAGTATCTGGAAGTGGACATTTCAAGCGCTTTCAAGCCTGTGGGGAGAAAGGAAATATCTTGAAATAAAAACTAGACAGAAGGATTCTCAGAAACTTATTTGTGATGTGTGTCCTAAACGAACACAGTTGAACCTTTGTTTTGATACAGCATTTTGGAAACACTCCTTTTGTAGAATCTGCAGGTGGATATTTGGATAGATTTTAAGATTTCATTGGAAACGGGAATTTCTTCATATAAACTCAAGACAGATGCATTCTCAGAAACTTCTCTGTGATGTTTGCATTCCACTCACAGAGTTGAAAACTTCCTTTCATAGAGCAGGTTTGAAACACTCTTTTTGTAATATTTGGAAGTGGACATTTGCAGCGCTTTGAGGCCTATGGTGAAAAAGGAAATATCTTCTCATAAAAACCAGAAACAAGCATTCTCAGAAACTGCTTTTTGATGTGTGTACTCAAGTAACAGAGTTGAACCTTCCTTTTGACACAGCAGTTTTGAAACAATCTTTTTGTAGAATCTGCAAGTGGATATTTGGATAGCTTTGAGGATTTCGTTGGAAACGGGATATCTTCATATAAAATCTAGACAGAAGCATTCTCAGAAACTTCTTTGTGCTGTATGTCCTCAATTAACAGAGTTGAACCATTGCTTGGATACAGCATTTTGGAAACATTCCTTTAGTAGAATCTGCAAGTTGATATTTAGATAGCTTTGAAGATTTCGTTGGAAACGGGAATATCTTCATATAAAATCTAGACGGAGGCATTCTCAGAAACTGCTTTGTGATGTTTCCATTCAAGTCACAGAGTTGAATATTCCCTTTTATAGAGCACGTTTGAAACACTCTTTCGGCACTATCTGGAAGTGGACATTTCGAGCGCTTTGAGGCCTATGGTGAAAAAGGAAATATCTTCCCATAAAAACTAGACAGAAGCATTCTCAGAAACTTGTTTGTGATGTGTGTATTCAACTAACAGACTTGAACTTTTGTTTTTACAGAGCAGTTTTAAAACAATCTTTTTGTGGAATCAGAAAGTGGATATTCGGATGGCTTTGAGGATTTCGTTGGAAGCGGGATTACATATAAAATGTAGAGAGAAGCATTCTCAGGAACTACTTTGTGATGTTTGCATTGAAGTCACAGAATTGAACATTCACTTTGATAGAGCAGGTTTGAAACACTCATGCTGTAGTATCTGGAAGTGGACATTTCAAGCGCTTTCAGGCCTATGGGG
Organism: Homo sapiens; assembly: GCF_000001405.40. Lineage (NCBI taxonomy): Eukaryota > Metazoa > Chordata > Mammalia > Primates > Hominidae > Homo > Homo sapiens. The sequence continues at coordinate 49,978,123 of NC_000004.12, forward strand.
AGAAAGGAAATATCTTCAAATTAAAACTAGACAGAAGCATCCTCAGAAACTTATTTGTGATGTGTGTCCTCAACTAACAGAGTTGAAACTTTGTTTTGATACAGCATTTTGGAAACACTCTTTTTGTAGAATCTGCAGGTGGATACTTGGATAGCTTAGAGGGATTCGTTGGAAAGGGGATAAATTCATATAAAATCTAGACAGAAGCATTCTCAGATACTTATTTGTGATGTGTGTCCTGAACTAACAGAGTTGAACCTTGGTTTTGATACAGCATTTTGGAAACACTCCTTTTGAAGAATCTGCAGGTGGATATGTGGATAGCTTTGAAGATTTCGTTGGAAACGGGAATTTCTTCATATAAAATCAAACAGAAGCATTCTCAGGAACTTCTCTGTGATGTTTGCATTCAGCTCATGGAGTTGAACACTTCCTTTCATAGAGCAGGTTTGAAACACTCTTTCTGCACTACCTGGAAGTGGACATTTCGAGCGCTTTGAGGCCTATGGTGAAAAAGGAAATATCCTCTCATAAAAACCAGAAAGAAGCGTTCTCAGAAACTTCTTTGTGTTGTGTGTACTCATGTAACAGTGTTGAACCATCCTTTTGACAGAGCAGTTTTGAAACACTCTTTTTGTAGAATCTGCCAGTGGATATTTGGATAGCTTTGAGGATTTCGTTGGAAACGGGTTATCTTCATATTAAATCTAGACAGAAGCATTCTCAGAAACTTCTTTGTGCTGTATGTCCTCAATTCACAGAGTTGAACCTTTGTTTGGATACAGCATTTTGGAAACATTCCTTTAGTAGAATCTGCAAGTTGATATTTAGATAGCTTTGAAGATTTCGTTGGAAACGGGAATATCTTCATAAAAAATCTAGACGGAAGCATTGTCAGAAACTGCTCTGTGATGTTTGCATTCAAGTCACAGAGTTAAATATTCTTTTATAGAGCAGGTTTGAAGCACTCTTTCTGCACTCCCTGGAAGTGGAGATTTCGAGCGCTTTGAGGCCTATGGTGAAAAAGGAAATATCTTCCCATAAAAACTAGACGGAAGCCTTCTCAGAAACTTGTTTGAGATGTGTGTATTCAACTAAGAGCGTTGAACATTTCTTTTTACAGAGCAGTTTTAAAACACTCTTTTGGTGGAATCTGAAAGTGGTTAATGGGATAGCTTTGTGGATTTCGTTGGAAACGGGATTACGTTTAAAATATAGAGAGAAGCATTCTCAGGAACTTCTTTCTGATGTTTGCATTCAAGTCACAGAATTGAACATTCCTTTTCATAGTGCAGGTTTGAAACACTCTGTAGTATCTGGAAGTGGACATTTCAAGCGCTTTCAAGCCTATGGGGAGAAAGGAAATATCTTGAAATAAAAACTAGACAGAAGGATTCTCAGAAACTTATTTGTGATGTGTGTCCTAAACGAACACAGTTGAACCTTTGTTTTGATACAGCATTTTGGAAACACTCCTTTTGTAGAATCTGCAGGTGGATATTTGGATAGATTTTAAGATTTCATTGGAAACGGGAATTTCTTCATATAAACTCAAGACAGATGCATTCTCCGAAACTTCTCTGTGATGTTTGCATTCCACTCACAGAGTTGAAAACTTCCTTTCATAGAGCAGGTTTGAAACACTCTTTTTGTAATATTTGGAAGTGGACATTTGCAGCGCTTTGAGGCCTATGGTGAAAAAGGAAATATCTTTTCATAAAAACCAGAAACAAGCATTCTGAGAAACTGCTTTTTGATGTGTGTACTCAAGTAACAGAGTTGAACCTTCCTTTTGACACAGCAGTTTTGAAACAATCTTTCTGTAGAATCTGCAAGTGGATATTTGGATAGCTTTGAGGATTTCGTTGGAAACGGGATATCTTCATATAAAATCTAGACAGAAGCATTCTCAGAAACTTCTTTGTTCTGTATGTCCTCAATTAACAGAGTTGAACCATTGCTTGGATACAGCATTTTGGAAACATTCCTTTAGTAGAATCTGCAAGTTGATATTTAGATAGATTTGAAGAATTCGTTGGAAACGGGAATATCTTCATATAAAATCTAGACGGAGGCATTCTCAGAAACTGCTTTGTGATGTTTCCATTCAAGTCACAGAGTTGAATATTCTCTTTTATAGAGCACGTTTGAAACACTCTTTCTGCACTATCTGGAAGTGGACATTTCGAGCGCTTTGAAGCCTATGGTGAAAAAGGAAATATCTTCCCATAAAAACTAGACAGAAGCATTCTCAGAAACTTGTTTGTGATGTGTGTATTCAACTAACAGACTTGAACTTTTGTTTTTACAGAGCAGTTTTAAAACAATCTTTTTGTGGAATCAGAAAGTGGATATTCGGATGGCTTTGAGGATTTCGTTGGAAGCGGGATTACATATAAAATCTAGAGAGAAGCATTCTCAGGAACTACTTTGTGATGTTTGCATTGAAGTCACAGAATTGAACATTCACTATGATAGAGCAGGTTTGAAACACTCATGCTGTAGTATCTGGAAGTGGACATTTCAAGCGCTTTCAGGCCTATGGTGAGAAAGGAAATATCTTCAAATTAAAACTAGACAGAAGCATCCTCAGAAACTTATTTGTGATGTGTGTCCTCAACTAACAGAGTTGAAACTTTGTTTTGATACAGCATTTTGGAAACACTCTTTTTGTAGAATCTGCAGGTGGATATTTTGATAGCTTAGAGGGATTCGTTGGAAAGGGGATATCTTCATATAAAATCTAGACAGAAGCATTCTCAGAAACTTATTTGTGATGTGTGTCCTCAACTAACAGAGTTGAACCTTGGTTTTGATACAGCATTTTGGAAACACTCCTTTTGAAGAATCTGCAGGTGGATATGTGGATAGCTTTGAAGATTTCGTTGGAAACGGGAATTTCTTCATATAAAATCAAACAGAAGCATTCTCAGGAACTTCTCTGTGATGTTTGCATTCAGCTCATGGAGTTGAACACTTCCTTTCATAGAGCAGGTTTGAAACACTCTTTCTGCACTACCTGGAAGTGGACATTTCGAGCGCTTTGAGGCCTATGGTGAAAAAGGAAATATCCTCTCATAAAAACCAGAAAGAAGCGTTCTCAGAAACTTCTTTGTGTTGTGTGTACTCATGTAACAGTGTTGAACCATCCTTTTGACAGAGCAGTTTTGAAACACTCTTTTTGTAGAATCTGCCAGTGGATATTTGGATAGCTTTGAGGATTTCGTTGGAAACGGGTTATCTTCATATTAAATCTAGACAGAAGCATTCTCAGAAACTTCTTTGTGCTGTATGTCCTCAATTCACAGAGTTGAACCTTTGTTTGGATACAGCATTTTGGAAACATTCCTTTAGTAGAATCTGCAAGTTGATATTGAGATAGCTTTGAAGATTTCGTTGGAAACGGGAATATCTTCATAAAAAATCTAGACGGAAGCATTGTCAGAAACTGCTCTGTGATGTTTGCATTCAAGTCACAGAGTTAAATATTCTTTTATAGAGCAGGTTTGAAACACTCTTTCTGCACTCCCTGGAAGTGGAGATTTCGAGCGCTTTGAGGCCTATGGTGAAAAAGGAAATATCTTCCCATAAAAACTAGACGGAAGCCTTCTCAGAAACTTGTTTGAGATGTGTGTATTCAACTAAGAGCGTTGAACATTTCTTTTTACAGAGCAGTTTTAAAACACTCTTTTGGTGGAATCTGAAAGTGGATAATTGGATAGCTTTGTGGATTTCGTTGGAAACGGGATTACGTTTAAAATCTAGAGAGAAGCATTCTCAGGAACTTCTTTCTGATGTTTGCATTCAAGTCACAGAATTGAACATTCCTTTTCATAGTGCAGGTTTGAAACACTCTGTAGTATCTGGAAGTGGACATTTCAAGCGCTTTCAAGCCTATGGGGAGAAAGTAAATATCTTGAAATAAAAACTAGACAGAAGGATTCTCAGAAACTTATTTGTGATGTGTGTCCTAAACGAACACAGTTGAACCTTTGTTTTGATACAGCATTTTGGAAACACTCCTTTTGTAGAATCTGCAGGTGGATATTTGGATAGATTTTAAGATTTCATTGGAAACGGGAATTTCTTCATATAAACTCAAGACAGATGCATTCTCAGAAACTTCTCTGTGATGTTTGCATTCCACTCATAGAGTTGAAAACTTCCTTTCATAGAGCAGGTTTGAAACACTCTTTTTGTAATATGTGGAAGTGGACATTTGCAGCGCTTTGAGGCCTATGGTGAAAAAGGAAATATCTTCTCATAAAAACCAGAAACAAGCATTCTCAGAAACTTCTTTTTGATGTGTGTACTCAAGTAACAGAGTTGAACCTTCCTCTTGACACAGCAGTTTTGAAACAATCTTTTTGTAGAATCTGCAAGTGGATATTTGGATAGCTTTGAGGATTTCGTTGGAAACGGGATATCTTCATATAAAATCTAGACAGAAGCATTCTCAGAAACTTCTTTGTGCTGTATGTCCTCAATTAACAGAGTTGAACCATTGCCTGGATACAGCATTTTGGAAACATTCCTTGAGTAGAATCTGCAAGTTGATATTTAGATAGATTTGAAGATTTCGTTGGAAAAGGGAATATCTCCATATAAAATCTAGAGGGAAGCATTCTCAGAAACTGCTTTGTGATGTTTCCATTCAAGTCACAGAGTTGAATATTCCCTTTTATAGAGCACGTTTGAAACACTCTTTCTGCACTATCTGGAAGCGGACATTTCGAGCGCTTTGAGGCCTATGGTGAAAAAGGAAATATCTTCCCATAAAAACTAGACAGAAGCATTCTCAGAAACTTGTTTGTGATGTGTGTATTCAACTAACAGAGTTGAACTTTTGTTTTTACAGAGCCGTTTTAAAACACTCTTTTTGTGGAATCAGAAAGTGGATATTCGGATGGCTCTGAGGATTTCGTTGGAAGCGGGATTACGTATAAAATCTAGAGAGAAGCATTCTCAGGAACTTCTTTGTGATGTTTGCATTGAAGTCACAGAATTGAACATTCCCTTTCATAGAGCAGGTTTGAAACACTCTTTCTCTAGTATCTGGAAGTGGGCATTTCAAGCGCTTTCAGGCCTATGGAGAGAAAGGAAATACCTTCAAATAAAAACTAGACAGAAGCATTCTCAGAAACTTATTTGTGATGTGTGTCCTCAACTAACAGAGTTGAACCTTTGTTTTGATACAGCATTTTGGAAACACTCCTTTTGTAGAATCTGCAGGTGGATATTTGGATAGCTTTGAAGATTTCGTTGGAAACCGGAATATCTTCATATAAAATCAAGACAGAAGCATTCTCGGAAACATCTCTGTGATGTTTGCATTCAACTCAGTAGAGTTGAACACTTCCTTTCATAGAGCAGGTTTGAAACACTCTTTCTGCACTACCTGGAAGCGGACATTTCGAGCGCTTTGAGGCCTATGGTGAAAAAGGAAATATCTTCTCATAAAAACCAGAAAGAAGCATTCTCAGAAACTTCTTTGTGTTGTGTGTACTCAAGTAACAGTGTTGAACCTTCCTTTTGACAGAGCAGTTTTGAAACACTCTTTTGGTAGAATCTGCAAGTGGATATTTGGATAGCTTTGAGGATTTCGTTGGAAACGGGTTATCTTCCTATAAAATCCAGACAGGAGCATTCTCAGAAACTTCTTTGTGCTGTATGTCCTCAATTCACAGAGCTGAACCTTTGTTTGGATACAGCATTTTGGAGACATTCCTTTAGTAGAATCTGCAAGTTGATATTTAGATAGCTTTGAAGATTTCGTTGGAAACGGGAATATCTTCATAGAAAATCTAGACGGGAAGCATTCTCATAAACTGCTTTGTGATGTTTGCATTCAAGTCACAGAGTTGAATATTCCCTTTTATAGAGTAGGTTTGAAACACTCTTTCGGCACTACCTGGAAGTGGATATTTCGAGCTGTTTGAGGCCTATGGTTAAAAGGAAATATCTTCCCATAAAAACTAGACAGAAGCCGTCTCAGAAACTTGTTTGTGATGTGTGTATTCAACTACCAGAGTTGAACATTTCTGTTACAGAGCAATTTTAAAACACTCTTTTTGTGGAATCTGAAAGTGGATAATTGGATAGCTTTGTGGATTTCGTTGGAAACGGGATGACGTATAAAATCTAGAGAGAAGCATTCTCAGGAACTTCTTTCTGATGTTTGCATTCAAGTCACAGAATTGAACATTCCTTTTCAGAGTGCAGGTTTGAAACACACTCTTTCTGTAGTATCTGGAAGTGGACATTTCAAGCGCTTTCAGGCCTACGGGGAGAAAGGAAATATCTTCAAATAAAAACTAGACAGAAGGATTCTCAGAAACTTATTTGTGATGTGTGTCCTAAACGAACACAGTTGAACCTTTGTTTTGATACAGCATTTTGGAAACACTCCTTTTGTAGGATCTGCAGGTGGATATTTGGATAGATTTTAAGATTTCGTTGGAAACGGGAATTTCTGCATATAAACTCAAGACAGATGCATTCTCAGAAACTTCTCTGTGATGTTTGCATTCCACTCATAGAGTTGAAAACTTCCTTTCATAGAGCAGGTTTGAAACACTCTTTTTGTAATATTTGGAAGTGGACATTTGCAGCGCTTTGAGGCCTATGGTGAAAAAGGAAATATCTTCTCATAAAAACCAGAAACAAGCATTCTCAGAAACTTCTTTTTGATGTGTGTACTCAAGTAACAGAGTTGAACCTTCCTTTTGACACAGCAGTTTTGAAACAATCTTTTTGTAGAATCTGCAAGTGGATATTTGGATAGCTTTGAGGATTTCGTTGGAAACGGGATATCTTCATATAAAATCTAGACAGAAGCATTCTCAGAAACTTCTTTGTGCTGTATGTCCTCAATTAACAGAGTTGAACCATTGCCTGGATACAGCATTTTGGAAACATTCCTTGAGTAGAATCTGCAAGTTGATATTTAGATAGATTTGAAGATTTCGTTGGAAAAGGGAATATCTCCATATAAAATCTAGAGGGAAGCATTCTCAGAAACTGCTTTGTGATGTTTCCATTCAAGTCACAGAGTTGAATATTCCCTTTTATAGAGCACGTTTGAAACACTCTTTCTGCACTATCTGGAAGCGGACATTTCGAGCGCTTTGAGGCCTATGGTGAAAAAGGAAATATCTTCCCATAAAAACTAGACAGAAGCATTCTCAGAAACTTATTTGTGATGTGTGTATTCAACTAACAGAGTTGAACTTTTGTTTTTACAGAGCCGTTTTAAAACACTCTTTTTGTGGAATCAGAAAGTGGATATTCGGATGGCTCTGAGGATTTCGTTGGAAGCGGGATTACGTATAAAATCTAGAGAGAAGCATTCTCAGGAACTTCTTTCTGATGTTTGCATTGAAGTCACGGAATTGAACATTCACTTTTATAGAGCAGGTTTGAAACACTCATTCTGTAGTATCTGGAAGTGGGCATTTCAAGCGCTTTCAGGCCTATGGTGAGAAAGGAAATATCTTCGAATAAAAACTAGACAGAAGCATCCTCAGAAACTTATTTGTGATGTGTGTCCTCAACTAACAGAGTTGAAACTTTGTTTTGATACAGCATTTTGGAAACACTCTTTTTGTAGAATCTGCAGGTGGATATTTGGATAGCTTAGAGGGATTCGTTGGAAAGGGGATATCTTCATATAAAATCTAGACAGAAGCATTCTCAGAAACTTATTTGTGATGTGTGTCCTCAACTAACAGAGTTGAACCTTGGTTTTGATACAGCATTTTGGAAACACTCCTTTTGTAGAATCTGCAGGTGGATATGTGGATAGCTCTGAAGATTTCGTTGGAAACGGGAATTTCTTCATATAAAATCAAACAGAAGCATTCTCAGAAACTTCTCAGTGATGTTTGCATTCAGTTCATGGAGTTGAACACTTCCCTTCATAGAGCCGGTTTGAAACACTCTTTCTGCACTACCTGGAAGAGGACATTTCGAGCGCTTTGAGTCCTATGGTGAAAAAGGAAATATCTTCTCATATAAACCAGAAAGAAGCATTCTCAGAAACTTCTTTGTGTTGTGTGTACTCATGTAACAGTGTTGAACCATCCTTTTGACAGAGCAGTTTTGAAACACTCTTTTTGTAGAATCTGCAAGTGGATATTTGGATAGCTTTGAGGATTTCGTTGGAAACGGGATGACATATAATATCTAGAGAGAAGCATTCTCAGGAACTTCTTTGTGATGTTTGCATTCAAGTCACAGAATTGAACATTCCCTTTCATAGAGCAGGTTTGAAACACTCTTTCTCTAGTATCTGGAAGTGGGCATTTCAAGCGCTTTCAGGCCTATGGAGAGAAAGGAAATACCTTCAAATAAAAACTAGACAGAAGCATTCTCAGAAACTTATTTGTGATGTGTGTCCTCAACTAACAGAGTTGAACCTTTGTTTTGATACAGCATTTTGGAAACACTCCTTTTGTAGAATCTGCAGGTGGATATTTGGATAGCTTTGAAGATTTCGTTGGAAACCGGAATATCTTCATATAAAATCAAGACAGAAGCATTCTCGGAAACATCTCTGTGATGTTTGCATTCAACTCAGTAGAGTTGAACACTTCCTTTCATAGAGCAGGTTTGAAACACTCTTTCTGCACTACCTGGAAGCGGACATTTCGAGCGCTTTGAGGCCTATGGTGAAAAAGGAAATATCTTCTCATAAAAACCAGAAAGAAGCATTCTCAGAAACTTCTTTGTGTTGTGTGTACTCAAGTAACAGTGTTGAACCTTCCTTTTGACAGAGTAGTTTTGAAACACTCTTTTGGTAGAATCTGCAAGTGGATATTTGGATAGCTTTGAGGATTTCGTTGGAAACGGGTTATCTTCCTATAAAATCCAGACAGGAGCATTCTCAGAAACTTCTTTGTGCTGTATGTCCTCAATTCACAGAGCTGAACCTTTGTTTGGATACAGCATTTTGGAGACATTCCTTTAGTAGAATCTGCAAGTTGATATTTAGATAGCTTTGAAGATTTCGTTGGAAACGGGAATATCTTCATAGAAAATCTAGACGGAAGCATTCTCAGAAACTGCTTTGTGATGTTTGCATTCAAGTCACAGAGTTGAATATTCCCTTTTATAGAGTAGGTTTGAAACACTCTTTCGGCACTACCTGGAAGTGGATATTTCGAGCTCTTTGAGGCCTATGGTTAAAAGGAAATATCTTCCCATAAAAACTAGACAGAAGCCGTCTCAGAAACTTGTTTGTGATGTGTGTATTCAACTACCAGAGTTGAACATTTCTGTTACAGAGCAATTTTAAAACACTCTTTCTGTGGAATCTGAAAGTGGATAATTGGATAGCTTTGTGGATTTCGTTGGAAACGGGATGACGTATAAAATCTAGAGAGAAGCATTCTCAGGAACTTCTTTCTGATGTTTGCATTCAAGTCACAGAATTGAACATTCCTTTTCAGAGTGCAGGTTTGAAACACTCTTTCTGTAGTATCTGGAAGTGGACATTTCAAGCGCTTTCAGGCCTACGGGGAGAAAGGAAATATCTTCAAATAAAAACTAGACAGAAGGATTCTCAGAAACTTATTTGTGATGTGTGTCCTAAACGAACACAGTTGAACCTTTGTTTTGATACAGCATTTTGGAAACACTCCTTTTGTAGGATCTGCAGGTGGATATTTGGATAGATTTTAAGATTTCGTTGGAAACGGGAATTTCTGCATAGAAACTCAAGACAGATGCATTCTCAGAAACTTCTCTGTGATGTGTGCATTCCACTCATAGAGTTGAAAACTTCCTTTCATAGAGCAGGTTTGAAACACTCTTTTTGTAATATTTGGAAGTGGACATTTGCAGCGCTTTGAGGCCTATGGTGAAAAAGGAAATATCTTCTCATAAAAACCAGAAACAAGCATTCTCAGAAACTTCTTTTTGATGTGTGTACTCAAGTAACAGAGTTGAACCTTCCTTTTGACACAGCAGTTTTGAAACAATCTTTTTGTAGAATCTGCAAGTGGATATTTGGATAGCTTTGAGGATTTCGTTGGAAACGGGATATCTTCATATAAAATCTAGACAGAAGCATTCTCAGAAACTTCTTTGTGCTGTATGACCTCAATTAACAGAGTTGAACCATTGCTTGCATACAGCATTTTGGAAACATTCCTTGAGTAGAATCTGCAAGTTGATATTTAGATAGATTTGAAGATTTCGTTCGAAAACGGAATATCTCCATATAAAATCTAGAGGGAAGCATTCTCAGAAACTGCTTTGTGATGTTTCCATTCAAGTCACAGAGTTGAATATTCCCTTTTATAGAGCACGTTTGAAACACTCTTTCTGCGCTATCTGGAAGTGGACATTTCGAGCGCTTTGAGGCCTATGGTGAAAAAGGAAATATCTTCCCATAAAAACTAGACAGAAGCATTCTCAGAAACTTGTTTGTGATGTGTGTATTCAACTAACAGAGTTGAACTTTTGTTTTTACAGAGCCGTTTTAAAACACTCTTTTTGTGGAATCAGAAAGTGGATATTCGGATGGCTCTGAGGATTTCGTTGGAAGCGGGATTACATATAAAATCTAGAGAGAAGCATTCTCAGGAACTTCTTTCTGATGTTTGCATTGAAGTCACGGAATTGAACATTCACTTTTATAGAGCAGGCTTGAAACACTCATTCTGTAGTATCTGGAAGTGGACATTTCAAGCGCTTTCAGGCCTATGGTGAGAAAGGAAATATCTTCGAATAAAAACTAGACAGAAGCATCCTCAGAAACTTATTTGTGATGTGTGTCCTCAACTAACAGAGTTGAAACTTTGTTTTGATACAGCATTTTGGAAACACTCTTTTTGTAGAATCTGCAGGTGGATATTTTGATAGCTTAGAGGGATTCGTTGGAAAGGGGATATCTTCATATAAAATCTAGACAGAAGCATTCTCAGAAACTTATTTGTGATGTGTGTCCTCAACTAACAGAGTTGAACCTTGGTTTTGATACAGCATTTTGGAAACACTCCTTTTGTAGAATCTGCAGGTGGATATGTGGATAGCTCTGAAGATTTCGTTGGAAACGGGAATTTCTTCATATAAAATCAAACAGAAGCATTCTCAGAAACTTCTCAGTGATGTTTGCATTCAGCTCATGGAGTTGTACACTTCCTTTCATAGAGCAGGTTTGAAACACTCTTTCTGCACTACCTGGAAGAGGACATTTCGAGCGCTTTGAGTCCTATGGTGAAAAAGGAAATATCTTCTCATAGAAACCAGAAAGAAGCATTCTCAGAAACTTCTTTGTGTTGTGTGTACTCATGTAACAGTGTTGAACCATCCTTTTGACAGAGGAGTTTTGAAACACTCTTTTTGTAGAATCTGCAAGTGGATATTTGGATAGCTTTGAGGATTTCGTTGGAAACGGGATGACATATAATATCTAGAGAGAAGCATTCTCAGGAACTTCTTTGTGATGTTTGCATTCAAGTCACAGAATTGAACATTCCCTTTCATAGAGCAGGTTTGAAACACTCTTTCTCTAGTATCTGGAAGTGGGCATTTCAAGCGCTTTCAGGCCTATGGAGAGAAAGGAAATACCTTCAAATAAAAACTAGACAGAAGCATTCTCAGAAACTTATTTGTGATGTGTGTCCTCAACTAACAGAGTTGAACCTTTGTTTTGATACAGCATTTTGGAAACACTCCTTTTGTAGAATCTGCAGGTGGATATTTGGATAGCTTTGAAGATTTCGTTGGAAACCGGAATATCTTCATATAAAATCAAGACAGAAGCATTCTCGGAAACATCTCTGTGATGTTTGCATTCAACTCAGTAGAGTTGAACACTTCCTTTCATAGAGCAGGTTTGAAACACTCTTTCTGCACTACCTGGAAGCGGACATTTCGAGCGCTTTGAGGCCTATGGTGAAAAAGGAAATATCTTCTCATAAAAACCAGAAAGAAGCATTCTCAGAAACTTCTTTGTGTTGTGTGTACTCAAGTAACAGTGTTGAACCTTCCTTTTGACAGAGTAGTTTTGAAACACTCTTTTGGTAGAATCTGCAAGTGGATATTTGGATAGCTTTGAGGATTTCGTTGGGAACGGGTTATCTTCCTATAAAATCCAGACAGGAGCATTCTCAGAAACTTCTTTGTGCTGTATGTCCTCAATTCACAGAGCTGAACCTTTGTTTGGATACAGCATTTTGGAGACATTCCTTTAGTAGAATCTGCAAGTTGATATTTAGATAGCTTTGAAGATTTCGTTGGAAACGGGAATATCTTCATAGAAAATCTAGACGGAAGCATTCTCAGAAACTGCTTTGTGATGTTTGCATTCAAGTCACAGAGTTGAATATTCCCTTTTATAGAGTAGGTTTGAAACACTCTTTCGGCACTACCTGGAAGTGGATATTTCGAGCTCTTTGAGGCCTATGGTTAAAAGGAAATATCTTCCCATAAAAACTAGACAGAAGCCGTCTCAGAAACTTGTTTGTGATGTGTGTATTCAACTAACAGAGTTGAACATTTCTGTTACAGAGCAATTTAAAACACTCTTTTTGTGGAATCTGAAAGTGGATAATTGGATAGCTTTGTGGATTTCGTTGGAAACGGGATGACGTATAAAATCTAGAGAGAAGCATTCTCAGGAACTTCTTTCTGATGTTTGCATTCAAGTCACAGAATTGACATTCCTTTTCAGAGTGCAGGTTTGAAACACTCTTTCTGTAGTTTCTGGAAGTGGACATTTCAAGCGCTTTCAGGCCTATGGGGAGAAAGGAAATATCTTCAAATAAAAACTAGACAGAAGGATTCTCAGAAACTTATTTGTGATGTGTGTCCTAAGCGAACACAGTTGAACCTTTGTTTTGATACAGCATTTTGGAAACACTCGTTTTGTAGGATCTGCAGGTGGATATTTGGATAGATTTTAAGATTTCATTGGAAACGGGAATTTCTGCATAGAAACTCAAGACAGATGCATTCTCAGAAACTTCTCTGTGATGTTTGCATTCCACTCATAGAGTTGAAAACTTCCTTTCATAGAGCAGGTTTGAAACACTCTTTTTGTAATATTTGGAAGTGGACATTTGCAGCGCTTTGAGGCCTATGGTGAAAAAGGAAATATCTTCTCATAAAAACCAGAAACAAGCATTCTCAGAAACTTCTTTTTGATGTGTGTACTCAAATAACAGAGTTGAACCTTCCTTTTGACACAGCAGTTTTGAAACAATCTTTTTGTAGAATCTGCAAGTGGATATTTGGATAGCTTTGATGATTTCGTTGGAAACGGGATATCTTCATATAAAATCTAGACAGAAGCATTCTCAGAAACTTCTTTGTGCTGTATGTCCTCAATTAACAGAGTTGAACCATTGCTTGGATACAGCATTTTGGAAACATTCCTTGAGTAGAATCTGCAAGTTGATACTTAGATAGATTTGAAGATTTCGTTGGAAAAGGGAATATCTCCATATAAAATCTAGAAGGAAGCATTCTCAGAAACTGCTTTATGATGTTTCCATTCAAGTCACAGAGTTGAATATTCCCTTTTATAGAGCACGTTTGAAACAATCTTTCTGCACTATCTGGAAGTGGACATTTCGAGCGCTTTGAGGCCTATGGTGAAAAAGGAAATATCTTCCCATAAAAACTAGACAGAAGCATTCTCAGAAACTTGTTTGTGATGTGTGTATTCAACTAACAGAGTTGAACTTTTGTTTTTACAGAGCCGTTTTAAAACACTCTTTTTGTGGAATCAGAAAGTGGATATTCGGATGGCTCTGAGGATTTCGTTGGAAGCGGGATTACGTATAAAATCTAGAGAGAAGCATTCTCAGGAACTTCTTTGTGATGTTTGCATTGAAGTCACAGAATTGAACATTCACTTTGATAGAGCAGGTTTGAAACACTCATTCTGTAGTATCTGGAAGTGGACATTTCAAGCGCTTTCAGGCCTATGGTGAGAAAGGAAATATCTTCGAATAAAAACTAGACAGAAGCATCCTCAAACTTATTTGTGATGTGTGTCCTCAACTAACAGAGTTGAAACTTTGTTTTGATACAGCATTTTGGAAACACTCTTTTTGTAGAATCTGCAGGTGGATATTTGGATAGCTTAGAGGGATTCGTTGGAAAGGGGATATCTTCATATAAAATCTAGACAGAAGCATTCTCAGAAACTTATTTGTGATGTGTGTCCTCAACTAACAGAGTTGAACCTTGGTTTTGATACAGCATTTTGGAAACACTCCTTTTGTAGAATCTGCAGGTGGATATGTGGATAGCTCTGAAGATTTCGTTGGAAACGGGAATTTCTTCATATAAAATCAAACAGAAGCATTCTCAGAAACTTCTCAGTGATGTTTGCATTCAGCTCATGGAGTTGTACACTTCCTTTCATAGAGCAGGTTTGAAACACTCTTTCTGCACTACCTGGCAGAGGACATTTCGAGCGCTTTGAGTCCTATGGTGAAAAAGGAAATATCTTCTCATAGAAACCAGAAAGAAGCATTCTCAGAAACTTCTTTGTGTTGTGTGTACTCATGTAACAGTGTTGAACCATCCTTTTGACAGAGCAGTTTTGAAACACTCTTTTTGTAGAATCTGCAAGTGGATATTTGGATAGCTTTGAGGATTTCGTTGGAAACGGGATGACATATAATATCTAGAGAGAAGCATTCTCAGGAACTTCTTTGTGATGTTTGCATTCAAGTCACAGAATTGAACATTCCCTTTCATAGAGCAGGTTTGAAACACTCTTTCTCTAGTATCTGGAAGTGGGCATTTCAAGCGCTTTCAGGCCTATGGAGAGAAAGGAAATACCTTCAAATAAAAACTAGACAGAAGCATTCTCAGAAACTTATTTGTGATGTGTGTCCTCAACTAACAGAGTTGAACCTTTGTTTTGATACAGCATTTTGGAAACACTCCTTTTGTAGAATCTGCAGGTGGATATTTGGATAGCTTTGAAGATTTTGTTGGAAACCGGAATATCTTCATATAAAATCAAGACAGAAGCATTCTCGGAAACATCTCTGTGATGTTTGCATTCAACTCAGTAGAGTTGAACACTTCCTTTCATAGAGCAGGTTTGAAACACTCTTTCTGCACTACCTGGAAGCGGACATTTCGAGCGCTTTGAGGCCTATGGTGAAAAAGGAAATATCTTCTCATAAAAACCAGAAAGAAGCATTCTCAGAAACTTCTTTGTGTTGTGTGTACTCAAGTAACAGTGTTGAACCTTCCTTTTGACAGAGTAGTTTTGAAACACTCTTTTGGTAGAATCTGCAAGTGGATATTTGGATAGCTTTGAGGATTTCGTTGGAAACGGGTTATCTTCCTATAAAATCCAGACAGGAGCATTCTCAGAAACTTCTTTGTGCTGTATGTCCTCAATTCACAGAGCTGAACCTTTGTTTGGATACAGCATTTTGGAGACATTCCTTTAGTAGAATCTGCAAGTTGATATTTAGATAGCTTTGAAGATTTCGTTGGAAACGGGAATATCTTCATAGAAAATCTAGACGGAAGCATTCTCAGAAACTGCTTTGTGATGTTTGCATTCAAGTCACAGAGTTGAATATTCCCTTTTATAGAGTAGGTTTGAAACACTCTTTCGGCACTACCTGGAAGTGGATATTTCGAGCTCTTTGAGGCCTATGGTTAAAAAGAAATATCTTCCCATAAAAACTAGACAGAAGCCGTCTCAGAAACTTGTTTGTGATGTGTGTATTCAACTACCAGAGTTGAACATTTCTGTTACAGAGCAATTTTAAAACACTCTTTCTGTGGAATCTGAAAGTGGATAATTGGATAGCTTTGTGGATTTCGTTGGAAACGGGATGACGTATAAAATCTAGAGAGAAGCATTCTCAGGAACTTCTTTCTGATGTTTGCATTCAAGTCACAGAATTGAACATTCCTTTTCATAGTGCAGGTTTGAAACACTCTTTCTGTAGTATCTGGAAGTGGACATTTCAAGCGCTTTCAGGCCTGTGGGGAGAAAGGAAATATCTTCAAATAAAAACTAGACAGAAGGGTTCTCAGAAACTTATTTGTGATGTGTGTCCTAAACGAACACAGTTGAACCTTTGTTTTGATACAGCATTTTGGAAACACTCCTTTTGTAGGATCTGCAGGTGGATATTTGGATAGATTTTAAGATTTCGTTGGAAACGGGAATTTCTGCATAGAAACTCAAGACAGATGCATTCTCAGAAACTTCTCTGTGATGTTTGCATTCCACTCATAGAGTTGAAAACTTCCTTTCATAGAGCAGGTTTGAAACACTCTTTTTGTAATATTTGGAAGTGGACATTTGCAGCGCTTTGAGGCCTATGGTGAAAAAGGAAATATCTTCTCATAAAAACCAGAAACAAGCATTCTCAGAAACTTCTTTTTGATGTGTGTACTCAAGTAACAGAGTTGAACCTTCCTCTTGACACAGCAGTTTTGAAACAATCTTTTTGTAGAATCTGCAAGTGGATATTTGGATAGCTTTGAGGATTTCGTTGGAAACGGGATATCTTCATATAAAATCTAGACAGAAGCATTCTCAGAAACTTCTTTGTGCTGTATGTCCTCAATTAACAGAGTTGAACCATTGCCTGGATACAGCATTTTGGAAACATTCCTTGAGTAGAATCTGCAAGTTGATATTTAGATAGATTTGAAGATTTCGTTGGAAAAGGGAATATCTCCATATAAAATCTAGAGGGAAGCATTCTCAGAAACTGCTTTGTGATGTTTCCATTCAAGTCACAGAGTTGAATATTCCCTTTTATAGAGCACGTTTGAAACACTCTTTCTGCACTATCTGGAAGCGGACATTTCGAGCGCTTTGAGGCCTATGGTGAAAAAGGAAATATCTTCCCATAAAAACTAGACAGAAGCATTCTCAGAAACTTGTTTGTGATGTGTGTATTCAACTAACAGAGTTGAACTTTTGTTTTTACAGAGCCGTTTTAAAACACTCTTTTTGTGGAATCAGAAAGTGGATATTCGGATGGCTACTGAGGATTTCGTTGGAAGCGGGATTACGTATAAAATCTAGAGAGAAGCATTCTCAGGAACTTCTTTCTGATGTTTGCATTGAAGTCACGGAATTGAACATTCACTTTTATAGAGCAGGTTTGAAACACTCATTCTGTAGTATCTGGAAGTGGACATTTCAAGCGCTTTCAGGCCTATGGTGAGAAAGGAAATATCTTCGAATAAAAACTAGACAGAAGCATCCTCAGAAACTTATTTGTGATGTGTGTCCTCAACTAACAGAGTTGAAACTTTGTTTTGATACAGCATTTTGGAAACACTCTTTTTGTAGAATCTGCAGGTGGATATTTGGATAGCTTAGAGGGATTCGTTGGAAAGGGGATATCTTCATATAAAATCTAGACAGAAGCATTCTCAGAAACTTATTTGTGATGTGTGTCCTCAACTAACAGAGTTGAACCTTGGTTTTGATACAGCATTTTGGAAACACTCCTTTTGTAGAATCTGCATGTGGATATGTGGATAGCTCTGAAGATTTCGTTGGAAACGGGAATTTCTTCATATAAAATCAAACAGAAGCATTCTCAGAAACTTCTCAGTGATGTTTGCATTGAGCTCATGGAGTTGTACACTTCCTTTCATAGAGCAGGTTTGAAACACTCTTTCTGCACTACCTGGAAGAGGACATTTCGAGTGCTTTGAGTCCTATGGTGAAAAAGGAAATATCTTCTCATAGAAACCAGAAAGAAGCATTCTCAGAAACTTCTTTGTGTTGTGTGTACTCATGTAACAGTGTTGAACCATCCTTTTGACAGAGGAGTTTTGAAACACTCTTTTTGTAGAATCTGCAAGTGGATATTTGGATAGCTTTGAGGATTTCGTTGGAAACGGGATGACATATAATATCTAGAGAGGAAGCATTCTCAGGAACTTCTTTGTGATGTTTGCATTCAAGTCACAGAATTGAACATTCCCTTTCATAGAGCAGGTTTGAAACACTCTTTCTCTAGTATCTGGAAGTGGGCATTTCAAGCGCTTTCAGGCCTATGGAGAGAAAGGAAATACCTTCAAATAAAAACTAGACAGAAGCATTCTCAGAAACTTATTTGTGATGTGTGTCCTCAACTAACAGAGTTGAACCTTTGTTTTGATACAGCATTTTGGAAACACTCCTTTTGTAGAATCTGCAGGTGGATATTTGGATAGCTTTGAAGATTTCGTTGGAAACCGGAATATCTTCATATAAAATCAAGACAGAAGCATTCTCGGAAACATCTCTGTGATGTTTGCATTCAACTCAGTAGAGTTGAACACTTCCTTTCATAGAGCAGGTTTGAAACACACTTTCTGCCCTACCTGGAAGCGGACATTTCAAGCTCTTTGAGGCCTATGGTGAAAAAGGAAATATCTTCTCATAAAAACCAGAAAGAAGCATTCTCAGAAACTTCTTTGTGTTGTGTGTACTCAAGTAACAGTGTTGAACCTTCCTTTTGACAGAGCAGTTTTGAAACACTCTTTTGGTAGAATCTGCAAGTGGATATTTGGATAGCTTTGAGGATTTCGTTGGAAACGGGTTATCTTCATATAAAATCCAGACAGGAGCATTCTCAGAAACTTCTTTGTGCTGTATGTCCTCAATTCACAGAGCTGAACCTTTGTTTGGATACAGCATTTTGGAGACATTCCTTTAGTAGAATCTGCAAGTTGATATTTAGATAGCTTTGAAGATTTCGTTGGAAACGGGAATATCTTCATAGAAAATCTAGACGGAAGCATTCTCAGAAACTGCTTTGTGATGTTTGCATTCAAGTCACAGAGTTGAATATTCCCTTTTATAGAGTAGGTTTGAAACACTCTTTCGGCACTACCTGGAAGTGGATATTTCGAGCTCTTTGAGGCCTATGGTTAAAAGGAAATATCTTCCCATAAAAACTAGACAGAAGCCGTCTCAGAAACTTGTTTGTGATGTGTGTATTCAACTAACAGAGTTGAACATTTCTGTTACAGAGCAATTTTAAAACACTCTTTTTGTGGAATCTGAAAGTGGATAATTGGATAGCTTTGTGGATTTCGTTGGAAACGGGATGACGTATAAAATCTAGAGAGAAGCATTCTCAGGAACTTCTTTCTGATGTTTGCATTCAAGTCACAGAATTGAACATTCCTTTTCAGAGTGCAGGTTTGAAACACTCTTTCTGTAGTATCTGGAAGTGGACATTTCAAGCGCTTTCAGGCCTATGGGGAGAAAGGAAATATCTTCAAATAAAAACTAGACAGAAGGATTCTCAGAAACTTATTTGTGATGTGTGTCCTAAACGAACACAGTTGAACCTTTGTTTTGATACAGCATTTTGGAAACACTCCTTTTGTAGGATCTGCAGGTGGATATTTGGATAGATTTTAAGATTTCGTTGGAAACGGGAATTTCTTCATAGAAGCTCAAGACAGATGCATTCTCAGAAACTTCTCTGTGATGTTTGCATTCCACTCATAGAGTTGAAAACTTCCTTTCATAGAGCAGGTTTGAAACACTCTTTTTGTAATATTTGGAAGTGGACATTTGCAGTGCTTTGAGGCCTATGGTGAAAAAGGAAATATCTTCTCATAAAAACCAGAAACAAGCATTCTCAGAAACTTCTTTTTGATGTGTGTACTCAAGTAACAGAGTTGAACCTTCCTTTTGACACAGCAGTTTTGAAACAATCTTTTTGTAGAATCTGCAAGTGGATATTTGGATAGCTTTGAGGATTTCGTTGGAAACGGGATATCTTCATATAAAATCTAGACAGAAGCATTCTCAGAAACTTCTTTGTGCTGTATGTCCTCAATTAACAGAGTTGAACCATTGCCTGGATACAGCATTTTGGAAACATTCCTTGAGTAGAATCTGCAAGTTGATATTTAGATAGATTTGAAGATTTCGTTGGAAAAGGGAATATCTCCATATAAAATCTAGAGGGAAGCATTCTCAGAAACTGCTTTGTGATGTTTCCATTCAAGTCACAGAGTTGAATATTCCCTTTTATAGAGCACGTTTGAAACACTCTTTCTGCACTATCTGGAAGCGGACATTTCGAGCGCTTTGAGGCCTATGGTGAAAAAGGAAATATCTTCCCATAAAAACTAGACAGAAGCATTCTCAGAAACTTGTTTGTGATGTGTGTATTCAACTAACAGAGTTGAACTTTTGTTTTTACAGAGCCGTTTTAAAACACTCTTTTTGTGGAATCAGAAAGTGGATATTCGGATGGCTCTGAGGATTTCGTTGGAAGCGGGATTACGTATAAAATCTAGAGAGAAGCATTCTCAGGAACTTCTTTCTGATGTTTGCATTGAAGTCACGGAAATTGAACATTCACTTTTATAGAGCAGGTTTGAAACACTCATTCTGTAGTATCTGGAAGTGGACATTTCAAGCGCTTTCAGGCCTATGGTGAGAAAGGAAATATCTTCGAATAAAAACTAGACAGAAGCATCCTCAAACTTATTTGTGATGTGTGTCCTCAACTAACAGAGTTGAAACTTTGTTTTGATACAGCATTTTGGAAACACTCTTTTTGTAGAATCTGCAGGTGGATATTTGGATAGCTTAGAGGGATTCGTTGGAAAGGGGATATCTTCATATAAAATCTAGACAGAAGCATTCTCAGAAACTTATTTGTGATGTGTGTCCTCAACTAACAGAGTTGAACCTTGGTTTTGATACAGCATTTTGGAAACACTCCTTTTGTAGAATCTGCAGGTGGATATGTGGATAGCCCTGAAGATTTCGTTGGAAACGGGAATTTCTTCATATAAAATCAAACAGAAGCATTCTCAGAAACTTCCCAGTGATGTATGCATTCAGCTCATGGAGTTGTACACTTCCTTTCATAGAGCAGGTTTGAAACACTCTTTCTGCACTACCTGGAAGAGGACATTTCGAGCGCTTTGAGTCCTATGGTGAAAAAGGAAATATCTTCTCATAGAAACCAGAAAGAAGCGTTCTCAGAAACTTCTTTGTGTTGTGTGTACTCATGTAACAGTGTTGAACCATCCTTTTGACAGAGCAGTTTTGAAACACTCTTTTTGTAGAATCTGCCAGTGGATATTTGGATAGCTTTGAGGATTTCGTTGGAAACGGGTTATCTTCATATTAAATCTAGACAGAAGCATTCTCAGAAACTTCTTTGTGCTGTATGTCCTCAATTCACAGAGTTGAACCTTTGTTTGGATACAGCATTTTGGAAACATTCCTTTAGTAGAATCTGCAAGTTGATATTTAGATAGCTTTGAAGATTTCGTTGGAAACGGGAATATCTTCATAAAAAATCTAGACGGAAGCATTGTCAGAAACTGCTCTGTGATGTTTGCATTCAAGTCACAGAGTTAAATATTCTTTTATAGAGCAGGTTTGAAACACTCTTTCTGCACTCCCTGGAAGTGGAGATTTCGAGCGCTTTGAGGCCTATGGTGAAAAAGGAAATATCTTCCCGTAAAAACTAGACGGAAGCCTTCTCAGAAACTTGTTTGAGATGTGTGTATTCAACTAAGAGCGTTGAACATTTCTTTTTACAGAGCAGTTTTAAAACACTCTTTTGGTGCAATCTGAAAGTGGATAATTGGATAGCTTTGTGGATTTCGTTGGAAACGGGATTACGTTTAAAATCTAGAGAGAAGCATTCTCAGGAACTTCTTTCTGATGTTTGCATTCAAGTCACAGAATTGAACATTCCTTTTCATAGTGCAGGTTTGAAACACTCTGTAGTATCTGGAAGTGGACATTTCAAGCGCTTTCAGGCCTATGGGGAGAAAGGAAATATCTTGAAATAAAAACTAGACAGAAGGATTCTCAGAAACTTATTTGTGATGTGTGTCCTAAACGAACACAGTTGAACCTTTGTTTTGATACAGCATTTTGGAAACACTCCTTTTGTAGAATCTGCAGGTGGATATTTGGATAGATTTTAAGATTTCATTGGAAACGGGAATTTCTTCATATAAACTCAAGACAGATGCATTCTCAGAAACTTCTCTGTGATGTTTGCATTCCACTCACAGATTTGAAAACTTCCTTTCATAGAGCAGGTTTGAAACACTCTTTTTGTAATATTTGGAAGTGGACATTTGCAGCGCTTTGAGACCTATGGTGAAAAAGGAAATATCTTCTCATAAAAACCAGAAACAAGCATTCTCAGAAACTGCTTTTTGATGTGTGTACTCAAGTAACAGAGTTGAACCTTCCTTTTGACACAGCAGTTTTGAAACAATCTTTTTGTAGAATCTGCAAGTGGATATTTGGATAGCTTTGAGGATTTCGTTGGAAACGGGATATCTTCATATAAAATCTAGACAGAAGCATTCTCAGAAACTTCTTTGTGCTGTATGTCCTCAATTAACAGAGTTGAACCATTGCTTGGATACAGCATTTTGGAAACATTCCTTTAGTAGAATCTGCAAGTTGATATTTAGATAGCATTGAAGATTTCGTTGGAAACGGGAATATCTTCATATAAAATCTAGACGGAGGCATTCTCAGAAACTGCTTTGTGATGTTTCCATTCAAGTCACAGAGTTGAATATTCTCTTTTATAGAGCACGTTTGAAACACTCTTTCTGCACTATCTGGAAGTGGACATTTCGAGCGCTTTGAGGCCTATGGTGAAAAAGGAAATATCTTCCCATAAAAACTAGACAGAAGCATTCTCAGAAACTTGTTTGTGATGTGTGTATTCAACTAACAGAGTTGAACTTTTGTTTCTACAGAGCAGTTTTAAAACACTCTTTTTGTGGAATCAGAAAGTGGATATTCGGATGGCTCTGAGGATTTCGTTGGAAGCAGGATTACATATAAAATCTAGAGAGAAGCATTCTCAGGAACTACTTTGTGATGTTTGCATTGAAGTCACAGAATTGAACATTCACTATGATAGAGCAGGTTTGAAACACTCATGCTGTAGTATCTGGAAGTGGACATTTCAAGCGCTTTCAGGCCTATGGTGAGAAAGGAAATATCTTCAAATTAAAACTAGACAGAAGCATCCTCAGAAACTTATTTGTGATGTGTGTCCTCAACTAACAGAGTTGAAACTTTGTTTTGATACAGCATTTTGGAAACACTCTTTTTGTAGAATCTGCAGGTGGATACTTGGATAGCTTAGAGGGATTCGTTGGAAAGGGGATATCTTCATATAAAATCTAGACAGAAGCATTCTCAGAAACTTATTTGTGATGTGTGTCCTCAACTAACAGAGTTGAACCTTGGTTTTGATACAGCATTTTGGAAACACTCCTTTTGAAGAATCTGCAGGTGGATATGTGGATAGCTTTGAAGATCTCGTTGGAAACGGGAATTTCTTCATATAAAATCAAACAGAAGCATTCTCAGGAACTTCTCTGTGATGTTTGCATTCAGCTCATGGAGTTGAACACTTCCTTTCATAGAGCAGGTTTGAAACACTCTTTCTGCACTACCTGGAAGTGGACATTTCGAGCGCTTTGAGGCCTATGGTGAAAAAGGAAATATCCTCTCATAAAAACCAGAAAGAAGCGTTCTCAGAAACTTCTTTGTGTTGTGTGTACTCATGTAACAGTGTTGAACCATCCTTTTGACAGAGCAGTTTTGAAACACTCTTTTTGTAGAATCTGCAAGTGGATATTTGGATAGCTTTGAGGATTTCGTTGGAAACGGGTTATCTTCATATTAAATCTAGACAGAAGCATTCTCAGAAACTTCTTTGTGCTGTATGTCCTCAATTCACAGAGTTGAACCTTTGTTTGGATACAGCATTTTGGAAACATTCCTTTAGTAGAATCTGCAAGTTGATATTTAGATAGCTTTGAAGATTTCGTTGGAAACGGGAATATCTTCATAAAAAATCTAGACGGAAGCATTGTCAGAAACTGCTTTGTGATGTTTGCATTCAAGTCACAGAGTTAAATATTCTTTTACAGAGCAGGTTTGAAACACTCTTTCTGCACTCCCTGGAAGTGGAGATTTCGAGCGCTTTGAGGCCTATGGTGAAAAAGGAAATATCTTCCCATAAAAACCAGACGGAAGCCTTCTCAGAAACTTGTTTGAGATGTGTGTATTCAACTAAGAGCGTTGAACATTTCTTTTTACAGAGCAGTTTTAAAACACACTTTTGTGGAATCTGAAAGTGGATAATTGGATAGCTTTGTGGATTTCGTTGGAAACGGGATGACGTATAAAATCTAGAGAGAAGCATTCTCAGGAACTTCTTTCTGATGTTTGCATTCAAGTCACAGAATTGAACATTCCTTTTCATAGTGCAGGTTTGAAACACTCTTTCTGTAGTATCTGGAAGTGGACATTTCAAGCGCTTTCAGGCCTATGGGGAGAAAGGAAATATCTTCAAATAAAAACTAGACAGAAGGATTCTCAGAAACTTATTGGTGATGTGTGTCCTCAACGAACACAGTTGAACCTTTGTTTTGATACAGCATTTTGGAAACACTCCCTTTGTAGAATCTGCAGGTGGATATGTGGATAGATTTTAAGATTTCGTTGGAAACGGGAATTTCTTCATATAAACTCAAGACAGATGCATTCTCAGAAACTTCTCTGTGATGTTTGCATTCCACTCATAGAGTTGAAAACTTCCTTTCATAGAGCAGGTTTGAAACACTCTTTTTGTAATATTTGGAAGTGGACATTTGCAGCGCTTTGAGGCCTATGGTGAAAAAGGAAATATCTTCTCATAAAAACCAGAAACAAGCATTCTCAGAAACTGCTTTTTGATATGTGTACTCAAGTAACAGAGTTGAACCTTCCTTTTGACACAGCAGTTTTGAAACAATCTTTTTGTAGAATCTGCAAGTGGATATATGGATAGATTTGAGGATTTCGTTGGAAACGGGATATCTTCATATAAAATCTAGACAGAAGCATTCTCAGAAACTTCTTTGTGCTGTATGTTCTCAATTCACAGAGTTGAACCATTGCTTGGATACAGCATTTTGGAAACATTCCTTTAGTAGAATCTGCAAGTTGATATTTAGATAGATTTGAAGATTTCGTTGGAAACGGGAATATCTTCATATAAAATCTAGACGGAAGCATTCTCAGAAACTGCTTTGTGATGTTTGCATTCAAGTCACAGAGTTGAATATTCCCTTTTATAGAGTAGGTTTGAAACACTCTTTCGGCACTACCTGGAAGTGGATATTTCGAGCTCTTTGAGGCCTATGGTTAAAAGGAAATATCTTCCCATAAAAACTAGACAGAAGCCGTCTCAGAAACTTGTTTGTGATGTGTGTATTCAACTACCAGAGTTGAACATTTCTGTTATAGAGCAATATTAAAACACTCTTTTTGTGGAATCTGAAAGTGGATAATTGGATAGCTTTGTGGATTTCGTTGGAAACGGGATGACGTATAAAATCTAGAGAGAAGCATTCTCAGGAACTTCTTTCTGATGTTTGCATTCAAGTCACAGAATTGAACATTCCTTTTCAGAGTGCAGGTTTGAAACACTCTTTCTGTAGTATCTGGAAGTGGACATTTCAAGCGCTTTCAGGCCTACGGGGAGAAAGGAAATATCTTCAAATAAAAACTAGACAGAAGGATTCTCAGAAACTTATTTGTGATGTGTGTCCTAAACGAACACAGTTGAACCTTTGTTTTGATACAGCATTTTGGAAACACTCCTTTTGTAGGATCTGCAGGTGGATATTTGGATAGATTTTAAGATTTCGTTGGAAACGGGAATTTCTTCATAGAAGCTCAAGACAGATGCATTCTCAGAAACTTCTCTGTGATGTTTGCATTCCACTCATAGAGTTGAAAACTTCCTTTCATAGAGCAGGTTTGAAACACTCTTTTTGTAATATTTGGAAGTGGACATTTGCAGCGCTTTGAGGCCTATGGTGAAAAAGGAAATATCTTCTCATAAAAACCAGAAACAAGCATTCTCAGAAACTTCTTTTTGATGTGTGTACTCAAGTAACAGAGTTGAACCTTCCTCTTGACACAGCAGTTTTGAAACAATCTTTTTGTAGAATCTGCAAGTGGATATTTGGATAGCTTTGAGGATTTCGTTGGAAACGGGATATCTTCATATAAAATCTAGACAGAAGCATTCTCAGAAACTTCTTTGTGCTGTATGTCCTCAATTAACAGAGTTGAACCATTGCCTGGATACAGCATTTTGGAAACATTCCTTGAGTAGAATCTGCAAGTTGATATTTAGATAGATTTGAAGATTTCGTTGGAAAAGGGAATATCTCCATATAAAATCTAGAGGGAAGCATTCTCAGAAACTGCTTTGTGATGTTTGCATTCAAGTCACAGAGTTGAATATTCCCTTTTATAGAGTAGGTTTGAAACACTCTTTCGGCACTACCTGGAAGTGGATATTTCGAGCTCTTATGAGGCCTATGGTTAAAAGGAAATATCTTCCCATAAAAACTAGACAGAAGCCGTCTCAGAAAATTGTTTGTGATGTGTGTATTCAACTAACAGAGCTGAACATTTCTGTTACAGAGCAGTTTTAAAACACTCTTTTTGTGGAATCTGAAAGTGGATAATTGGATAGCTTTGTGGATTTCGTTGGAAACGGGATGACGTATAAAATCTAGAGAGAAGCATTCTCAGGAACTTCTTTCTGATGTTTGCATTCAAGTCACAGAATTGAACATTACTTTTCATAGTGCAGGTTTGAAACACTCTTTCTGTAGTATCTGGAAGTGGACATTTCAAGCGCTTTAAGGCCTATAGGGAGAAAGGAAATATCTTCAAATTAAAAACTAGACAGAAGGATTCTCAGAAACTTATTTGTGATGTGTGTCCTAAACGAACACAGTTGAACCTTTGTTTTGATACAGCATTTTGGAAACACTCCTTTTGTAGGATCTGCAGGTGGATATTTGGATAGATTTTAAGATTTCGTTGGAAACGGGAATTTCTTCATAGAAGCTCAAGACAGATGCATTCTCAGAAACTTCTCTGTGATGTTTGCATTCCACTCATAGAGTTGAAAACTTCCTTTCATAGAGCAGGTTTGAAACACTCTTTTTGTAATATTTGGAAGTGGACATTTGCAGCGCTTTGAGGCCTATGGTGAAAAAGGAAATATCTTCTCATAAAAACCAGAAACAAGCATTCTCAGAAACTTCTTTTTGATGTGTGTACTCAAGTAACAGAGTTGAACCTTCCTTTTGACACAGCAGTTTTGAAACAATCTTTTTGTAGAATCTGCAAGTGGATATTTGGATAGCTTTGAGGATTTCGTTGGAAACGGGATATCTTCATATAAAATCTAGACAGAAGCATTCTCAGAAACTTCTTTGTGCTGTATGTCCTCAATTAACAGAGTTGAACCATTGCCTGGATACAGCATTTTGGAAACATTCCTTGAGTAGAATCTGCAAGTTGATATTTAGATAGATTTGAAGATTTCGTTGGAAAAGGGAATATCTCCATATAAAATCTAGAGGGAAGCATTCTCAGAAACTGCTTTGTGATGTTTCCATTCAAGTCACAGAGTTGAATATTCCCTTTTATAGAGCACGTTTGAAACACTCTTTCTGCACTATCTGCAAGCGGACATTTCGAGTGCTTTGAGGCCTATGGTGAAAAAGGAAATATCTTCCCATAAAAACTAGACAGAAGCATTCTCAGAAACTTGTTTGTGATGTGTGTATTCAACTAACAGAGTTGAACTTTTGTTTTTACAGAGCCGTTTTAAAACACTCTTTTTGTGGAATCAGAAAGTGGATATTCGGATGGCTCTGAGGATTTCGTTGGAAGCGGGATTACGTATAAAATCTAGAGAGAAGCATTCTCAGGAACTTCTTTGTGATGTTTGCATTGAAGTCACAGAATTGAACATTCACTTTGATAGAGCAGGTTTGAAACACTCATTCTGTAGTATCTGGAAGTGGACATTTCAAGCGCTTTCAGACCTATGGTGAGAAAGGAAATATCTTCGAATAAAAACTAGACAGAAGCATCCTCAAACTTATTTGTGATGTGTGTCCTCAACTAACAGAGTTGAAACTTTGTTTTGATACAGCATTTTGGAAACACTCTTTTTGTAGAATCTGCAGGTGGATATTTGGATAGCTTAAAGGGATTCGTTGGAAAGGGGATATCTTCATATAA
Organism: Homo sapiens; assembly: GCF_000001405.40. Classification (NCBI taxonomy): domain Eukaryota; kingdom Metazoa; phylum Chordata; class Mammalia; order Primates; family Hominidae; genus Homo; species Homo sapiens. The sequence continues at coordinate 50,006,198 of NC_000004.12, forward strand.
AATCTAGACAGAAGCATTCTCAGAAACTTATTTGTGATGTGTGTCCTCAACTAACAGAGTTGAACTTTGGTTTTGATACAGCATTTTGGAAACACTCCTTTTGTAGAATCTGCAGGTGGATATGTGGATAGCTCTGAAGATTTCGTTGGAAACGGGAATTTCTTCATATAAAATCAAACAGAAGCATTCTCAGAAACTTCTCAGTGATGTTTGCATTCAGCTCATGGAGTTGTACACTTCCTTTCATAGAGCAGGTTTGAAACACTCTTTCTGCACTACCTGGAAGAGGACATTTCGAGCGCTTTGAGTCCTATGGTGAAAAAGGAAATATCTTCTCATAGAAACCAGAAAGAAGCATTCTCAGAAACTTCTTTGTGTTGTGTGTACTCATGTAACAGTGTTGAACCATCCTTTTGACAGAGCAGTTTTGAAACACTCTTTTTGTAGAATCTGCAAGTGGATATTTGGATAGCTTTGAGGATTTCGTTGGAAACGGGATGACATATAATATCTAGAGAGAAGCATTCTCAGGAACTTCTTTGTGATGTTTGCATTCAAGTCACAGAATTGAACATTCCCTTTCATAGAGCAGGTTTGAAACACTCTTTCTCTAGTATCTGGAAGTGGGCATTTCAAGCGCTTTCAGGCCTATGGAGAGAAAGGAAATACCTTCAAATAAAAACTAGACAGAAGCATTCTCAGAAACTTATTTGTGATGTGTGTCCTCAACTAACAGAGTTGAACCTTTGTTTTGATACAGCATTTTGGAAACACTCCTTTTGTAGAATCTGCAGGTGGATATTTGGATAGCTTTGAAGATTTCGTTGGAAACCGGAATATCTTCATATAAAATCAAGACAGAAGCATTCTCGGAAACATCTCTGTGATGTTTGCATTCAACTCAGTAGAGTTGAACACTTCCTTTCATAGAGCAGGTTTGAAACACTCTTTCTGCACTACCTGGAAGCGGACATTTCGAGCGTTTGAGGCCTATGGTGAAAAAGGAAATATCTTCTCATAAAAACCAGAAAGAAGCATTCTCAGAAACTTCTTTGTGTTGTGTGTACTCAAGTAACAGTGTTGAACCTTCCTTTTGACAGAGCAGTTTTGAAACACTCTTTTGGTAGAATCTGCAAGTGGATATTTGGATAGCTTTGAGGATTTCGTTGGAAACGGGTTATCTTCATATAAAATCCAGACAGGAGCATTCTCAGAAACTTCTTTGTGCTGTATGTCCTCAATTCACAGAGCTGAACCTTTGTTTGGATACAGCATTTTGGAGACATTCCTTTAGTAGAATCTGCAAGTTGATATTTAGATAGCTTTGAAGATTTCGTTGGAAACGGGAATATCTTCATAGAAAATCTAGACGGAAGCATTCTCAGAAACTGCTTTGTGATGTTTGCATTCAAGTCACAGAGTTGAATATTCCCTTTTATAGAGTAGGTTTGAAACACTCTTTCGGCACTACCTGGAAGTGGATATTTCGAGCTCTTTGAGGCCTATGGTTAAAAGGAAATATCTTCCCATAAAAACTAGACAGAAGCCGTCTCAGAAACTTGTTTGTGATGTGTGTATTCAACTACCAGAGTTGAACATTTCTGTTACAGAGCAATTTTAAAACACTCTTTCTGTGGAATCTGAAAGTGGATAATTGGATAGCTTTGTGGATTTCGTTGGAAACGGGATGACGTATAAAATCTAGAGAGAAGCATTCTCAGGAACTTCTTTCTGATGTTTGCATTCAAGTCACAGAATTGAACATTCCTTTTCAGAGTGCAGGTTTGAAACACTCTTTCTGTAGTATCTGGAAGTGGACATTTCAAGCGCTTTCAGGCCTACGGGGAGAAAGGAAATATCTTCAAATAAAAACTAGACAGAAGGATTCTCAGAAACTTATTTGTGATGTGTGTCCTAAACGAACACAGTTGAACCTTTGTTTTGATACAGCATTTTGGAAACACTCCTTTTGTAGGATCTGCAGGTGGATATTTGGATAGATTTTAAGATTTCGTTGGAAACGGGAATTTCTGCATATAAACTCAAGACAGAATGCATTCTCAGCAAACTTCTCTGTGATGTTTGCATTCCACTCATAGAGTTGAAAACTTCCTTTCATAGAGCAGGTTTGAAACACTCTTTTTGTAATATTTGGAAGTGGACATTTGCAGCGCTTTGAGGCCTATGGTGAAAAAGGAAATATCTTCTCATAAAAACCAGAAACAAGCATTCTCAGAAACTTCTTTTTGATGTGTGTACTCAAGTAACAGAGTTGAACCTTCCTTTTGACACAGCAGTTTTGAAACAATCTTTTTGTAGAATCTGCAAGTGGATATTTGGATAGCTTTGAGGATTTCGTTGGAAACGGGATATCTTCATATAAAATCTAGACAGAAGCATTCTCAGAAACTTCTTTGTGCTGTATGTCCTCAATTAACCGAGTTGAACCATTGCTTGGATACAGCATTTTGGAAACATTCCTTTAGTAGAATCTGCAAGTTGATATTTAGATAGATTTGAAGATTTCGTTGGAAACGGGAATATCTTCATATAAAATCTAGACGGAGGCATTCTCAGAAACTGCTTTGTGATGTTTCCATTCAAGTCACAGAGTTGAATATTCTCTTTAATAGAGCACGTTTGAAACACTCTTTCTGCACTATCTGGAAGTGGACATTTCGAGCGCTTTGAGGCCTATGGTGAAAAAGGAAATATCTTCCCATAAAAACTAGACAGAAGCATTCTCAGAAACTTGTTTGTGATGTGTGTATTCAACTAACAGACTTGAACTTTTGTTTTTACAGAGCAGTTTTAACACAATCTTTTTGTGGAATCACAAAGTGGATATTCGGATGGCTTTGAGGATTTCGTTGGAAGCGGGATTACATATAAAATCTAGAAAGAAGCATTCTCAGGAACTACTTTGTGATGTTTGCATTGAAGTCACAGAATTGAACATTCACTTTGATAGAGCAGGTTTGAAACACTCATTCTGTAGTATCTGGAAGCCGACAATTCAAGCGCTTTCAGGCCTATGGGGAGAAAGGAAATATCTTCAAATAGAAACTAGACAGAAGCATCCTCAGAAACTTATTTGTGATGTGTGTCCTCAACTAACAGAGTTGAAACTTTGTTTTGATACAGCATTTTGGAAACACTCTTTTTGTAGAATCTGCAGGTGGATATTTGGATAGCTTAGAGGGATTCGTTGGAAAGGGGATATCTTCATATAAAACCTAGACAGAAGCATTCTCAGAAACTTATTTGTGATGTGTGTCCTCAACTAACAGAGTTGAACCTTGGTTTTGATACAGCATTTTGGAAACACTCCTTTTGTAGAATCTGCAGGTGGATATGTGGATAGCTTTGAAGATTTCGTTGGAAACGGGAATTTCTTCATATAAAATCAAACTGAAGCATTCTCAGAAACTTCTCTGTGATGTTTGCATTCAGCTCATGGAGTTGAACACTTCCTTTCATAGAGCAGGTTTGAAACACTCTTTCTGCACTACCAGGAAGTGGACATTTCGAGCGCTTTGAGGCCTATGGTGAAAAAGGAAATATCTTCTCATAAAAACCAGAAAGAAGCGTTCTCAGAAACTTCTTTGTGTTGTGTGTACTCATGTAACAGTGTTGAACCATCCTTTTGACAGAGCAGTTTTGAAACACTCTTTTTGTAGAATCTGCAAGTGGATATTTGGATAGCTTTGAGGATTTCGTTGGAAACGGGTTATCTTCATATTAAATCTAGACAGAAGCATTCTCAGAAACTTCTTTGTGCTGTATGTCCTCAATTCACAGAGTTGAACCTTTGTTTGGATACAGCATTTTGGAAACATTCCTTTAGTAGAATCTGCAAGTTGATATTTAGATAGCTTTGAAGATTTCGTTGGAAACGGGAATATCTTCATAAAAAATCTAGACGGAAGCATTGTCAGAAACTGCTTTGTGATGTTTGCATTCAAGTCACAGAGTTAAATATTCTTTTACAGAGCAAGTTTGAAACACTCTTTCTGCACTCCCTGGAAGTGGAGATTTCGAGCGCTTTGAGGCCTATGGTGAAAAAGGAAATATCTTCTCATAAAAACCAGAAAGAAGCATTCTCAGAAACTTGTTTGTGATGTGTGTATTCAACTGAGTTGAACTTTTGTTTCTACAGAGCAGTTTTAAAACACTCTTTTTGTGGAATCAGAAAGTGGATATTCGGATGGCTCTGAGGATTTCGTTGGAAGCGGGATTACATATAAAATCTAGAGAGAAGCATTCTCAGGAACTTCTTTGTGATGTTTGCATTGAAGTCACAGAATTGAACATTCACTTTGATAGAGCAGGTTTGAAACACTCATTCTGTAGTATCTGGAAGTGGACATTTCAAGCGCTTTCAGGCCTATGGTGAGAAAGGAAATATCTTCAAATAAAAACTAGACAGAAGCATCGTCAGAAACTTATTTGTGATGTGTGTCCTCAACTAACAGAGTTGAAACTTTGTTTTGATACAGCCTTTTGGAAACACTCTTTTTGTAGAATCTGCAGGTGCATATTTGGATAGCTTAGAGGGATTCGTTGGAAAGGGGATATCTTCATATAAAATCTAGACAGAAGCATTCTCAGAAACTTATTTGTGATGTGTGTCCTCAACTAACAGAGTTGAACCTTGGTTTTGATACAGCATTTTGGAAACACTCCTTTTGTAGAATCTGCAGGTGGATATGTGGATAGCTTTGAAGATTTCGTTGGAAACGGGAATTTCTTCATATAAAATCAAACAGAAGCATTCTCAGAAACTTCTCTGTGATGTTTGCATTCAGCTCATGGAGTTGAACACTTCCTTTCATAGAGCAGGTTTGAAACACTCTTTCTGCACTACCAGGAAGTGGACATTTCGAGCGCTTTGAGGCCTATGGTGAAAAAGGAAATATCTTCTCATAAAAACCAGAAAGAAGCGTTCTCAGAAACTTCTTTGTGTTGTGTGTACTCATGTAACAGTGTTGAACCATCCTTTTGACAGAGCAGTTTTGAAACACTCTTTTTGTAGAATCTGCAAGTGGATATTTGGATAGCTTTGAGGATTTCGTTGGAAACGGGTTATCTTCATATTAAATCTAGACAGAAGCATTCTCAGAAACTTCTTTGTGCTGTATGTCCTCAATTAACAGAGTTGAACCATTGCTTGGATACAACATTTTGGAAACATTCCTTTAGTAGAATCTGCAAGTTGATATTTAGATAGCTTTGAAGATTTCGTTGGAAACGGGAATATCTTCATTTAAAGTCTAGACGGAAGCATTCTCAGAAACTGCTTTGTGATGTTTGCATTGAAGTCACAGAGTTGAATATTCCCTTTTATAGAGCAGGTTTGAAACACTCTTTCCGGACTTCCTGGAAGTGGACATTTCGAGCGTTTTGAGGCCTATGGTGAAAAAGGAAATATCTTCCCATAAAAACTAGACGGAAAGCATTCTCAGAAACTTGTTTGTGATGTGTGTATTCAACTAACAGACTTGAACTTTTGTTTTTACAGAGCAGTTTTAAAACAATCTTTTTGTGGAATCAGAAAGTGGATATTCGGATGGCTTTGAGGATTTCGTTGGAAGCGGGATTACATATAAAATGTAGAGAGAAGCATTCTCAGGAACTACTTTGTGATGTTTGCATTGAAGTCACAGAATTGAACATTCACTTTGATAGAGCAGGTTTGAAACACTCATTCTGTAGTATCTGGAAGTGGACATTTCAAGCGCTTTCAGGCCTATGGTGAGAAAGGAAATATCTTCAAATTAAAACTAGACAGAAGCATCCTCAGAAACTTATTTGTGATGTGTGTCCTCAACTAACAGAGTTGAAACTTTGTTTTGATACAGCAT